>NC_000011.10:71358726-71661756 GCF_000001405.40 Homo sapiens | reverse complement strand
ACTCTACCTTTTTGTTTTGTTCAGGCCTTCAGTGGATTGGATGAGGCTCACCCACTTTGGGGAGGACAATCTGCTTTATTCAGTCTACCAATTAAGGGTTATCCTCATCCAGAATACCTCAGAGACACACCCAGAATAATGTGTAGCCAAATATCTGGGCAGCCCACAACCCAGTCAAATTGATACATAACACTAACCATCATGTCTTACTTCTACTCTCTCCCCATTACTGCATGGCCAAATCCTTCCCTTATTTCAAGGCTTAGTTCAAATGTTACCTCTTAACTAAGCCTTCCCTGCTAACCCCAAATATTAATAGAATTGGTGTCTCCCTTCTCTGATGTCTCAAAATATGTTGTGTTTCTCTTTTACTGTATTTATTACAAACTCCCTTATAAATCAAGAGAGTGATTCCCAGACAAATTATCAAAATAGTATAAAAGAAGTCTTCTTTGAGTGTGAAATATCTCATGGAATATAGCACATGGCCTCTTCATGAAGAAACTACTGGGAGAGAAGAAGACAAGCTGGAAGAGGCCAGGGAAACGGGGTTAGTACAAAGCACAATGAGGCTGGGCACATACAGTGGCTCACACCTGTAATCCCAGCACTTTGAGAGGCCAAGGCCGGCGGATCACGAGGTCAGGAGATTGAGACCATCCTGGCTAACACGGTGAAACCCCGTCTCTACTAAAAATACAAAAAAGTTAGCCAGGCATGTAGGCGGGCGCCTGTAGTCCCAGCTACTCGGGAGACTGAGGAAGGAGAATGGTGTGAACCCGGGAGGTAGAGCTTGCAGTGAGCCGAGATCACACCACTGCACTCAAGCCTGGGTGACAGAGCAAGACTCCATCTCAAAAAAAAAAAAAAAAAAAAAAAAAAAAAAAAAAAAAAAAAAAGATAGCACAATGAAATGTCAGTGGATGGGTGCCTATAATTTCTAAGGGAAATAGAATATAATCCAAGAATTTTATAGCCAGCTAAATTATTTCCCAATCAAAATAGGCAAAAGACACTATCACATGCTGAAGGACTTAAAGAATACAGTATTTCTGAGATCTTTAAAAAAAAAAGTCTTCATAATAAAATTTAGTCAGCCAAGAGATTAAAAAATAAGCAACTTGTGTATTGAATGACCATGACAAAAGGCTAGTGATAGGACTATGATTGCAGAACAGAAAGAGAAGTTGGTCAACCTTAACAACATAAAACAACCTAGAAATAACTAGTTTCCAGAGGTAAAGGGAGGGAATGTAGGAAGTAGAAGTGCTAATGCCCTTTATTAAGTCAATTAATCAGGTCTAAAATTGAAACGTGATTTTAAATATATAACTTCTTATTTATTTTCCTCCCTAACTACCTGAGGATCAACCACCATCATGAATGACACAGTAACTACCTGGACCAGGAAGTTCATGACCAATCAACCGCTCCAGAGGAAACAAATGTTCACCAATGCCCTTCACCCCGGAAAGGCAACAAAATGTACAAGACCACAATGGATGTCATCTTCATATTAATATTTGGACTCAGAACCCATTTTGGTGGTGGTTAAACAATCGTCACCCACATTGGAGTGCAGTGGTACGATCTCAGCTCACCAAATCTCTGCCTCCCAGGCTTAAGCAATTCTCCTGCCTCAGCCTCCCCCGTAGCTGGGATTACAGGCACGCACCACTACTGCCTGGCTAATTTTTATATTTTTAGTAGAGATGGGGTTTCACCTTGTTGGCCAGGCTGGTCTTGAACTCCTGACCTCAAATGATCCACCCGCCTTGGCCTCCCAAAGTGCTAAGATTACAGGCGTGAGTCACCGCGCCCAGGCTTTTCTGTATTAAATTTTTAAAAACATAACATTTAAAATAATCAAGTCATTCGTTTTGAATCTACTTTGTATTATAGGTATCCAAATACTCACCTATTCTCTCTCACATGATGACAAACTCGTTGAAATGTCATTTCATTTAGTGGCTCCAGCCCCAGGGATTCTGACTCTAATTCTAAAGGGCCTGCATGCAGAGCGAGCAAGCCGCCTGGATGATTCTCTTACAGGTGTTTTAAGGGCAGCAGTTTGAGACACCCTGATGCATAAGAACCAACCCTCAAGGAAGTTGGCTGTACATGTATTTTCCTTCCTAGTACAGGAAACGACAGAAAGATTATCCAATCAGTACCACTCATGGCACCTGATTATATGTGTATGAGGAATTCAGAAATGGTTTGATCAAGGTTGAAGACCTAAAAAGAAGCTTTTCTCTCGGACACCAAGTCTCCATCTCATGCGTGGTTGAGTTAGTAGAAACTGAGGATGATGCTTCTTCCTCCAGCATTGATATCCTATGATTTTTGTTGTTCAGTAAATGAAGTACCTCCATCCCCCAACATCCCCAAGCTCAATTCCAGTTTCCTCACATACACTTTTTTTTTTTTTGAGACAGAGTCTCGCTCTGTCACCCAGGCTGGAATGCTGTGCAGTGGTGAAACCTCAGCTCACTGCAACCTCCACCTCCCAGGTTCAAGTGATTCTCCTGCCTCAGCCTCCTGAGTAGCTGGCATTACAGGCATGCAACATCATGCCTGGCTAATTTTTGTATTTTTAGTAGAGATGAGGTTTCATCATGTCGTCCAGGCTTGTCTCAAACTCTCGGCCTCAAGTGATCCACCCACCTCAGCCTCCCAAGTGCTAAGATTACAGGTGTGAGCCACCGTGCCCAGCCCCCTCACTTACACTTTTACAGAAGATCTGATCAAACCCACTCCGCAGAAGTCAGAATGGCCCCCACGTGGTGTTAAACGGGAGTGAAAACTTGAGTTCAATCAACTGAGGGTGACACAGAAACATTTCCCCCAAGATGCTTTTGGCAGCTCTGCTGATCCATAACCTGGCTCCATTTCAGGGCAAGACCTCCACTTAAGCTGCACTGGCTTCCACTAGAGTAAATCACATTAACTCATGGCAAACACAACTGAAGGGCAAAAAGATTCTTTTTAAAATGATTTTTGTCTCTCACTTACCAACACACGCTGGCCTCCCTAGAGCCTGACTCCATTCAGCACCTGTTCCACTGAGCACCCACTGAAAGCTCAGCTCATGAGCTGAGATGACCCAGACATCAAGGAGTTTACAATCCAGGGGAAGAACAGACCTGAATACAAGTGGTGACAATACAAGACGGAGTCAAAGAGCCCAACTTGAAGTTTCAGCAGAATAGCACCAAAGACTAGTTCCCAACCCAGCTCCCAGAGCCAGAGCCAGAGCCAGGCTGGCTGCATGAGATCAGCTGGGAGCTTTTGAAAACCTAGGTCCTAGCTGAGCCCCTAAACATCAGACTGGGAGTCACTGGGAGTGAGCTCCAGGAACTGGTTTATTTAATAAGCACCCCCACACACATGATTCTGATGTTCCTAAGGGTTGTAGAAACATGGAACTATAGAAAACACTAAAAAAAAAGGCACTAAAAGAAACCTATAAATATTCACTACCATCCCAGGCATCATGAGGACACTCCACGTGCACTATTTACAATACTTAGAATAACCTGCAAGGGAAGCATTCATTCATGACGATGGGCTTTATTGGGATCAGAGCCAGCCCTAGGAATGTTTGAACCTGCGCTGAAAGGCACCCCCTCCTCCCCACAGGAGGGGCCTAACATTAAGGAGCAGGGGCCTGATGGGAAATGGAGTGTCCTTTTATTATGAGACCACAGTGAGAGACTTTTTTTTTTTTTTCCAGAGTCTCGTTCTTGCCACCCAGGCTGGTGTCCAGTGGTGCAATCTCAGCTCACTGCAACTTCCGCCTCCCTGGTTCAAGTGATTCTCCTGCCTCAGCCTCCCGAGTAGCTGGGACTATAGGCACCCGCCACCACACCTGGCTAATTTTTGTATTTTTAATAGAGACAGGGTTTCACCATGTTGGTCAGGATGGTCTTGATCTCTTGACCTCATGATCTGCCTACCTTGGCTTCCCAAAGTGCTGGGATTACAGGTGTGAGCCACCACGCCTAGCCTGAGACTTTCAAGTAAAGCCACAATGGACCACAGAGCTTAGACATTAGGGCTAACATGGAATCTCTGTCATTAAATCTTGAGATCTTATTATCTTTGCTCAAAGAAAAAAATAATCACAATTGACATTTTGGGGACAAGACATCTGAATGTAAACTTGATCTTACAGGATATTAAGGAATTACTGGTAATTTTATTAGGTATGACAATGATCATATAAAAAATGCCCTCATGTTTTTAGAGGGAAAGTAAATTACGTAGGGGTGAATATCAGGATGCAATTACATAACTACTGTAAACTATTTTGTAAATACTTCAGAAAAACAAATGGAGTAAATATTGCAAATGTTAATAGTTTTTAAATCTATGTGATGGGTATATGATAGCTCATTAAACTAGTCTCTCTACTTTTATGTTTATTGAAAAGTTTTGGTAAAAAAAAAAAAAAAAAAAACCTTGGCCAGGCACAGCAGCTCATGCCTGTAATCTCAGCACTTTGGGAGGCCGAGGTGGATGGAGGACTGCTTGAGCCCAGGAGTTTGAGACCAGCCTAGGCAACATGGTGAAACCTCATCTCTACAAAAAATAGACAAATTAGTCAGGCATGGTGGTGTGCACCTGCAGTCCCAGCTACTCAGGAGGCTGAGGTGGGAGGATCACCTGAGCCCAGAAGGTCAAGGCTGCAGTGAGCCAAGGTCAAGCCACTGCACTCCAGCCTGGGCAACAGACCCTGTCTCAAACAAACAAACAAGCAAACAAAAACCCTCTTGATCCCATTTCCCAAAAAAATGATTTTTTTGAGATCTTACCATACCCTGGCTTGGTGCAGAGTACAGGAAATCAAGACAAAGTACAGCACACAAGGAATAAGGAGGGAGGGAAGCGTGGGGGAGGCTGACACTGTGGACTCTCCCAGCTCAGTCGACCCATGCGCCTTGCTTCATGGAAGAAAGGAATGGAAGATGAGTCATGCCTTCAGCACACAGTGACCTTCCTCACTAGTAAATGTGCCTCCAGACGTGTCCAAGAACTCACTGCCAGAGCCAGGCTGGCTACATGAGAATCACCTGAGAGCTTTTGCAAATGTAGGCCCCTACTGGGTCCAAATGCATTCATCTCTTGGAGAGGAGGAGAGAGGCAGAACAAGGAAAAGGATGGGAAGAAACCAGCCTTGTGCACAGGAGGATGCTGGGATTCCTCCTGCAAGTTTAGCGCAATGCAGCCTATTTTACAAGGTCACAGAAGCTCAGAGAGGTAAACCTGCCCAGGTTCTCATGGCTTGTAACTGGCAAAACCCACCCAAGTCTCTGTCTCTAGAGATATTTCCACTTGCTTCAACTCTGGAGCTGTCTTAGTTGTAAAGATGAGAGATTCCACTCATCACTCACTTTTGTTTGCAGATATTGCCTAAGGTCCCTTGTGAATATTTAGGTCAGGGCTGTTTTTTTGAGTTTTTTGTTTGTTTGCTTCTTTTTTTTTTACAAAGCAATCTTGTGGAAAGAACCCAAAGTGGCTCCCCCATTTAAGACCCTGTAAACAGGGAGACGAGAGTCCTGGTCTGGTTTCCACACCTTCCTTAGATTTCCCTGTGTGTAAAATCCAACAACAATCTTT
This sequence comes from Homo sapiens, assembly GCF_000001405.40. Taxonomy (NCBI): domain Eukaryota; kingdom Metazoa; phylum Chordata; class Mammalia; order Primates; family Hominidae; genus Homo; species Homo sapiens. Next base: position 71,656,134 of record NC_000011.10, on the reverse strand, counting down.
GATAAATTGCCCTCCCTAGGGGAGAGATGGAGGAAGTGTTAACTTTGCTTTTTTTTTTTTTTTTTTTTTTTTCTGTTTTCAGACAGAGCCTCGTTCTGTCGCCCAGGCTGGAGTGCAGTGGTGCCATCTCGGCTCACTGCAACCTCTGCCTCCTGAGCTCAAATGATTCTTGTGCCTCAGCCTCCCGAGTAGCTGGGATTACAGGCAGACGCCACCACACCTGGCTAATTTTTGTATTTTTAGTAGAGATGGGGTTTCACATATTGGCCAGGCTGGTATCGAACTCCTGGCCTCAAGTGATCCGCCCCCTCAGCCTCTCAAAGTGCTAGGACTACAGGCATGAGCCACCCTGCCCAGCCAATTTGCTATTTTTTTTTTAATAGACAGCTTCGAGGTCCAGTATGATTTCACAGATTAGGAAACATCACAGGCAAAAAAGAACACTTTGCATTCAAATAGCAGAATGTTTGCATTTTCAAAGAGCTCTCACCTGCCATCTAATCTTGTCTTCCTAGCAGTCCTGAGAGAGAAGCAGATGTGGTTTCTAATCCCACTTTCCCAAAGAGGAGACTGAGGCAGAGGCTTTGCAGATACACAGAGGACATGTGAGGACAGGTGAAGGTCATGAACATTGTCAGCCCCCTCCCCCAACTGGACATTCCCAGATCTGATGGACTTCCAGCCAGTGGAGACAGAAAGACTGGATCACTCAACTCTGCCATGGGTGCCAGGACCCAATTTTTCCCTGGCTAACTCGGTCACCTCCTGTCTGGGATCTCCAACTACTACCCATCCCAGAAGTCTCAGCTAAAACAGCAATTCAACGGGGAAATTTTTTCTGAGGCTTCAGGATTGGACCAGGCTCTCTCCATGGCTCTCTGCCCTTCCCCTACTGCAGAACTTAGCACCCGTATGTGACTATTGGTTCAAACATGTGCCTTTCGTATGCTCTCCACGTTATCTGCAGCATCTGCCAAGAATAATAATGAATGGTAAAACCTAATCTCTATTAAGTGTCGATGATGCACTTTTAACGTGACATCTTATTTAATCCTCACTATATCTGCAAGAGTAGAAGCTATTAATAGCCAATTTTCAGATAAGAAAATCAAAGCACAGTTTCTATAACTTACCCAAGCAGCTAGCTAGGAGGCAGCTCAATTTGAGCCCAGGGAATCAGATTCCAGAAACCATGTTCCCAATTACTAGAGCAGATACCTCCCCAGAATCTAGTAGGTGGTTAATGAGTCTTTGTGGAATAAATGAACAGAAGGACAAGCAGTGGATGGATACATAGGTGCGTGGGTGGATAGAAAGATGGGTGGGTGGGCAGGTGGATGAATGAATGGATGGTTGAGTCGGTGAAGGGATGGCTGAGTGGTTGGAGAAATGGATGAGTGGGTGAGGGGGTGGAGGGATAGATAAATGGATGCACGGGTGGGTGGATAGATGGGTAGATGAGTGAATGGGTGGATAGATGCATGGGTGAGTGGATGGATAGATGGGTTGGTGGGTGGGTAGGTGGATGATAGCTGGGTGCATAAGAGAGTGGGTTGGATGGATAGATGGGTGGGTGGTGGGTGGATAGGTGGGTAGGTGGGTGGATGGATGTATGCATGTCTGGATGGATGGATGGATGGATGGATGGAAGGAATGATGGATGGATGGACGGACAGATGAACAGATGGACTTGAGCATTTATTCAGGGTCCTCCAAAGAATTGAGTGATTTCCTAGGGTGTAACATCACCTGCACGTGGGTGGGCAAGGGGGCTTGCCTATGTAATACTCATGATTATGGGTAGTGCTCAGCCTTAGTCACCACTCTCAGAACACTTTATTGACTAGGAAAGTCAAAACTGGCATTGACAACTAGTGCAAATTACAGCTATAACTAACAGAAGATGTTGAGTGATGACAGCTGGACAACCAATAATCAATAATTTGGCTTTGTCATGTTGCTGCCATGCTGGACAGGTAGAGCCACGGGTTCCTTGATCCTTCCATCACATTGAGGATGCTTATCAAGACTTCCCCAACCATGGGGACAAGGATCTTATCAAATACTTGCAGTTCACCCCAAATGCTCACCCTCTTCATTCCACCTGCACATGACCTTCAGCTCAAAGACATTTCCAGTCCTCCAGGTCAGCCCTTCTTCCAGCCTTTGAATTAACCCTGATGACTGCCTGAACATTAGGCATCTCACCTTTCATCACACAGCCTTTTCCAAGGCTTTCCTTCAGTCCAGCCCTCACTAAACGCTGGAACTCTTGTTGACAAAATCCAGAACAAGCTGGCTGGGGGATACAGGTGGGAAGCAGGCTGTAGTAGTGGGGAAAAATTCTAAGCAATCTCGAACACAGAAAAGAAACTGAACAGGTAAGAGAGAGGCAGTCAAGAGGAGAAGTGTGAATTTTGCATAACTGAAGCTGAAGAAGAGCGGGGGGCATGGCAGACCACAAGATAAATATGATATAGACTCCGTTTTAAAAAAGTATAAACACCCACCCTTTCCTACAGACAACTGTGCTTCAAATATTGCTAAGGTCTTTAGTAAGGCGAGTCAGAAAAACTGAATATTTTATGCAATACAGTAAGAAGGCCCATAGGCAAGCATGTTCTTGACACCACCTTCTAGGATAACCCCTGGGATTCTGGTTACACCTGTCCTAAAGTTGTCTCTCACTCCTGCTGTTGGAGAGCTACCATGAGAGAAGAACCATAGTGAAGTGGTTAAGAGTGTGCACCCAGCGACCAGCCAGATCGCTTCAAACCATCACTATCTAATACCAAGCAAGTTACACAATGTTCTTGAGCCTCAACTTTCTCATCTGTAAAATGGGTATGCCGTCATTCATTAATCAAATTCTAGGTAAGCATATACAAAACACCAGAGACACAAATGAGAATCAGGAACAGGCATGGCTCTGGCCCTCACGGTGACCACAGTCTTGAAGGGGAAGGATGACATGCACAGAAACAGGAAGCCGTAGCTGAGCTAGTGTCTACCACAGAGAGGCACCTGGTGTCATGAAAGCAGATAACAGGGGGTTGCTGTGACTGAGTCAGTGTGGCCAGGCATCCCTGAGGATGTAGTGACTCCACTGTCAGATGAGACAGTGACCAGGTGAAGAGGCAGGGAGAGGGAAAATCTTTCCAGGTAGAAAGAGCAGGATATGCAAAGGCCCTGCGGCAGGAAAAGAGCAAAGGAAGTGCAAGAGCCTGAAAGAGGCCAGGGAGAACAAGTGAACATGTGGATAATCACAGCACCGACCTCATACAGGACTTGCAAGAAATACAGACCCTGTCTGTAACAGATCCAGCAATGACTAAATAGAAACTATCTCCTAAAAGCACACGATGAGGCTCCTTGGTGGTATTTCCCATGTGAGGCTGCCACGGACTCAGAGACCAAGTTCAACCTGCCTGTAGACAACCTCCAAGCCAGCTGGACACACGTACACCCTCAGGCTCAGGATACCCAGGACAGAGTCCTAGATGCTTGAAGTCATGATAAGTATCCAGAATGACACAGAATTCCAGCCAGACAAGGTGGCTCACGCCTGTAATCCCAGCACTTTGGGAGGCCGAGGTGGATCACCTGAGGTCAGGAGTTCCAGACCAGCCTGGCCAACATGGTGAAACTCCCTCTCTTCTAAAAATACAAAAAAATTAGCCAGGTATGGTTGTGGGTGCCTGTAGTCCCAGCTACTCAGGAGGCTGAGGCAGGAGAATCGCTTGAACCTGGGAGACAGAGACTGCAGTGAACCAAGATTGCACCATTGCACTCCAGCCTGGGCAGCAAAAGTGAAACTCCGTGTCAAAAAAGAAAGAAAGAAAAAAGAATGACACAGAATTTGCTAAAGGGGGAGAAAAGGCTTTCTTCCAAAGCTGGGCCTGGTTTCTACAGAGAGTCTTTCAGATGAAAATTAGGCAACTCTTTGCAAGCAGCTCTTTGCAAGCACCTCAGAGGAGAACCCCTCACCCTGATGAATCAGGCACACAGGCGGATCCAAGACAATTGGCTGCGCGCATGTGAACAAGCCTATGGTGGAAATGCAGTGCCTTATTTGTTTGGGGTGGTTTAATCACCAGGAGGGAGAAGCTTCTAAAGCAGCATTCAGAGGTGGCTGTTGCCTGGGTTTTCTGGAAGGGGGAGGTGGTGAGGATGAGGGCTTCCATTTCATCTGCAGGCCCCTTGCAGAAGGAGCTGGGGAAAGCTTTGCAGCCATCTGCACACTGTTTGCCATCTTGTCTGGCTGGGCAGCCGAGCTCCAGATGGGGGCGGATGGGATAGCTCTTGCCACTGTATTTGGAGAGAGATGGCAGGGAAGTCAGCCCCCATGAAGAAGACAGGAGCACACAGGTGCTGGACAGTGCTGCCTAGGCCCCTGGGGCTGAAGTGTCCAACCCCGCAGCCTCTAGGTGCCACTAAAGCAGCCCGAGAGGATCTTCTCTGTCCATCTCCATCCTGGCACCTATAGACACTTGGAGACAGTCCTTTACATGGGAACTCACAAATGCACACTGATAACCCCCACACGGAACTCTCATACGTAGCAAGTGAAAAGACAGGATGCCAGTTAAACTTGAATTTCAGATAAACAACAAATCATTTTTTTAGGGTAAGCAGGTCCCAAATATTGCATGGGATATATTTGCACCAAAAAAAAAAAAAAAAAAAAAGGTTAATGAGAAACTCAGGTTTAATTGGACTTCCTGTATTTTACCTGGCAAGCCTAACCCTGCATAAACACAACCCCGAGTTTGAAACTCACAGAGAAGCCATGGCCGTGCTCACACACGTGCACAAACCCATATGCCTTACAGAGTCAAGGGCTGTGATGAGGGTCCCCACACTTGCACACTTCCCTGTCCTCTGTCTGGGCTCAGAGTAAACAGAGGGTCACCTGGCATCCACGTCTAAGCTGGGCTTGGAGATGTCCTAATGAAGCAGGATGCTGACCTGCACTTCCCCAGCTCAGTCGGGGCTGCAGCCAGGCCTAGCTTCCAGTCTCGGGCCTAGAACACACAGCACAGCCCCAGACCTTGGCAAGAAGGCTTCATCTCAAAGGCTACTGGCTCAGGACCTATTAGAAGCCCCACTTCTTTCCTCTGTTTCTGCTGCCATTGCCCCAGTCTCTGACCCTGACACTCAATCACTCTATAAACACAGCAGGTACTAGGGGTGGCTCTGGGCTCGGCACTAAAGACAATGCCCCTGGTAAAGCCACAGTCTAGCAATGACAGTCAACCACGTATCAGCAACAGCCCTGCCCCACGGGTGCTGACTGCGCACAAGGCCGGCGCTGTGAACGTGCTCTCAACAGTGATCTCACTGAACCCTCGTGGCAGCTCTAGGATGCAGACAGTAGCATCACACTATCCCCATTTTACTTTTGAGGAAACTGAGGCCTGAAGAAGGCAAATGCAGGCCTCAAGATTTGCAGTAACATTGCCAGGAATGTTTGAGAAAGCAAACTTCTCCAGAGTGAGGCAGTCTGCCAGAGCTCAGAAGCCAGGGTCCCTGTTAGCAGGGGCTGGGGGGACTGTGGTGGGCAGACAAGCAGGTAGGGGCTGGACCCCCCAGGACACCAGGGTGCAGACTGGTGTGAGTAAAAGAAAGAGAGGCGATCATGCCATCATCTGCAGAAGATGATGTCTACAGAGGACAGTACCATGTGAGCCCTTGGGGAGCTGGATGACTGGATGGAATTTTGCACAGGATGCAAATTAAGCACAGATCCCCCTCTGACCTAGACAGCCCACCTCCAGGAACATCTCACAGAAATACAGGCACAGAGCACCAAGTGATGTGTGTGAGTAAATTCATCAGAACACCGTCTGTGATTGGGAAAAGGCAGAAACCATCTAAAGACGTATCGGTGCAGGGCTGGTTAAACGAAGCGTGGTGCATCCACACGTCAGAATAACTGCTGGGAGAAGAAGGTGGTACCCAGGTTCCAATGTGAGACAATGTCAAAGACATGCTGCCTGAAAAGCAGGCTTTCCAAAGAATAAATATAGCATTATTCCATTTTTACTTTTTAAAAAAGGTTACAATAAACACTTATGTGTGAATACAGGTGCTTGCGTGCACAGAGGAAAAAGGTGTGGACAGGAACAGAAAACCAAACCTGCGGGTTCTCACTCATAAGTGGGAGTTGAAAAATGAGAACACATGGACACAGGGAGGGTAACATCACACACCGGGACCCGTCGGGGGTGAGGGACAAGGGAGGGGAGAGCGTTAGGACAAATACCTAATGCATGCGGGGCTTAAAACCTAGATGACGGGTTGATAGCTGCAGTAAACCACCATGGCACATGTATACCTATGTAACACACCTGCACATTCAGCACATGTATCTCAGAACGTAGAATAAAAAATAAAAAGGAATCAAAGAAAAAGTTGTGGAGAGGTATACCTCAACCCTTCCCAGTGTTACCTCTGAGAAGCAAGATCAAGAAAAGCAAATCAAGAGGATGTTTTGTTTTTTGTTTTTATATAATTTTTTTTTTTTTTTGGAAACATAGTCTCGCTCTATTGCCCAGTCTGGAGTCCAGCGACACAATCTCGGCTCACTGCAACCTCCTCCTCACTGCAACCTCCTCCTCACTGCAACCTGCTGCTTCTGGGTTCCAGTGATTCTCTTGCCTCAGCCTCCCAAATAACAAGGATTACAGGTGTGCACCACCAAGCCCGGCTAACTTTTGTATTTTTTGTAGAGACAGGGTTTCACTATTTTGGCCAAGCTGGTCTCTAACTCCTGACCCACCTGCCTTAGCCTCCAAAAGTGCTGGGATTACAGGTGTGAGCCACCATGCGTGGCCTGCATTGCTTGAATTCTCAGACCACATGGACCCTCTCATCTGGTCCTACTGCAAGAGTCCAAGGCAGGAAAGGCAAAAGGCAGGGGCTTACCCCTACATCAGGACAACATAGAACAGAGTCAAAAAAGAAAAACATGAATGGATCAGTCAAGAGGGCCCTGCACATGCCCTCCCAGGCACCTACACCTTGCAACTTAAGCCGACAAGCTTTCAAGCCACAAAGTCTTCCTTCCTAGAGACTAGCAAGGACACAAGCCCTGGCCAATCCCCTCCAGGAGGATGGTTTGAGGGATAAGGTGGGGGGCCCAGTCAGGGGTGGCAGGAGGAAAGGGGGACATGAAGCCAAGGAAACCAGGGCACCCCATGCTTCCTGAAGGCCACCAGAACAGGGCACCACACAGAGCCCCTGTGTACCTGTTTCTACAACAGCCTGAAGACAAGGAAAAGGAAAACAAGGAAAATACACAAAGCCCAGCCTCACCTGGAGCAGGTTAAATAAAGGTGTGTTGACTTCATGTCCTTTGGAATTGGAAATCCAAGCTTCCTCCTCTGTGCCTTTAGGGTCCTGGCTGCTGCCCCACAGCTCCCTTCTCTTCTCTCCTCCTCCTGTCCTTTTTTTTTTTTTTTTTGAGATGGAATCTTGCTCTGTTGCCCAGGCTGGAGTACAGTGGCACAATCTCAGCTCACTGCAACCACCACCTTCTGGGTTCAAGCAATTCTCGTGGCTCAGCTTCCCGAGTAGCTGGTATTATAGGTGTCACCATATCCGGCTAATTATTGTATTTTTAGTAGAGACAGGTTTTCACCATGTTGGCCGGGCTACTCTCAAACTCCTGGCCTCAGGCGATCCGCCCACCTCGGCGTCTCAAAGTGCTGGGATTACAGGTGTGAGCCACCATGCCTGGACCTCTTGTCCTAACTCTGCCATCTCTTTGCAGTCTCCCCTGAGCAGCTTTTCCTGGGCCCACCCTGCCCCCCTCCAGAGCTGCACTCTCAAACCACCCCCCAATGCTCCCGGCCCTGGCTCCTGCCCCAGGGCTCTGATCCTCAGCTGGTGAGGTCTAGAGGGTCAGAGGGAGCCAGACTCCCTAGAGAAGTTAAGGCAGGAGCCCTGTGCTGGGCTGTGGGTAACCTGCCCCCTTCCAGCTGGGGCCAAATAGAAGAGGGAAAGGCTGCCCCCAGAATACAGGGCCCTCAGAGGCCCTGGGGATCTGTGCTGGCAGTCAGGAGGACTGTCACCTTAGAGCAGTTGCCTGCAAGAAGGGCTGTGCAGGAAGCTGCATGTTGCTCAGAGAACAAAAAAAGGAAATTAAATGCGCCATCTGGTTATTAGCAAGAGCTTTTTAGACAGACACTTAAAAATGCATGCCTAGACATTATAAAACTTGGGGGAAATGTTAATTTCAATAACGCCACTTGTGCTTGCAAAAACCATTCTTTTATCTCCCTTCCTAGTAATTTGGGGGCTCCATCCCTCAGAGTGGCAGCGCCAAGACAGCTGGCTTCACTGGGTTTTGTAAGCTGTGCAAGGTGAGATCCCAAGCCCTTGCCTGGAGACCCATCTTAGGAAAATGTTAGAACAGGGCAACAAGTTGCCATTTCCTCCCTCCTTTCTCTTCCCCATACAAAAATCAGAAAGCACACTAGCCCAGTGCCCAGCCACAGTGGTGAGGAAACCCCACTCAAAATCCTGGGTTGTGCCCCTGATGCCAAAGACCTGCAAAACTGGGACTCACCTGCTGCAACCCTAGCCCAGACTTCTGTACATTTCAGGGGTGGCTGGACTCATGGCCGCCTGGGACGTCAGGGTGGTACAAAGTCCTCTTAATCTAAGACTGTCGGGGTACTAAGATAAGCATTTTTTTTTTCCCTTTTCTTGAGAGCCAGATGGTAAATAGTTCAGCTTTGCAGGCCATAGGTCTCTGTCCCAACTATTCAACTCTCCATTGTAGCAGGAAAGCAGCCACAGACAATATGCACTGAAATGGGTGTGACTGTGTTCCAATAAAACTTTATTTGTGTGAAGACAGGGGGCTCGTTGTGGTGTGTGGGCTACAGCCTGCCTCCTCTGCTACAGCGTGATCTCCAAGGACCCATCCATCTCGTAGACCAGCAGCTGGCACACAGGAGCTGCTCAGATACTTGAAGGAGGAATGGAGAAGGCAAGCAGCCCCCAGTGCGCAGACTTGAGGGTCTCCCAGCAGCACCATCCTTTGCCATCTCATGCCGAGGGACAAAGCCAGAGCAGCGCTCTCTACCAAGGCTGGGTTCTCCTCCAAGGAAATGTGATAACAGGACAGAAAGCACTGTGGAAGAATAGGGACTTTGGAGTCCCACAAACCACAGTTTGCAATACCAAGGGCATCCTGCACTTCCTTGCACACATCCTGGGTAGGTGCTGGAGCATCTAGACTTAGAGTGAATCTTTTCCCCCTCCTCCTCCAACTGGCCTCCATTACACTTCCAGCAACAATGTAGTGTACGTACACAATGGAATACTATTCAGCCTTCAAAAAGAAGAAAATCCTGCCATTTGAGACAACATGGATGAGCCTGGAGGATATTATGTTAAGTGAAATAAGCCAGGCACAAAACGACAAATACCACATGATCTCACTTATATGTGAAATCTAAAAAAGTTGAACTCAGTCAGGCATGGTGGCTCATGCCTGTAATCCCAGCACTTTGGGAGGCTGAGGCCGGCAGATTGCTTGAGCCCAGGAGTTCGAGACCAGCCTACATAACACAGCAAGACCTCATCTCTACAAAAAAATACAAAAATTAGTGGAGTGTGGTGGTGCATGCCTGTACTCCCAGATACTCAGGAGGCCGAGGTGGGAGGATTGATTGAGCTTGGGAAGTCAAGGCTGGAGTGAGCCAAGATCACACCCCTGCACTACAGCCTGGGCAACAAAATGAGAGTGTCTCAAAAAAAACGAATGAAAAAGAAAAGAAAAAAGTTGAATTCACAGAAGCAGAGTAGAATGATGGTTGCCAGGGTGGGGAAGTGGGCAGATGCCAAAGGACACAGAATGTCATTTTTAGAGAGGAAGAATAAGTTCAGGATATCCATGGGACAACATGGTACCTATAGTTAATAACAACATATCATACACTTGGAAATCACTAAGAGAGTAGATTTTTTAAGTGTTCTCACCATAAAAAAAATAAGTCTGGGAGGTGATATGTTATTTAGCTTGATTTAGCCATTTTGTAATGTATACATACTTCAGTCACATCATGTTGTACCCTCTTGTACATATTTTTTGTCAATTCAATAAATTCAACAACTCCAAAAAACAAGACATTTTTACAAAATAATTATTAAAAATAAAATTCAAAATTCTATTTAATTAATTTATTTATTTTTGAAATAGAGTCTCGCTCTGTCACCCAGGCTGGCTGAAGTGCAGTGGTGCGATCTCGGCTGACTGCAACCTCTGTCTCTCAGGTTCAAATGATTCTCCTGCCTCAGCCTCCCAAGCAGATGGGATTACAGGTGTGTGCCATCACACCTGGCTAATTTCTGTATTTTCAGTAGAGATAGTTCCGCCATGTTGTCCAGGCTGGTCTCGAACTCCTGACCTTAGGTGATCCACCAGCCTCGACCTGCCAAAGTGCTGGGATTACAGGTGTGAGCCACTGCGCCTGGACAGAATATAAAAGATTGTTTAATTCAACTAAAACATTAAAACAGATTATTTCTATAAGTGGTAATTGTTCTAACATGTTTTGGTCAAAATAGTCTCCTTAGTCATCCACAATTAAATGGTTAATTGACATTTGATTGGATTTTGATAAAGTTTTCAAATCATGATTGACTTTTCCAATGTACAGTAAAATGTGTTTGAAAATATTTCATAAAAATTAATATTTAAAAATAGTCAGGCATGGTGGCTCATGCCTGTAATCCCAGCACTTTGGGAGGCCAAGGTGGGCCGATCACTTGAGGTCAGGAGTTTGAAAGCAGCCTGGCCAAACCTCATCTCCACTAAAAATACAAAAGTTAGTCGGGCATGGTGGCGCGCCCCTGCATTCCCAGCTACTTGGGAGGCTGAGGCAGGAGAATCCCTTGAACCTGGGAAGTGGGTTCCCCAGGCTTAGAGCAAAACCCCCATCTTGTCCGTCTCCACTCTCATCCCAGGCAATCACGGTCATTTCCACAGCCTCAACCACTGTCTACCTGGGATGCCTCCCAAGCCCGAGTCTCCAGCCCAAACCTGCCTTCCTAGCTCCAGACCCATCTGTCCTGGCACACGTTGCCCCCTGGGTCCCAAGCAACCTCAGCCAATGAGTCCAACGTCAACTTCCTGTCCTTGCCTGACACTGTCAGCCCTGAGATCAGACTTGACCATTCACCTCCAGTACCTGATTGGTCCGTCAGTCCTTTGGAACATATCCCACGAACATTCCCCAAACCAGGCACCGGACTCCACACATCAACACCGTCATGTGAGTCACCAGCATCCCTGGCAGGGACCCCTGTCCCAGCCTCCAACTCATCTCCTTCCTGTCCTTTGAGTTCTGTGTCACATTCCAGAGGCCACAAGAAGAAAAATGACAACCTTAATGAAATTAAAAGAATTGAGAAGACATTTCCCTATGGTCCAAAGTCTTTCCAACTGAGAAACACATATCAAGATCCGGCCTGCCAACCCTGCGGTTAAATGTTCCTGAAATAATTAAAGCCCAGGGCAACACAGCCCGCACTCCACAAGTACTCCCAGCACAGTAAGACTTGCTTCTCTGGAGGGGCTTGAAATGTCCAGTGTGTACCCTGCCCCTCTCTGTCGTAGCTAACAGGAATGTGCTTCATGTCTTCTTCCTGCTCAAAGGACCATCCACCAACCTGCACAGGCAGCACTTTCGGCCGGGGGGGATCCGAGAACTTCCCACCATTTCCCACTTATGCACTGCATTCCTCAGGAGCCTGCCTCACAAATTACAAGAGCGCCATGGCAGACACACGACGTTCCTGTGGGTGGCCCTGTCTTCATGTCAGCTTGAAAGATCGTCACCAGGGAAATATCTATATCTCGGCAGAGAGAGCTTCAGCCTGTGTAGTCCAGCTGTGCTCAAATGGAAATCCAGAAACCCAGATGTTGGTCCAAACACCCTGTCTCGGACAGCCAGCTCTGCAGATCCCCAGCGTGGGAGTGAACTGGGTGGGCAACCTACCCTGCCTGCCCACATCCCTGCTTCCTGGAATCCTGGACCCTGAGAACCAGGGGGATGTGGTGGGGAACAGGCAAGTCTTGTGCAGAAAGCCTAGATGCAACCCAAATCCACTCTGCAGTCTAGGTGGGTGATATTCTGGTCTGCACCGCACCAGTGCATGAGGGGATGGAGGATGGAGTCTAGACAAACCAAACGTAAAAAGATATTGCCCAAGTATTTTGTGCTTTGTCTGTGTTACAATGCTATGCCCAGCCCAGCGTGGTGGCTCACACCTGTGATCTCAGCACCTTGGGAGGCCGAGGCAGGCGGATTACCTTAGGTCAGGAGTTTGAGACCAGCCTGGCCAACATGGTGAAACCCCATCTCTACTAAAAATACAAAAATTAGCCAGGTGTGGTGGTGGGCACCTGTAATCCCACCTACTCGGGAGGCTGAGGCAGGAGAATCACTTGAGCCCAGGAAGTGGAGGTTGCAGTGAGCAGAGATCATGCCACTGCACTCCAGCCTGGGCAACAGAGTAAGACTCCATCTTTAAAAAACATAAAAATAAATAAATGCTATGCCCAGCATTTTCCATGTACTGTCTTATTATCTCAGTAAATCCCATATAACCTTCCTATGAAAGTGTATCTCATTTATCTCCATTTTATAGATGAGAAAACTGAGGCCCCTGGAGTAGTATTAATTTTCCAAGACCGCATTGCTCATAAAGGGTACAGCAGAGACCCAAGCTCGACACTCTCACCCTCAAACATTTCCACAAGTGTAGACCAATGGCTCTCAACTGGGGTGGTTTTGCTCACATACCACTCCCTTGCTCCATGATATTTGAAACCGTCTGGAGACATCTGGGGTAGCCATAGCTGGGAGGGTAGAGTGGCACCTAGAGGATGGAGACCAGAGATGCTGCTAACCATCCTACAGTACACAGGACGGCCCCACCACCAGCACCACGAATGGTCTCACCCCAAATGTTGTGACTGTGCCAAAGCTGAGACACCCAGGTTTCTCCTCAGCAAGAAGGAAAATACCTGCAACACGGATGCACCTCTGCAGGAGCCCCAGGCTGACAATAACATTCCTCATCTGGTTTCAACCCTGGATGCTTTCACCTGGTGTGTTCATCAGGGATTTCAGGGACCCCAACGAGTTATTACCCTTGAATGCTTGGTTCCGCCTGACAACCCTGAAATCTCTGCCGAGGTGCCTGGTCTTGAGGAAGGCTCAGCAAGTGGTTGAGGTTGATAACCAAATACCTAAGGAGAGACTTTTCTTTCCCTCCAGGAGGAGCTGTGGGTCAGACACACCCTGGGATCATTCACAAGCGGTCAATAAAGGTTTGGGGAGGGCCAGGTTTTCTAGGCCTTCTCAATGGGGTGGGTGTTTGTGGATACACAAGAAGCCTGTGAAACCTCTGATATTGGCAGGAAATCAACGCCCCCCACGCTCCACCCTCCACCCCCCCCCCCACCTCCCCACCATAAACACATGCCCTGCAGCAGGACTTGCCACTCAGGGGCTCCTGGGGGCCCGATTAACCTGCTAAAACATCCTCTAGCCACCACCAAATAAAGCAACCCCTTGCCACCCAACCACAGAAGCACAGCCTGGGAGCCACTCCAAGGGACATCCAGTCACATTAAAACCTCAGCCATCCAGAGCACCAGGCCTGGTGATGAGAAAGAACATTTTATCCTTAAAAACATCTGAATGCCCATGCTGCTTCTTGCAGAGAAAAGTCCAAAATAATCTGCTATTAAAGAACGAGGATGGTTTTGACATTTTTACCAAGCTAATGGTCTACGCAGACAAAATCTCATAAAAGTGCACTCTGTTCTTCTTGATCCACTCAGACATGGCCTGTGAGTGAAGAAACGGGCTCTCCTCCTCAAAGAAATTGCTGCTGATCCTCACACCAGCCTGACACTGCTTCATGGGTTCTTCAAAGAGAGTATTCCCATAGAAACTAAAAGGGAAGAGGAATGTGTCTGGCGGGCATTGTGGGCAGCAGTGGGTTTTGGGCCAAATTTTAAGTTTGAAAATCAAGATTCCCTCTTTTCGAGGGGCCGCCAGACTGAGCAGATACAGACACCGTGAAAAGAGGGTGCCATATTCAGATTCAGGAAACAAGGATGGTTTCTGTTCAGTTCCTGCATCATCCTTCAGGTCATGCGATTCCCATTTCCCTCTGTGGACCAAGAAATTCAGTGGGGTTTCTGCCTTTTAAATATTTCATTATCAATATATCATCCTTCTAGCCTCCAGAAAGCATTTTAACATGGAGATTCTGGCTTAAGACACTTGTGGGTCTGTCTCTCTCTCTCTCTTTTCCTTGAAACAGGGTCTCACTTTGTCACCTAGGCTGGAGTGCAGTGGCATGATCACAGCCCACTGCAGCCAGACCTTCCAGGCTCTAGCAATCCTCCCACCTCAGCTTCCCAAGTACTTGGGACTACATGCACGCACCACCATACCTGGCTTTTTTTTTTTTTTTTTTTTTGGTAGATATGAGGCTTCACCACGTTGCCCAGGCTGGTCTTAAACTCCTGGGCTCAAGCAATCCTCCCCCTTCGGCCTTTCAAAGTGCTGGGATTATTAGCTTGAGCCACCACGCCCGGCCAAGAACCTTGTGATGCACCCCAGAACAAAACATCACTGCAAAAACACACCAAGGCATGAGTTTCAGTCCTAATTCCCATTTATCCACCATACACTATGTGCCAGGCACAATGCTAAGTGCTTCTATGGACGAGCTTCCCTTAATCTCAGCAGTAACAACCCCAGGCAATGGGGCCTGTTGACCGATCCATTTGCCACTGAAGACAGTAAGGCTCAGAGAGGGTAAGTGGCTTGTGCCATGTCAGCCAGCTAAGGAGGGGCAGAACCAGGATGCAAACCCCAGCCACCTGGCTCCAGACTCACGTTCCCAAGGTCCCACTACACTTGGTCACTCCATTGCATTCTGGTATCCTGGTCTTTGGCAGAGTCTACGTAAAAGAGGGAGGTAGAGGGAGTGAGAGGGACCTCACGCAATCAAGTTTCCCGGCGTTACACTGCCACCGTCATTGTGTCCCCGACCAGGACCTTTCCCTTCTCATCCTTTCCGTGATCGGCCCTGGAAAACCTTCCAGAGAACTGTCCTCCTTCTCCCGGGATCTCAGAGAAAATTCATCTGAGTTCAGTGTCCAGGTGACCCAAGCTCTGAATGCAGTAAAGTGCACGGGGAGATGAGGATGTCACCATGAACAAGCCTCCCAGACAGCATCCAGGAGCAACCCCAAGACTGGGCAGTGGGGGCTCTGATGCAGCCCACGGCGAGGAGGGCTGCCCGTGCTGCCTAAATGGGTTCAGAATGAAGGCGCCCTCTCTCCCATGTGGGGCTCATTCACCACGAAACAAATGATTAAGACACGCTCAGCTGAGCAAATGGTCAAACATAAAAACATGTGGAAGGAGCAAAGAGGTCAACCCCATTATCCATCAAAAACCATCAAGGTGGCGGCCCTCACTGAGGGGTACAGCTCCTCAGCGGGCCCTCATCTGCCCTCCAAACCCACGTGCCTCCCCAGTGGAAGGCCAGCAAAGCCACACAGGAAGAGTTGGGGTAGGAAAGCAGAAAGTGAACCCCAGGAGGCCAGGCTGGCCACGGAGCCCCATCGCACACACACAGGCCCGGTGACTCAGGGTTCCACGTGTGCAGGACACCGGGAGCTCACAGGGACAGCGCCCCGGGGGATGCAAGGAACTTTCCCTCTCTGTCCCTCTCTGTAGGGATGGAAAGAGGAGAGCGATTTCTGGGATGGAAGCCATCTGCCTCCTCTCAACTCTCGCTGCCCAACCAGAAAGGGAAGAAAAACAGGAAGATGCGGGATAGGTGAGGAGCTGGGTGAGCGCCGCCAGCCCGCAGCCCAGCAGAGCAGGGCTTGGCCAAGCCTGGCTCCAGGTACTTCCCCCCTGCCCCCACCACAAGCCCCTCGCCAGGTGAGAGGCACCGGCAGAGTCCCAGACAGATGCCCCAGACAGGATGCCCGGGGCAACCCCCGCCCCTTCCCCTGCTGAGGGCCCCCAGGACGCGGGGCTCCCCCTCCTCTTTTGACTAGCCGCAGAGTCCAGTGGGTCTCTAGTCCAGGGACGTCGTGGGAGAATCAGGAAGTCTAAGCCACACAGCCGAGAAGGGGCAGCTGGCGTCTCGGAGGCCGTCACGAGCTGTCACTCCGCGCCCGCCGGAGTTGCCGCTCAGTTACCAACTTCAACCCGGGGCCGGCCACGGAGCCTCCCGCCGTCCCTACCCCGCGTCCCCGGCACCCCCGCGCCCCCGGCACCCCCGGACCCCCGCGCCCGCGTCACTTACTCCTCTGCCGTCGCCACCTGTCTGGGTGCAGGTCTCCTCCCTGCCTGGCCGCGGAGCGTCCTCCCCGTCCTCGCAGTCCTCGGGCTGTGCGCTTCCCCGCTCCAGCAACCAGCCGCAGCCTCTTCTCCTCGGGAGGGACGTCGTCCTCCTCCCTCCTGGGCCGGCCATCCTTGCCTCGGGGCTTGCCAGTGGCTTCGGAGCTGCCGGAAGGGCTGGCCATGGCTCCGGGGGCTCTGCCTGCACTTGGGGAAGAGGAAGGACCCGGCGCGAGCGGCCTCTCGGCGGAGCTGGGGCGTCTGAGCGCGGGCTCGGTGGGTCCGCGCGGCTCGGAGCTGGGCATCGGGGCCGGCGCGGGCTCCTCCGCGGGCCGCTCCTGGCTCTCTAGCGCCCTCTGCTGGCCGCTCGCACGCACCGCGGACACGCCGGGCCGGGGCCTGCGCCGCGCTCACCTGCCCTGGCCTAGGCGGTCGCTGTCCCCTGCTCTTGGCCAGGCCAGCTCCGGCCAGGCTCTGCACCTCCTCCCCGCCCCAGCCAGGTTGCACCCCGATGGTCTCCCTGCCCAAGGAGGAGAGAAGAGAAGGGACGCCCCGAGAGGGTGGACATCGGCCACAGCCACCTTGTCTTTGCTCTTACCCTGTGTCTTGCATGATTTGGAGGTGGTGGGAAAACCGAGGCTGCTCAAAACTCGTGGAGAATTCCTCCTGCAAGATGACATGAATGCACCTTCGCGTTGCCTACCAACAGATCTTTTTTGAGCATCTCTGTGGCCCACGCGTGGTGATGGGGGAGGGGATATTTTGGTGAACATGACAGGCATGGCCTTCACACAGTAGGGCTCAGCCCTGGGTGAGAAGGCATTGAGAACGGACATTGTCAATTGGGCAAAGGGAGGCCAAGGAGAAGTGCTGGGGGCATGGGAACTGAAAAAGACAGGAGGCTCAGCAGGTCTTGGAGCTGGGAGAGGGACAGCAGCAGCGGCTGTTCCAAAGGAAGCAACAGCTGAGAGACGTCTCAGAGAGTTGTTCTCAGCCCAGTGGATCATGTTTGGGCAGAGGGAACAGCGTGTGCAAAAGCCCAGAGGCTGGGAAAGAAGCAGAAAGAGGACTGTGGGGCTGGAGCATGGAGGGCGAGGGGAGAGAGGTGTGGTGGGCAGACAGATTGCCTGGGACCCAGCCGTGCAGGGACAGAGGAGATAGGGGATCCTTGCAGGCCCCCAGCCAGGGCTCAGGCACAGAGATAATGCAGGTGGGCAAAGAGAGGAGATGTGGAGAAATATTTTGGAGGCATGACCTGATGAATGAGCCCAGGATGCACTCTTAGTGTCAGTGTGGAGCTCCTTCTTTGGCTGTGTGATCAGCTGAACCCGGGGGTATTTTCTGGACATCGAGGTGCTACACCAAGAGTCCAGGACAGGCTAAGTGAGCACCAGCAGCTCCTGGCCTACCTCAAAAGCAGGAGAGACAGGGGAGACTGGGGAGGCCGGGGAGGAAGGGGAAGCCAGGAAGGCAGGAGAGGCCAGGGAAGCAGAGGAGGCCAGGGAGGCAGTGGAGGCAGGAGAGGCTGGGGAGGCTGTGTCCTTTCCATGATTCTGCCCGGGATCCTAGGCCCCTGAACTCCCTGAGCTTCTCCACCCCAAGCGCTGGAACCATGTTGCACAATGGTCTCTCCACTAAGCTCCTGATGGCAGACCCTACCCTGCTGTGCTCCCTATTTCAACCCTAACAGCTCTCACAGTGGGCAGCACATAGTAGGTGCTCAGGAAACACTGGTGGGAGAGCACATGGGTCTGCTCAGCACCTTCCTCTCTCCTCCAGCTCTCCCCTGTCATGAAATAATTCTGATAACGACACATGGGCTTTGAGACCCTCTTCTATTACTTTCCATATGCTAATCCATCTATACCTCACAACAGCCCTGGGGGTGGGTGCTATTAGGATGTCCATTTTACAGAGGAGGAGACTGAAGTATAAAGAGGGTAAGTGACATAGGCACACTACAGGGGCCGGGGCCAAGTGATCGCAGCACTCAATCCCCAAAGGCAAGGTGGACACAGTTACCATAAAAGACAGCAGAGGCAAAGCTGCAACCAGAATAGCCTGACTCGCAGAGACCTATGGTGCCAGCTGATCGTGGCATTCCTAGAAGTGAAATAGGTCAGAAGCCTGCCACATTTTTACTTGATCTGTGTTTGCAGAAGATTTCTAGGTCAGGTGAGTAGAAGTCTAATCTGAATCATAAAAACAGAGTCACAGTCCCCAGTCAATTCCCAGACATAAGCCAGTTCACAGACCCGGAGTCCCTTGTCTGAAATGGGAAGCCAGGTCCCCTCCAGAAAGGACTCTACTCCACTGCCAAAAATTTATACTGTCAATTTTTCTCCCAGCCTGCCCCCGAAGGAATACACAGCCTTTTACCAGGATGACTGAACAGGGGAAAAGGAACTAATGAGATCTGTGCAGGATCACTGGACACAGGCTCTGAACTGGCACTAGGGCAAGACTAGGGTCTACCAGTCAGAATAGGCATTTTGGAGGTCCGGTGAATGTTGGTGCAACTTCATGTCATGGTAGATCCATTGGGTCCCCAAATCCATCCTCTGGTTATATACAAAGTGGCCTTGCTGAGATTAAAATTCAGGGCATCCAACATGGAGGCTGTGCTCTTACTCATGAAACATTCTGACACTAGTAACCAATTTAAAAATGCAAACATCTCCTGGGGCTAGCCAGAGTCCTCCAAACAGTCACGTAAATTGGTTCTGTCAAGGATTTCCTCCTACGCCCTGCTGAGAGCCAGTTGCAAGGACAGACTAGGGAAGGGCATTGGGTAACTTTGTTTCTAAAAGCTCTTTTGGATAAAGACGTTTGGGAAAAGAAGCAAATAGAGTTCAGCAGAAGAGGTAAGAAAGTAAGTTTATGTTTGGCCAGGCACGGTGACTCACACCTGTAATCCCAGGACTTTGGGAGGCCGAGGTGGGCAGATCACGAGGTCAAGAGATCGGACCATCCTGGCCAACATGGTGAAGCCCCGTGTCTACTAAAAATTCAAAAATGAGCGGGCCATGATGGCACACGCCTGTAGTCCAGCTACTCGGGAGCCTGAGGCAGGAGAATCACTTGAACCCAGGAGGCAGAGGTTGCAGTGGGCCGAGATCATGCCACTGCATTCCAACCCGGCAACAGAACGAGACTCCGTCTCATAAAACAAACCAAAACAAACAAACAAAAAAGCAAGCTTATTTTTAAGCCTGAACAAGTGTAATGGTTTAGGGGTTCTGCAAATACGGCCCCAATCAGGCTACAAGATGTTGTGGCAGCAACACTTACACCCAGTCACTCCTGGCTGGCTGAACCACTTTTCAAAACACCCTTGCACAGCTGTGCAGAGCGGCTGGCTCCACTGGCAGCCGGCAGAGCCATAACTCACACTGTCACCACTCCCCTCAAACCCTTTCAGTAAGCATATTCTTTATTATTTTTTTTTTTTTTTGAGACGGAGTCTTGCTCGAGACGGAGTCTTGCTCTGTCATCCAGGCTGGAGTGCAGTGGCGCAATCTTGGCTCACTGCAAGCTCTGCCTCCCAGGTTCATGCCGTTCTCCTGCCTCAGCCTCCCAAGTAGCTGGGACTACAAGCGCCCGCCACCATGCCCGGCTAATTTTTTGTATTTTTAGTAGAGACGGGGTTTCACCGTGTTAGCCAGGATGGTCTCAATTTCCTGACTTTGTGATCTGCCCGCCTTGGCCTCCCAAAGTGCTGGGATTACAAGCTTGAGCCACCGCGCCCGGCCTGGTAAGCACTTTTAATCAATACAACAGGAATAAACATTTGCTGCTGAGCGGCAATGTTCAGGGAGGAACATGCTTCCACTCAGGCTCAGAAAGCAAAACCTCCTGGCTGTTTGCATCTGTGCGAGAGCTCGCAGGAAAAGCCCTCTGTGTGGCTGCCAGCCTCACACTCTCCCCCTAAGGGGTGAGTTTCTCTTTCCATGTTAATCTATGCCCTGACGTGCCATCTGTCAACCACCACACCATTCTCAGTTGACATTTCAAAGCATCTTTGCCCTGTGAATGGTCACCAGCCCTGCCCTGCAATCCCCCAGCTGACATTGAACTTAAATGAGAGAGAAAACAGGTTTCGGGGTGGATTTCAGTTCAGCATCTTTGAACCTCTGTGTGGACATGAAATCTGTCTCCCCAGCTGTGGGCTGCATCCTTGTTTGTCATCTGGTTTTGTTTTTGAGGACTTGGAAACTCGTGGGCACCTTTGCAATTTGTCAAGAAGCTGCACGGCCCTTCCAACAAAAGCAAGCAATAGGAACAGAAGCCCAAGGCATCAGATCAAGGTGCGACTTAAAGCAGCCTCAGTGTAAAAACAAACAGGAGTCAGAGGGATGCCTAAGGCAGAGTCTAGTCCCCAGGGCAGCTATAAGGCAAAGAGAAAGAGAGAGAGGTAGACCGAGACAGAGACAGAGATAGAAACATAGAAAGAGATGGGAGGAGATATGAGACACCCAGGCCTCTGCATCAAAATCCCTACAAGAGGGGCTTCCTAAAAATGCAGGAGGCTGAGGTGGGCGCACACAGAAGTTCAAGACTAGCCTGGGCAACATAGCAAGACCCTGTCTTTACAAAAAATACAAAAATCAGCCAGGTGTGGTGGTGTATGCCTGTGGTCCCATCTACCCAGGAGGCTGAGGTGGGAGGATGGCTTGAGCCCAGGAGGTAGAGGCTGCAGTGAACCAAGATAGCACCACTGCACTCCAGCCTGGGCAATAGAGTGAGACTTCATCTCAAAAAATTTTAAAAAAATTTTTAAAAAGGATCACCCTGGCTACTTGAATGGATGATAAGAAGGTAAGAGCAGAAGAAAGGAGACCAGCAGTGAGATTCTGCAGGTGGGAGTCCACAGTGGCTCAGACCAGGCTGGCGCTGAAGACCGGCTGGATTCTGTATATATCTTGATGATGAAGCAACTCACTGACTCTTGAAGAATGGGCTCTAGGAGACAGTATTTTTAACAAGCTCTCAGAGGATTGTAATGCAGGCTGAAGTTGAAGAACTCCTGATTTAGGTGAAACTTCTGTTTCATCCTTGGAGAAGTACCTACTGACTTTTCTCCAAGCCACCTCAAAAGAGGCGCTAGACAAGATTGGCTCCAATGTCTGAACATGTGTGCACAGCTCTAGAGCCGACCTCAGGACACTGAGTCAAAGGTTAGGAGTACAACAGTGAACAACCACCATCCTCTTTTCAATGAGCTTTGCATTTAATGAGAGAAATAAAAAGCAAAAAAAAAAAATCATTTTCAACTCAGAATGGTAAGAGTTATGGTGACAGTATGCCTGGGGCAATGGGAGCACAAAGAAGGGGCACCCAATCGGCCAGGTGCAGTTGTTCATGCCTGTAATCCCAGCACTTTGGGAGGCCAAGGTGGGTGGATCACTTGAGGCCAGGAGTTCGAAAACAGCCTGGCCAACATGGTGAAATTCTGTCTTTACTAAAAATACAAAAACATTAGCCGGTTGTGGTGGTGGGCACCTGTAATTCCAGATACTCAGAAGGCTGAGGTGGGAGAATTGCTTGAACCCGGGAGGCGGAGATTGCAGTGAGCCAAGATCGCGCCACTGCACTCCAGCCTGGATTGCCAGAGCGAGACTCCGTCAAAAAAAAAAAAAAGCCAGGAGATAGGTGGGCATGCAATCTCTATCAGGTGGTCAGAAATCCTTCTCCACCACAGGACTCCTCAGTTGAAGACTAGAATATGGTAGGAATTAGCCAGGTTGATAGGAGAGGTGTGGAAGATCATTCCCAGCAGAGGGAAGAGCATGTGCAAAAGTCGAGACATGAGAGGGTGAGAAGCTGAGAGATGTTCATATAATTGTAAAAAGTGACTAATGTAGAGGTAAGTTGGAGCCAAATCTTAAAGGCTCTTTGTCATGTTTATCCTGTAGACAAAGGGAGACAGTAGATGTTTTTAGGCAGGGGAGTAATGATCCACTTTGTGCTATAAAAAGAGCAGTCTGGCTGGAGGAGAGTGGGAGGTGAGTAGATCAGGTAGGATGTTGCAATACACCAAGTGAGACAAGATGGTTGGCTGGACCAAGGCTGTGGCAGTGAGGATGGAGAGGAGACAGTAGACTAACTTCACTGAGACAGAGGGAGGAATGAAGGAGGAGGCCCAGGTGTTTTGGAAGCTGGGTGGATGGTGGTGTGAATCTGACGTGGTGACCCCAGGCAGAAGAGGAAATCAGGAGAGGAAAGGTAAGATGAGGTCAATGCAAGACAGACAGCCAAGTGGAGATAACAACTGGGCAGTTGGATTCATCAGCCTGGAGTTATACAGAGAGCTCTGGAATTGAAATAAAGAGGAAACGACGTTGGGAATAAGTGAATCCTCCCAGAATAATGTGTAGAGAAAGGAGAATAGAACACAGGGGACAGAAAAAGGGAAGAGATTTGTTATTAAAACCAACCATCCATCAGACATCTTCCAATACAACACTTGTTAGAGGTTTCCTCAGTGTGAGTTATTCAGGACCAGAGCTAAAGACCATGTTCCCAATAAAATCACTTCTGGGAAGGTCTTCATGAAAACATTTAATGCTGCTTTTAAAACAACAACAACAACAACAAAAAGGTTTTAGCTGCTGCACAGACCCTGGAGCAATTTTTCGGCAAGAGTCTATCAAACACGTATCTGATCTGACTCAAGGAGGTGTCATATCAAGTGTAAAAATCCAATTCCAATGTCCATAAGAGCCTTTCTTCCAGGTAAAAGACCCTAATCCAGTTGAAGTGATATTCTATTGATTAATAGGCTGGGAATACACAGGTTGTTGGTTTTTGAGATTTCCCTCCCTGTGCCTTCATGCCAGCTGTGAAAGAGTCAAAAGGCTCCTAACTGTCAAAATAAAAATGACACTTGGTCACAGAGGAAACAGATTATAGGTCAATCACATTGATGACTTTTTAAATATGAGAAGCCATTAATGTTACTGAGTAAGCAAATCTGTTTGCATAACCAGATTTTTATAGGCTACTGGGAATAAAGGTTTTCCTAAGTGGGTGATTTGTACAACGATAGCCTTTGGGTCTCTGATGGAACAGCTCTGATGAGGAAATGTTCCTTTAATTATGTGGAAGGCCAATTACCACGTTATAGCCACATTGTTTTGCAGATTGCATATAATTTCACCATTTCCATAGCTTCAGCACTATAATTCTGGAGAAAATTCAGGCACCAAGAAGACACTTGAGGCACATTATGCTGGAGACAAAGATGTTTTAACGAATTCAATTTAAGCTTCAACATTAAAGTTATTTTGTTGAATAAAACATAATGCAATAGTGAGCTTGTGTATGTCAACTGTATAGTGGAGGTAATAATAGCTAGAGAGAGCATGTCCCGTCTCCTCTTTTTAATGCTCATTTGAGTAACACGTAATGTTATAGAGAGAACCTTTCTCTAATATGTGTTTCATCTCAGGCTAAGCGTGATTTGTGCAACTGTGCTTCATGAAAAAAAAGGTAAAGGATCTAATTTGAGAGCCATTCACAAAAGTGCTACCACTTGATGTTTTTTATACTCTGAGATTTCTTATTCCCAGTGCCTACCAGGAATGGACTTTCTGGAGAAGCTCAGATTAATCACTCCTTATGAGAGGTGACAGCATGCTGGCAGCTCTCACAGCCCTCGCTCGCTCTCGGCACCTCCTTTGCCTGGGCTCCCACTTTGGAGGCACTTGAGGAGCCCTTCAGCACGCAGCTGCATGGTGGGACCCCCTTTCTGGGCTGGCCAAGGTCAGAGCTGGCTCCCTCAGCTTGCAGGGAGGTGTGGAGGGAGAGGCATGAGCTGAAACCAGGGCTACGCATGCTGCTTGCCTGCCGGCTGGAGTTCTGGGTGGGCGTGGGCTTGGTGGCCCCGCACTAGGAGCTGCCAGCCGGCCTTGCTGGTCCGGGCAGTGAAGGGCTTAACACCTGGGCCAGCAGTTGCTGTGCTCGACTTCTCGCCGGGCCTTAGCTGCCTCTCTGTGGGGCAGGGCTCCGGACCTGCAGCCCACCATTCCTTAGCCTCCCCACTCCATGGGCTCCTGCGTGGCCCGAGCCTCTCCGACAAGCACCGCCCCCTGCTCCACGGCACCTAGTCCCATCGACCACCCAAGGGCTGAGGAGTGTGGGCGCACGGAGAGGGACTGGCAGGCAGCTCCACTTGCAGCTCCTGTGCGGGATCCACTGGGTGAAGCCAACTGGGTTCCTGAGTCTGGAGGGGACTTCTAGAACCTTTATGTCTAGCTAAGGGATTGTAAATACACCAGTCGGCACTATGTATGTAGCTCAAGGTTTGTAAACACACTATTCAGCACCCTGTGTCTAGCTCAGGGTTTGTGAATGTACCAATCGACACTCTGTATCTAGCTACTATGGTGGGGACTTGGAGAACCTTTGTGTGGACACTCTGTATCTAGCTAATCTAGTGGGGATGTGGGGAGCCTTTGTGTCTAGCTCAGGGATTGTAAACGCACCAATCAGTGCCCTGTCAAAACAGACCACTCAGGCTCTCTGTAAAATGGACCAATCAGCAGGATGTGGGTGGGGCCAGGTAAGAAAATAAAAGCAGGCTGCCCGAGCCAGCAGTGGCAACCCACTGGGGTCCCCTTCCACACTGTGGAAGCTTTGTTCTTTTGCTCTTTGCAATAAATCTTGTTGCTGCTCACTGTTTGGGTCCACACTGCCTTTATGAGCTGTAACACTCACTGAGAAGGTCTGCAGCTTCACTCCTGAAGCCAGCGAGACCATGAACCCACTGGGAGAAATGAACAACTCCAGACCTGCAGCCTTAAGAGCTGTAACACTCACCGTGAAGGTCTGCAGCTTCACTCCTGAGCCAGCGAGACCACGAACCCCACCAGAAGGAAGAAGCTTCAAACACATCTGAACATCAGAAGGAACAAACTCCAGACACACCACTTTTAAGAACTGTAACACTCACCAGGAGGGTCCGCGGCTTCATTCTTGAAGTCAGTGAGACCAAGAACCCACCAATTCTGGACACACTTATACACTTGGCACTGGGAGGTCTGTATGGAGCAAGTGAAGAAATCAGCAGAGTGAAGATAGAGGGAGAACATGATGGGGGAAAGGCAAAGTTACTGCCATGTTGGTTTCAATTCTGCCACTCATGAGTGAGACCCATGACCTCCTCTCTCTAGGACTCTGTTCTTCTTATCTGTAGAGTGGAGGAATAGAAGGGCCTTTTAAAGTATTAACATTTCCTGACCTATCTGTAAAACACTTTCATTCAAACTGATGGGAATCTTGACTACTTTGCCAAGAGGACATAATAATCATCAAGCTGAATGCACCAAACAACATTGCCTGAAACTATCTAAGCAAAAACTGAGAAAGTTACACAGGACAGACACACCTCCTATAAGAGTAAGAACTCTTCAGCACATGCTTAGTGTGTCAAAGACAATGCTATGTTCACACCATTCCTCTTCCTGGACATGCAGAAGGACTACGTTTCCCAGCCTCACTTGCAGTTAGTTTGGAACCATGTGACTGCATTTCCACCAATAGGAATGTAAGAAATCCCTTCAGGCCAAGGTTATCAAAGGCAAGTGTGAGCTATATTCCCTCTCTCCCTATCCATATGGCTACAAGTGAAAAACTCTGAGATGGCAGAATTAAAAGATGGAAACCTCCAGAATCTCTGAATCACTGTTGGACAAGGGCCCCCAAGGAGAACCCCTGCCCTACACCAGACTATGTTATGGGTGCCAACCCACTGAGAATTCAGGGTTTATTCATCTCAGCAGCAGTCTACTGTTACACTGACTAACATCCTAAGGTTTGAGAGATCTAGCATATTGTTAATTGAAGCTAGATTTCAATTACACTGAGAACCTTATCTATTTAAAAATAAAAACTCTCCTAAAAAAAACAAATAATCCACATTCCTTTTAACCACGTGGCAAATTTGCAAAGAAAAAAAAAAAACTGGCCACATATTAGGCCATAAAGAAGTCTCAACAAGATCCACTATACGATTGACATTGTCCAGACCACATTTTCCTGACCATAATGCAACAAAATTAGAAGTCAACAGCAAGAAGATAGCTAAACACAAGCACACATTTGGAAAATTAAAAATATCCTTTCATGAGTTAAATGAAAAATCACAATAGAAATTACTAAACATTTACAACAGAACGAAAATACAACTTTATATATATATATGTATATATATATATATGTATATACATTTTTTTGTGAGTCTTCCAACTTTGTTCTTCTTTTACAAGGTTATATGGGAAATTCTGGGTTTCCTGCAATTCCTCATACAGTTTTATGCTGTTTGTCAATTTCGGTGGCTGGGATGAACTTATCGTAGTTCTCATAGACCAGGGTTTGCATGTCGCTGTCTAGAGCCCGGATCTGCTGCACCATGTCCGTCTCACTGTCGATCAGCTGGGCCAGAGGGCACTCTCTAGGCAGCTTGTCCAGGTAAACTTCCGGGTCGAAGTGCGCCCCGTTCAGATCAGTGGGGTCCAGGGGGTCGGGCCCCGCAGGGAGTCCCAACGCCTCCCCTTCCGAGAGGCCTTTGTAAAGCTTTAGCATCCTGTGTGCCTTCCGCCGACGCTCCGTGAGCCTCCCGCTCCTGCCCTTCTGGGGAGTCCCCAGGTCCACATCCTGGGCTAGGCCCAGTGACAGCTGCCGCCGCCATAGGTCCAACTGCAGCCCACGGGCGTAATTTTTATATTTTTAAGTTGGATACATGGAGCTACTTGGCTTTTGCTTTCATCACATCGTTGAGGAAAGAGGTGGTTGCTTATGGTACCCCTGTTTTTACTGCAACCTGTAATGGATGAGAACCTCCCTGTTGCAGAGAGCAAAACACTGAACTAAATTGTGCTGTAACACAGCCCTGTGTTGGGGGATTGGGAGTGATCATGCAAACGCTTGCAAATTTGCAGTGACAGAGACAATCGTTTGGGCAGCTGTTCACTATAGGAAAAGGCAATTGACCAAAAGTCAGTTACTGAGCTATCTCAATACTTTCATTTTATTTTAACTTTTGGCAGCAAGGTGCAATTAAAGGAGAGAAAGAAAACAAAATGATAAGTGTAAGATAATGTACACACAAGTGTGAAAGAAAATGACAAGACAGGATGACTATTTGTCTCTTGGTTAGCTCCTTGGGCTCTATGTCTCCTTCCTCAGAGAACCTCGTTTTCCTTTGTCCAGATTTGTTAAGGTGGATAATCCAGGCGCCTGCTCCCCCCATGATAGAAGCCAAAGACGTCCCTGGAGCCGCCTCCCGCTTCATCCTTTCCTGCACTGCCCACATGGACACAACTCAGCCGATTAGACTTCCTCTCAGAACTTTAGTCTTGAGCAAAGGGATTAAAGGGTGAAGTGACTGAAGGTATGCCCTTCCAAAGTAGTACGTGAGCTAATGGCTAAAGTTTGTCAAGCCCATCCAAGCACTTTTTTTCGTAATTTTCATTTATTTATTTATTTGAGACAGAGTCTTGCTCTGTTGCCCAGGCTGGAGTGCAGTGACGTGATCTCGGTTCACTGCAACCTCTGTCTCCGGCTTCAAAGGAGTCTCCTGCCTCAGCCTCCCCAGTAGCTGGGATTACAGGCATATGCCACCATGCTTGGCAATTTTTTTTTTTTTTTTGTATTTTTAGTAAAGACAGGGTTTCACCATGTTGGCCAGGCTGGTCTCGAACTCCTGACCTTGTGATTCGCCTGCCTCAGCCTCCCAAAGGGCTGGGATTACAGGAGTGAGCCACCGCGCCCAGCTTCATAAAGTTTTAAGCAGAGCTCAGAGGTCTTAGCCACAGGCACAACGGAGGAGCATTTTTGAAACACTTTCCAGCTTCCTCAATAGGAATGGAAGCCAAACTCCGAATTGATGACTCCTTTGAGGAAGTCAAGAGCTGTAAAGAAAGCCAGGAACAGGGGCAAGGGAGAGATGCGTCCCGAATGATCCTGTGCCAATTCTTTCTGGAATCCTTGATGTGATCTCAGCTGCCCTTTCTATACATGACACAGTGATTGTGGAACCCACTGGTCTATCTGTGGTCTCCAAGGAACCCCCAAAGGGAAGGGCAGAGTGAGCAGGGCCATCGGCCTGAGTGACAAGGATTTGAGAGGACAGGTTGGATGCAGGGAGAGGACTGGCCAAATGCCATGTGTCTGGACTTAGACTGCCTGGTTCAAATTGGACTTCGCCCTTTTTGACTTCGTGATCTGGTACAAGCTACATGAAAATCCGTTGCGCCTTTTCTAGTCTGTAAAATCATCCTGAAATGTGCACTAATAACATGGAGACTACGCAGATGAAATGAAACAAGCTGCATAGAGAACAGAGCTCAGAGCCTGGCCTTTAGGAAGCCCTCAGTAAGGGTTCATGATGTCATGGTGTCTGTCGTCATCCTCTTTATCCTCATCATCACCTTCATAATCTCTTTGTTGTTCTTAGGGAATAGTTTAGAGGGACTGATTCCCTGCTATCATGGGTGAGATGTCTATGAAAAGGACAACCAGTGGGGGAGGAAAGCAAAATTTTGAATAAGATTTCTGAGACCCCCAGCACAACCAAGAACAGGAACTCCACAGTCTGCTGAGCAGAGAGTTGCATATTGGTCTCCTCCCATCTGCCCACCGCACTCCCCTGTTTGTCCTTAGGATGAGGAAACAAACAAGGCTCCCGACCGTCCCTCAGCACTCACTTGAAGGGGTGGCCTGCCCCTCCACACCTGTGGGTATTTCTAGTCATGTGGGACGAGAGACTGAGAAAAGAAATAAGACACAGAGACAAAGTATAGAGAAACAACAGTGAGCCCAGGGGACTGGCGCTCAGCATACCAAGGACCTGCACCGGCACCGGCCTCTGAGTTCCCTCAGTTTTTATTGATTATTATTTTTATTATTTTAGCAAAAAGGAATGTAGTAGGAGGGCAGGGTGACAATAAGGAGAAGGTCAGCAACGAAGATGTGAGCAATAGAATCTATGTCATAATGAAGTTCACGGGAAGGTACTATGACTGGACGTGTGCGTAAGCCAGATTTATGTTTCTCTCCACCCAAACATCTCAGCGGAGTAAAGAATAACAAGGCAGCATTGCTGCAAACATGTCTCGCCTCTCACCATAGGGCGGTTTTTCTCCCAACTCAGAATTGAACAAATGTACAATCGGGTTTTATATCAAGACATTCAGTTCCCAGCGGCAGGCAGGAGAGAGCGGCCTTCCTCTCTCTCAACTGCAAGAGGCTTTCCTCTTTGACTAATCCACCTCAGCACAGACCCTTTACGGGGGTCAGGCTGGGGGACGGTCAGGGCTTTCTCATCCCATGAGGCCACTTATCAGACTATCACATGGGGAGAAACCTTGGACAATACGCCTCTTTCAAGGGCAGAGTTCTCTGCGACTTTCCACAGTGTATCTTGCCCCTGGTTTATTGAGACTAGAGAATGGCGATGACTTTTACCAAGTATACTGCTTGGAAACATCTTGTTAACGAGGCACGTCCTGCACAGCCCTAGATCCCTTAAACCTTGATTTCATACAACACATGCCTTTGTGAGCTTCAGGTTGGGTCAAAGTGGTTGGGTCAAAGTGACTGGGGCAAAGCTACAGATTAACAACATCTCAGCGAAGCAATTGTTGAAAGTACAGGTCTTTTTCAAAATGGAGTCTCTTATGTCTTTCCCTTCTACATAGACACAGTAAGTGTCTGATCTCACTTTCTTTTGCCTACATTCACTGAACTGCCCTTCCCCTCTGCTGGGCCATGACCACAGAGAACAGGTCCACTGTCCTCCCTGCGTGGTGCACCATAGAGGCTCAGACTCCGTCCTCAAGGCTGGCAAGAAGACAGGGTGAGACATCAGCCCCCTGATAAAGGTGACGGGAGTGGAGCCCACAGGACTGGAATCTCACACTGCAGGGCTGGAGGCACAGACTGACTATTTACTATTCTGTGGCCTGGGTGGCTCAAGGCACAGAGCTCCTTATTAGCCAAAGTCACCCAAGTTGCCCAACCTCTAAGGGTTTCCTCATAATATTGCAAGAAGAAGAGAAAAGTGAGTGTCTATAGAAGCTTTGGGGCTCTTCCTCTAATCAGGAGAAAGCTGGTGTGTATTCTTCGCTTCTTTCTTTTCTTTTTAAACATCTAACTGCTTCAATTTCCTTCTTTTATTATGGGAAAATATACCACGTATAAATATTAAAAATTATAAATACATATTAGTTCATAGAGAATGGCCAGTATAAACATTTAAAATTTCCACTCTTTTTCAGTTTACAGTTTAACGACATTAAGTACGTTCACATTGTTTAGCAACCATCAACGCCATCGTCTCCGGAACAGTTTTATCTTTCAAAATGGAAATTCCACCCATTCACCCGCTCTCCATTCCTCTCTCTCGCCCACCCCTGGGGGCCACCTTTCTAGTTAGTAACGCTATGAATTTAACTACTCTAGACACTTGATAGATAAGTGGAATCATACCGTGTTTAATTTTTTTGTTTTGGAGACAGAGTCTTTCCCTGTCACCCAGGATGGAGTGCAGTGGCGTGGTCTGGGCTGACTGCAACCTCCACATAGTGGGTTCAAGCGATTCTTGTGTCTCAGTCTCCCGAGAAGCTGGGATTACAGGCGTGTGCTACCACGCCCAGCTAATTTTTGTATTTTTAATAGAGACGAGCTTTCACCATATTGGCCAGGCTGGTCTCGAACTCCTGACTTTAAGTGATCCGCCTGGCTCAGCCTCCCAAAGGGCTGGGGTTACAGGTGTGAGCCACTGAGCCTGGGCCTGTTTATCCTTTTGGGATTTATTTATTTCACTGACGATAATGTCTTCAAGATTCATCCATGTTGCGGCCTGCGTCGGAAGTGCCTGTCTGTTTTTTTTTTGTTTGTTTTTTGTTTGTTCGTTTGACTATGTTTTGTTTTGTGTTTCCATGGAGTCTCACTCTGTCTCACAGGCTGGAGTGCAGTGGCACAATCTGGGCTCACTGCAACCTCCGCTTCCCGGGTTCAAGCGATTCTTGTGCCTCAGCCTCTTGAGTAGCTGGGAATGTAGGCACAAGCTACCACGCTCACCTAATTTTTTTCATTTTCAGTAGAGACAGGGTTTCACCAAGATGGCCAGGCTGGTCTTGAATTCCTGATCTCAGGTCATCCGCCCACCTCGGTCTTCCAAGACGCTGAGATTACAGGTGTGAGCCACCGCACCTGCCAGAAGTGCCTGCCTTTTTAAGGCTGAATAGTCTTCCATTGTATGAAGGAACTGCAGGGTGTTTTTCATTCATCTGTCCACGAACCCTTGGGTTGCTTCCACATTTTGGCTGTTGTGAATAATGCTGCTATGATTATCGGTGTACACAAATCTGTCTTCCACTCCTGGCTTCTAAATCTTTTTGGTAGGTACCCACAAATGAAACTGCGGGAACATCTGATCATTCTGTTTCTAATTTTTCCAGTACACGCCATACTATTTTCCCCATTCCTTCACGATTTTACATTCCCTGCGATCAGATTCGAGCATTCCTACTTCCCTCTAGTCTCACCAATGCCTGTTTGTTTATCATATCCATCCTAATGTGTGGTGTCACATTCTTGGTTTGATTTGCGCTTCCCTATGATGAGTGATTTTGAACATCATTTTAGATGCTTATTGGCCATTGCCATATCTTCTTTAGGGACACGTCTACTTGAGTCTTATGACCATTGTTGATGGGAGGATTTGGGTTTCTTGTTGTTTAGTTCTAGCTGTTCTTTATATATGATGGATATCAACTTCTTTTCAGACATATGCTTTGCAAATCTTTTTCCTAATCCATGGGTTATCTTTTCACTCAGTTTGCAGTGTTTGTTGCTGCACAAAAGTGTCTGTCACTTAAATGTAATCCAAGGAATCTAATTTTCTTTTGTTGCCTATGTTTTTGGTGTCATATCCCAGAGAACATTGCCCAATCTGATGTCATGAAAGCGTGGCCAATGTTTTCTTTTAGGCGTATGATACTTTTAGCGCTTGGGGTGAGGTCTCTGATCCAGTTTGTGTTAATTTTTGCACCTGGTGTGACATAGGGTTCACCTTCATTCTTCTGCATGTGGAAATCAAGTTTCTCCAAAACCATTTCTTGAAAAGGCTGCTGTTCCACCAATGAGCTTTCTTAGCACTCTTGTGAAAAATCATTTGAACATATAGGTGAGAAGTTATTTCTGGGCTCCAAAACAAACAAACAACAACAGACAACAGATAAGGATAGAGCATGGGCCGGGCGCGGTCGCTCAGGCTTGTAATCCCAGCACTTTGGGAGGCCGAGGCGGATGGATCACCTGAGGTCAGGAGTTGAAGACCAGCCTGACTGACATGGAGAAACTCCCGTCTCTAATAGAAATATAACATTGGACGTGCTGGCGCATGCCTGTAATTCCAGCTACTTGGGAGGTGGAGGCAGGAGAATCGCTTGAACCCAGGAGGCAGAGGTTGCGGTGAGCCAAGATTACACCATGACACTCCAGCCTGGGCAACAAGAGCGAAACTCCATCTCAAAGCAAAAAACAAAAAACAAAAAACCAGCATGATTTCAAGAGCAGAAAGAGAAGAGCTTAAAAACCAGCATAATGAGAAAGTTAGGAAGCTACTTACCAAAGCATCTGGAAATATGCAAGCAATTTTTGTGAACTAAAATTTTCATACTGTACTATCAAACACTAGAACTCACTTATTCCATCTTTCTGTATTTTGAGACCCAATTATCCACTTGTCTTCATTCTGTATCCTACCCCTTTTCTTCCTAGCGTCTGCTAACCACCTTTATACTCTCCACCTTCCTGAGATTCCTTTTGTGTGTAGGTGTGTGTGGCATGGAGTCTCTTTCTGTTGCCCAGGTTGGAGTATACAGGCACAATCCGGGCTCTCTGCAAGATCCGCCTCCCGAGTTCAAGTGCTTCTTGGGCCTCAGCCCTCAGAGTAGCTGAGACTACAGACACGCGTCACCACGCCTGGCTCATTGTTTGTGTTTTCCGTAGAGACGGGGATTCACCATGTTGGCCAGGCGGGTCTCAAACTCCTGGACTCAAGTGATCCGTGCGACTCGGCCTCCGAGAGTGCTGGGATTCCAGGCCTGAGCCACCACACCTGGCCAAGGTTTCCTTTTTTCTTCCTACATAGAAGTGAGGACATGAAATATTTGTCATTCTGTGCCTGGCTTCTTTCATTTAATATACAGACCTGCAATCTCATCCATTTTGTCTGCAGCGGAGAGGAGTTTCTTCCTTTTTAGGCTGAATAATACTTCACTGGGTGTGTACACCACAGTTTCTTCATTGAAACAAATTTCTGAAGAGCAAATATTTTTAAAATGTCTCGGAATGTGAAACTTCAGGGATACTGTGCCCATTTTATTCTTTTCTATTTCCCATCTTATGTATACGCAAGTGTATAACAAAGCAGCAATCAATGTGTGTATAAATCTACAACTTCAACAAATGTAAAATGTAAATGCTAAGTGGTGGCTGGGCACGGTCCCTCATGCCTGTAATCCCAGCACTTTGGGAGGCGGAAGCGGGCCGTTCACCTGAGGTCGGGAGTTCAAGACCAGCCTGACCAAAATGGAGAAACACTGTCTCTATTAACAATACAAAAAAAAAAAAAAAATAGCCAGGCATGGTAGCGCATGCCTGTAATCCCAGCTACTTGGAAGGCTGAGACAGGAGAATAGCTTGAATATGGGAGGCAGAGGTTGCAGTGAGACGAGACTGTGCCATTGAACTCCAGCCTGGGCAACAAGAGTAAAACTCTGATTCAAAAAAAAAGGAAAAGAAAGAAATAGAAAATGTGAAATGGTAAGAAAAAACAGCATAATAAACATTTGTATGGTGTTGATGGACAATGCATTTGAAGATAATATTTGAAGAACTCATATTACAATTAATTTCTGTTCTTACTCATTGGAGCTTGATGCCTCTAAAAACTTCGTCATTGGAACCACCTCTGGTGCTTTAAAAGAAAAAAAAAAAAAAAAATCCACACACTCACACAGGTGCAAGGAAATCAGAATCTCAGGTATTGAGACCCAGGCCTCATCATTTGTAAGCTCCCCAGGTGATTAGATTCAAAGCCAAGATTGAGGAACGGCTACGTGGATCTCTCCACATAACCTGCCTAAACAGATTCTATAGAAGCAGTTTATAAAGAAATTCCACATGAACTGTGGAAGAGAATATGAATTTGATGTACAGTATGTCCTCACTTAACATCTTTGAAAGTCTGTTGGAAACTTCACCTTGAAGCAAAATTATGTATAGTGGAACCACTTATTTTTCATCAACAGTATAACTACACAACTTTGAACAACCAATGGTGTTGGAGGACCTCCTGTACATTGTTTCCATAAAGTCAGTTTTCAGGGAATTCCAAAACGAAGTGAGGACTTCGTATATATAAAAAGATAGTTGTGATTCCACCTGGATGACAGGGTTATTGCTCAGAAACTAAAAGAGGCCGCCTAGGTATAGAAGATTCTGTCATGAGGTTTCTGCTAAACAAAGGGTCCCAGAATCCTCACCCATTCCAGTTAAAGGCATAACGAAGAAAGCAATATTCACAAAGGAAATGCGGAAAGGAATAAAAGCCATCAAGCCACAAAAAGAATGTGACTAAGGGGCAGGATTTGCAGATGTAGAGATTTAATGTGGTTGCCCTGTCTCAGCCACACAAGAAAAAGGATGGAACAGATCATGAGATTCGACTGTTCTGCTGAGCAGCCTCCGCAGGGCACTTTGTATGTCCCTGTTTCTCAGGCTGTAGATGAAAAGGTTCAGCATGGGGGTGACCACAGCGTACATCACTGACGCTACCACACCATTCCTGGGGGGTGGTGACACAGCTGAAGTCAGGTACACGCCAATGCCTGTTCCATAAAATCAGCAAACAACTGCCAAGTGAGAGCCACAGGTGGAGAAGGCTTTATACTTCCCATCTGATGATGAAATCCTTAGAATGGAGGGGACGATTTTATAGTAAGACAAAAGGATCCCTGAAATGGGAAGAAAACCAAACATAGTACTATGGAAATACATGAATATGCTATTGATGACGCTGTCAGAACAGGCAAGTTTGAGAAGTTGAGAGGGGTCACAGACAAAATTAGAGATTTCCACATTCTTGATGATGGTGAATTGTAACACAATCCAACTGTGCAGCTGGGAATCCAACAAGCTAAGGAAAAAGTATACCAAAAGGAAGAAGACACAGAGGTGAGGATTCACGATGACTGGGTAGTGCAGAGGGCGACAGATGGCTACAAAGCAGTCATAGGCCATCACAGTCAGGAGCATGTCTTCTATACATGCAAAAAGGACCAAGAAAGATATCCGTGTCAGGCAGCCCTCATAAGAGATGACTCTGGTATGAGACTGCATGTCCACAATCATCTTAGGAACCGTGGCCAAGGTGAAACCGATGTCAGCCCAGCACAGGTTGGAGAGGAAGAAGCACATGGGGGTGTGGAGGTGGGGGTCAGAGCTGACAGCCAGGATGATGAGCAGGTTCCTCAGCACCGTGACCAGATACATGGACAGGGACAGACCAGCCAGGATGGGCTGCAGTTCTGGATCCTCTGAGAGTCCCAGGAGGAGGAATTCTCAGACACCTGTGAGATTCTGTGGCTCTGTGTGACTTGGACACCTTGGGAAGAAAAGAGGATTGGAAAAATAAAAGATAAAAACCAGCCCTTAATACTGTGTGTATATTTTGGATGCAAGCAATTCACAAGGAACATTTTCACACTTGCGGACCATACACCGTCAGCAATGTTTCTCAGTTGTGACAAATCCAAAAATCTCAGAATTATGACATGATTTACTTTTTTGCTATACAAGGCTTTCTGTACATACTACTTCAGAGAAAATCCACTGAAGAATGTTAGAAGACCAAAACGTCATATATAAGAAATCCGTGATCTCAGTAAAATACGGCCTACTCTTTTCAGAAATAAATAGAATGCAATGAAAATGTTCTTCTCTCTTGAAGAAAAAGATCTCAGTCTAATTGAAAGAAATTAAGAAGCCGTGAAATACACTCTATTTTATTCTGACACCGTGCTACAAATTCCTTTGATGTAGAATATGTAAAAGGACGATACAAGAGCTAGGACCGCATTATCTAAAAACGAAATCGCAACTTAGAGTTCTTAATCGGAAGATCTTTTCACATGCCTGTTACTTTTAATATTTATTATCATCCTTAGGTTTTCTGACATCATTTCTTCAAAAAAGTACATGCACACTCAAATATGGGAGCTGTGTTTCCAAATGAATTGAATATATAACTCTTGGCCGAGCGCCATGGCTCACACCTGTAATCCCAGCACTTTGGGCGGCCGAGGCTGATGGATCACCTGAGGTCAGGAGTTCCAGACCAGCCTGGCCAACGTGGTGAAACCCCGTCTCCAGTGAAAATAAAAATTAGACGGGCATGGTGGCGGGTAACCCTAGCTACTCGGGAGGCTGAAGCAGGAGAATCCCTTAGAACCTGGAAGGCAGAGATTGGACACCCTGTGATAGGATTTTTGATATCCTGGGGAGATGTTGCTCCTGACAGCAGAGTGGGCGTACACCCTGTGATATTATTTGTAATATCCTAGAAAGATATTGCTCCTAATATCACAGTGGCTGTACACCCTGTGATCTTAATTGTAATATCCTACAGAGATATTACTCCTAATAATATAGTGGGTGTACACCCTGTGATATTATTCATAATATATTACGGAGATATGACTCCTGATATCACAGTGAGTGTACACCATGTTTGTACACCCTGTGATCTTATTTGTAACAACTTAGAAAAATATTACAGCTAATTTCAAAGTGGATGTACACCCTGCGATGTTATTTGTCATCCACTAGGTAGATGTTACTCCTAATATCACAGTGAGTGTACACCATGTGTGTACAGACTGTGAAATTATTCGTAATACCCTAGGAAGATATTACTCCTCATACCACAGTGGGTGTACACCCTGTGATATTATTGGTGATCCCGTAGGGTGATACTATTCCTAGTATTACAGTGGGTGTACACTCTGTGAGGTTATTTGTAATGTCCTAGGACGATATTACTCCTAATATCAAAGTGGATGTACATCATGTGGGTACACTCTGTGATATAATTCGTGATATCCCAGAGAGATATTTCTCCTAATATCACAGTGTGTGTACACTCTGTGATATTATTTGTACTATCCTAGAGAGATATTGCTCCCAGTATCACAGTGGGTGTACACCCTGTGATATTAGAGATATTACCTCTAATATCACAGTTTCTGTACACCCTGTGGTATTATTCATCATATCCCAGGGAGATATTATCCCTAACATCACAGTGCGTGTACACCATGGGTGGACACCCTGTGATGTTATTGGTAATATCCTAGGGGGATATTACCCTTAATGTCACAGTGGGTGTACACCATGTGTGTACGCACTGAGATGTTACTTGTAATATCCTAGGGAGAAATTACACCTAATGTTACAGTGGGTGTACACCATGTGTTTCTATTCTGTGATGCTATTGGTAATATCTTAGAAAGTTATTAGTCCTAGTGCCACAGTGGGTGTATACCATGTGTATCCACTCTGTGATGTTATTCGTATTATCCTAGGGAGATAGTTCTCATAACATCACCGTGGGTGTACATCACATATGTACTCCCTGTGGTCTTATTGGTTATGTCCTGGGTTGATATTACACCTAATATCACTGTGGGTGCACACCATAGGTGTACATTCTGTGATGTTATTCGTAACACCCTAGGGAGGTATCACTTCTTATGTCATAGAGGGTGTACAGCTTTGTGATATTCTTGGTAGTATCCTTGGGACGTATTACTCCTGTTATCACAGTGGGTGTACACCTTGTGATAGTATTTGCAATATCCTAGGGAGATGTCACTGTATACCCTGTGGTATTATTTGTGACATTTGAGGGAGCTATTTCTCCTAAAGTCAGAGTGGGTGTACACCCTGTAATATTCTTCCTAATATCACAGTGGGTGGACACCGTGAGTGATATTTTTTTCTAATATCCAGCGAGGGAGAGGATGATATTGATTCCAATATCACGGAAGGTGTACATCCCCTTGTGATATTGTTCCTAATATCCAGGGAAGGAGAGGATGACATTATTCCCAATATCACTGGGGGTGTACCACCTCCCACCGGGATATTGTTCTTAATATCAGTAGGTGGAGAGAATGATGTTACTCCCAATATCACAGGGGTTGTACACCACCCCTGTTTGTAAACACCCCCTGTGATATTGTTCCAAATGGCCTGTGAAAGAGTCAATATTACTCCCATTATCGCGGGGGGTGTTCAGCCCTGATGATATTGTTTTCTAACATCCAGGGAAGGAGAGTATGCTATTACTCCCAATATCGCAGGGGTTGTACAGCTTTTTGTGTTATTGGGCCCAATATCCAGGAAAATAGAGGATGATAGTACTCCCAATATCGAAATAATTGTACAGCACCCCTGTGATATTCTTCCTAATATCCCGAAAGGAAGAGAATGATATTACTCCCAACAGCGTAGGAAACGTAAATCCGCGCTGTGATATCTTCCCCATATCCAGGTGGGGAGAGGATCATATTACTTCCAATATCTCAGGGTGTGTACACCCCCTCTGTGATCTTGTTGCTAACATCCAGGTTTGGGGAGGACGACATTACTCCCAATATCGCAGGGGGAGTTCACCCCCCCGTGACCTTGTTAGTCATTTCCTGGGTGGAGAGGATGATATTACTCCCAATATCGCAGGGGGTGTACACAGCCCTGTGAAAATCTTCCTCATATCCAGAGGGCGAGAGGATGATATTACTCCCAGTACCGCTGGGGGTTTCGACAGCCCTGTGATACTCTTCCTAATATCCACAGGGAGAGAGGATGATATGACTCCCAATATCGCAGGGTGTGTACAAAACCCTGTGATATTGTTCCTAATATCCAGAGCGAAAGAGGATGATATGACTCTCAATTTCGCAGTGGGTGTACACCCCTCCTGTGATATTGTTCTGAATACCCTGGGAGAGAGAGGATAAGGTTACGTTGAGTATCGCAGGGAATGTACACCCTCCCCCTCTGATACCCTTCCTAGTATCCAGGGGAAGAGAGAATAATTGTACTCCCAATATCACAGAGGCAGTACACCCCACCTGTGATATTGTTCCCAATATGCGAGGGGGGAGAGGATGATACTACTCCCAATATCGCAGGGGTGTTCACATCCCCAGTGACAATTTTCCTAATATCTAGGGGAGAGACAATTACATGACAGCAAATGTCGCAGGGTCTGTACATCCCTTCCTGATATTGTTCCTAATATCCAGGGGGAAAGAGGATGATATCGAATATGAAAGGGGGTATACAACCCCCGCCCCTACGATATTGTTCTTAATATTCTTGAGGGGAGACGATGATATGACTCCAAATATCGCAAGGGTTGTTCACACCCCCCTGTGATATTCTTTCTAATATCTGGGGGGGGAGAAAATAACATGACTTCCAATATTGCGGGTGGTGTAAACCCCACCTGAAATATGGCACCGAATATCCAAAGAGGGAGAGGATGGTATTCATACCAATATCGAAGTGTGTGTACACGCCCCTTGTGACATGGTTTTTAATATCCAGGGGGTGGGAGGATGATATTAGTCCCAAAGTCCCAGAAGGTGTACACTACCCCTGTGATATTGTCCCTAACTTCTAGAGGGGAGAGGATGAGATCACTCCCAATATCTCAGAAGTTTTACATGCCCCGTGATATTGTTCGTCGTATCCAGGGAGGCACAGGATGACATTCCATTGAATTTCACGACAGGCTTCCACGCACACTGTGATATTGTTCCTAATATCCAAGAATGCAGAGGATGACATTACTGCCAATAAAGGAGTGGGTGTACATTACCCTTGTGTTTTTGCCTCTAATATCCGGGAAGGGTGGAGGGGGGGAGAGGATAACATTCCCTTAAATGTAGCAGGTGGTTTGACGCCCCTCGTGGTGTTGTTTTACATATCCAGCGGGAAAGACAATAATATTATTTTTGATAGTCCGATTCATCCACTCCACCTTTCCGGAACTCTGAGACCGGGAGGCGGCATGCAGTTTCCGTGTGATCCCCAATACCTTTGCCGTCTTCTGTAGCAAGTCAGCCACAAACGCAGGCCCGTTATCTGAGCCGATCCGGAAGGGCAGTCCCAATCTACGAATCAGATCTCGAAGAAGCACACGGCTTACTTCACGAGCTTTCTCAGTTCATGTTAGATAAGCCTCCACCCACACAGATTAGGTACGCCCAAGAACTAGTAAATACTTGTTACCTCCACACTTTGGCATCTCTGTGAAGTCTACCTGGAGATCTTCAAAGGGGGCTGCTCCATAAGCTTGTATGCCGGGTGGAACGGCTGGACCTTGCCTCGCATGATGCTGTCGGCAGCTGACACATCGCTGCCTCACCGTTTTGGCAAGGGCTAAGAAAGGCGAGATGTAGAACTACCGGCCTAACAACTTTTTGCAGTGACTCCTGACCTAGATGGGTGGTTTCTTGCACAGCAAGTACAACTGCAGCTCCTAGCAGCTGTGGCACAGCTACTCTCCCATCCGGTAACCGAATCCATCCTTCCTCCATCGCTTGTCCTTCCCTCTACCTGGAGAAAGTCCTTTTCTTCTTTAGAATAAGCAGGTCCAAGATCAGGTGCTTGAGGGAGCAGAGGAGCTGTGACTGATGCCTGGAAAGGGGCAGATGCTGCTTTTGAGCCTCTGAGTCAGCGCGGGAATTCCCCAAGCCCACCAAGGTGGAAGCTCGCTGGTGTCCCCTGCAATGCATAACTGCCACCTTGTGGGGTTTCCATACTGCTTCTAATACATGGAAGATTTCTGGTTGATATTTTGTGCCTTTTCCCCCAGAGTCCAATAGGCCCTTTTCTTTCTATCACGCTCCATGCACGTGAAGGGTTAAAAAGACGTACCGAGAATCAGTGTAAATGTTGACAGTCTCACCCTCACTGAGTTCTAAGGCCCGAATGAAAGCAATGAGTTCAGCTTTCTGGGCTGAAGTGCCCTGGGGCATCGATCTGGCTTCAACAACAGTGTCCAGGTTATCACGCATACCCTGCACCTCTCTCTCCTTAGGTGTTGATGAAGCTGCTCCCATGCACGTATAGTTCCCAGTGTACTGATGCCCAAGCTTGGTCCCGGATGTCAGGTCTGCTAGAGTCAACTGAGTCCAACACTTCTACACAATCATGCTCGACAGGGCTCTCTGACAGCGGGAGCAAGGTGGCAGGGTGTTACAAACTTCAATGGTTA
Source organism: Homo sapiens (assembly GCF_000001405.40). NCBI lineage: Eukaryota > Metazoa > Chordata > Mammalia > Primates > Hominidae > Homo > Homo sapiens. The sequence goes on along the minus strand of NC_000011.10, from coordinate 71,614,374 downwards.
TACGGGGATTTTCACAGAGCAAAGTCTGGTACTTGGTGAGTCTGGCATTCGTTAGCCAATGATGTCCTTTAGTATTCATTAAAGTCACCACAGTATGGGGGGCCTTTCTGTTCAGGTTTTGCCCAAGAGTCAGCTTCTTTGCTTCTTGTACTAGCAGTGCAGTTGCTGCCAAGGCCCCCAAACACAGGGGCCATCCTTTAGAGACCCAGTCTAGTTGTTTAGAGAGGTAGGCCACCGGCCTCGGCCAGGGCCCCACAGTTTGGGTTCAAAGTCCGGCTGCCATCTTTTCTCTCTCTCTGGCACATAGGATGAAAAAGGCTTTGTCAGATCGGGTAGCCCCAGGGCTGGGGCTGACATAAGTTTCTCCTTTAACTCATGAAAGACTTGCTGTTGTTGGGATCCCCATTCAAAAAGTTCCCGGTCCCCGCCCCCTTGGTGACCTCATACAAAGGCTTGGCTAATACTGCAAAGTTTGGGATCCACAGTCTACAAAACCCCACAGCTCCTAAGAATTCTCTCACCTGCCTTCTGCTCTTAGGCTCTGCTAGATTGCAAATGACCTGCTTTCTTTCTGATCCCGGGCTGCGTTCCCCCTGTCTGATAGTAAATCCCAAGGAACGTACCTGCTGTCGGCAGATCTGAGCTTTCTTCTTGGACACCTTATACCCACAGTCCTCCAGGTGTCGGCGTAGGGCAATCCGTTCCCTTGGCACACCCGACTGCCGTGGGGTGTCCCAGCAAAAGCTCATCAACCTAGCGGAGCAAAGCGCAGCCTAGGTCTCTGCTGGGAAACTTCTGGAGGTCTCGAGCCAACGCCCCCCCGAAGATGGTGGGGGAGTCCTTGAACCCTTGGGGAAGCCCGGTCCAAGTGTACTGAGTAGTGACACCTGACTCCGGATCTTCCCACTGAAAGGCAAACAGCTTCTGGATCTCAGGGCTAATCTGATAGGAAAGAAAGCGTCTCTCAGGTCCAAGCAGGTGAACCAGCCGTCCTCAGCTGGCAGCAACCCCAACAATGTGGACGGGCTAGGTACTGTTGGATGGAAAGTCAGAGTAGCTTGACTAAGCAAGTGCGAATCCTGTCCTTGGTACATGGTTTGGGAATAGGTAGGAGGGTAGTATTCCGTGGAGACTTACAAGGAACTATCATACCAAAAGTTCTTAGGTGCTTAAGATGGACCTGGATACCTTGAAGAGCTTCTCTGGGGACCGGGTCCTGTTTTTGCCTAAGCGGCTGGGACCCAGTCTTAACTGGCCAACCCTGGTGGGTTGTCTTCTGCCCGTACTCTTGGCCACCGCTTAGCCAGAGCTGGTCTTCTCTCTTGGCCCGCCTCAGTTCAGAAAACTCTCCATTCCTCCTCTCGGGGGACCGTAAGGGTCATAATGACTCCCGTGGCGGGTAACTTTAGCAGCAAAGAGCTGTGTTCTGTCAAAGAGAGAGCAGCTCTCAGCTTGCTAAGCAAGTCCCTTCCCAACAAGGGCAAGGGACAGTCAGGCATGTACAAAAACTGATGAATCACTTGATGTCCTCCTATAGTGCAAGTCCCAGGCAAGCAGAAAGCTTGCTTTGCTGAAGCCCCCGTGGCTCCGGTGACGTCTATAGTCTTTCTGGATAAGGGGGCGACCGGGGCGGTTACTAGCGAATGTTCAGCACCGGTATCTATAAGAAAATCAATGTCTTTACCCTCGACTGTCATTCTGACCAGAGGCTCTTTGGGGACACTTGAGCCCGGTCTCCCTCAGTCCAATAACCCTTCTACCAGGATGAGCAGGGCCCTTTCCTCCTTGTCCGGGGCCTCCTGCTCTGAGTCACCTTGTTTTCTTTTGAGCTGAGGGCATTTGTTCTTCCACTGTCCTATTTCTTTACAATAAGCACACTGGTTATGCTGCAAACTCTGACAGCCAAGCTGAGTTTCTTTTCCAGGGCCCCCCTTCCCTTGCTTCTTTGGGGGGACAGCTCTGATTGCTGCAGCTAACAAACAGGTCGGCGTTTCACGGGGCCAGACCTTCATTCTCTTTGCGCTTTCCCTCGCGGCTTACTGCATCCCTGTTTACAAACACCTGCTTAGCTATTTCTCATCAATGTGATGTATTCATCCCTGCAAGCCCAGCCTGCTTCTGCAGTCTTCTAACGTCTTCCGCGTTTTGACGGACTAAAGCCATGTGACTCATGCGCTGATTTTCAGGGTTATCGGGATCAAGGGGAGTATACATACCATAGGCCTCACACAGTCTCTGGTAGAATTGTGCTGGACTTTCTTCTTTTCCCTGAATGACCTCAGAGACCCTGTTAACGTTTGTGGCCTTCTGAGCTCCCCTCTTGAATCCTTCCAAGAGAGCTTCCCTGTCTCGGTTTAGCCTTTGCATATCCTCTCTTTCATGTGGGTCCAACTAGGGGTGGGTTCCTGGTAACTGGGTCCTTCCATACTCTTGGGGGTTTTGGTAATCAGCTGGTGCATGTTCCTCTAGCCACTTAGTTGCTGCGTGGAGCCCTCTCCGCCTTTCGCCTTTCATCTCTCTTAAAGAGGAACATGAGCAACCGGTGGCGATCAGCCCAGGTGGGGTTGTGGGTCTGGATAACAGTTTGGAGAAAATCAATTAGGGCTTGCGGCTTTTCGCTCTAGGACTGGGTATTGTTTTCCCAGTTGAGAAGGTCGGCAGAGGTGAAGGGCTGGTACACAAAAACACGCCTCTCCACCACGTGACCATCCTCCTCTCTCCGAGTATGCCGCTGCTCTCAGGGGCATTTGGATCCCCGTTTTGGGTCGTAAACAAGCTGCCGAGGGAGGGGTGCAATGGCGCAATGTTACTTACCGCAATTAATAATCTCAATTATTAATTGATACTGATAATTATCAATATTAATAACTGATCATATAATTCTTAAAATCAATACCGATAATAATGATAATTCGTATTAAAGAGTTATACTCACGATAACAATAAATCATTAATATTAATGATTAATGACGCCTGGTCTTAAAGAGTGATATTGATCTTATTCATTAGAAAACTGTCATATTAGCTCCTAATAATTAACATTAATATTAATAATATGAACACTATTTTTAGCAATGATTTCTTAATATTAATATTGGTAATACATATTCATGTTAATAAATGAGGAAGAATTAATATGAATATTATCCCTAATACCTCAGTGGGTGTGCACCCACCTGTGATATTGTTCCTAATGTCCAGGGAGGGAGAGAGCATGATATGACGTTCAATATTGCAGTAGGTGTACACCCACCCGGTGATATTGATCTGAATATCATCTCCAGGGGGTGGCGTATGACGTTACTCCCAAGATAGCAGTGGGTGTGCATCCACCCGGTGATATTCCTCCTAATATTCCCGGAAGAAGAGAATGCTATTACTCCCAGTATCTCAGGAAGTGTACATCCCTTCTGTGACATAGTTCCTAATATCTGGAGGGGGAGAGGGTGATATTACTCGCAATGTCGAAGGCTGTGTACACCCACCCTCTGATATTGTTCCTAGCAGCCAGGAAGGGAGAGGACGATATGACTCCCCATACAGCAGGAGGTGTACACCCATCCTGAGATATTATTCCTAATATCCACGGAGAGGAGAGGCTGATATGACTCCCAATATCGCAGGGGGTGTACATCCAGTCTGTGATATTGTTCTTAATATTCAAAGGTGGAGAGGTTGATATTACTCCCAATATCACAGAAAGTGTACAAACCCGTGTATTATTGTTGCTATTATCCAGAAGAAGAGAAGATGATATCACCCCCCCATCGCAGGAGGTGTACACCCACTCTGTGATATTTTTTCCAATGTGCAGGGCAGGGGAGGATAATACTCGTCTTCATAGCACAGGGTGTGTACAGCCCCACTGTGATATGGTCCTTAATATTCCAAGGCGGAGAGGATGATCTTACTCCCAATACCGCAGAAAGTGTACACAACCCCAGTGATATGGTTCCCATGATCCAGGAGAGAAGAGGATGATGTTACTTTCAATATCGCACAGGGTGGACACGCCCCCAGTGATATTGTTCCTAATTTCAACTTGGGAGAGGATGATACTACACGGAATGCCCCTAGGGGTAAAAACACTCCTGTGATATTGTTCTTAATATCAAGGGGAAAGAGGATGCTATTACTCCAAAGAGCGCAGAGGATGTGCACCCATCTGTGACATAGTTGGTAATTTCCAGAGGCGGGGAAGATATTACTGACAATAACGTGAACACGCTGTGTGACCACCGTGGATCGTCATATCCAGGGTGGGAGAGGGGGAGTGATATGACTCCCCGCATCGCAGGGGCGCCCGCCCCCCTGCGACGTGAATCATCATATCCAGAGGGGGGTGATATGACTGCCCGCATCGCGGGGGCCTCACCTGTTAGTATTTTTCATCTGTACTGTTTTACTGTCTCTACTGTAATTATTAATATTGATGATTACTATTAATTTTTTATTATTTATTAATATTAATAATTAATAAAACTGTTCCCGATATCCGTGGGAGAGAAGATAAGACTCCCTATATCGCAGAAAGTGTACACCCCTCTATGATGTTACTCCTAATAGCCGGGGGGTAGAGGATGACATTATTGAAAATAGCACAGTGGGTGTACATCCCTTCGGTCATCTTGTTCCTAATATCCTGGGTGGGAGCGGATGATATGACTCCCAATATCGCAGCAGGCGGACACCTCCCACGAGATACTGTCCCTAACATCCAAAAGTGGAGATGATGATATTTCTTCCAATTTCGCCGGGGGTGCACACCACCCTTGTGATATTGATCCTAATATCCAGGGGGGCGAAAGGATGATATTAGTCTGAATATTGCAGGATGTGTACACTCCCTAGGGATATTGTTCCTAATATAGAGGGACGGAGAGGATGATATCACTCCCAATATAGCCGGGAGTGTACACCCCTTGTGTGACATTGCTCCTAAAGGGCAGCGGGGGAGAGGAAGATATTACAGCCAATATCGCAGGGGGTGTACACCCCCTTGTGACATTCTTCCTTCTATCCTGGGAGGGAGAGGAAGATACTAGCGGCAATGTCGCAGGGGCTGTACACACCCACTGTGATATTGTTCCGAATATCCGGAGGGGGAGAAAATGATGTTACTTCCAATATCGCGGGGGGTGTACATCCTCCTGTGATATTGTTTCTTATATTCAGGGGGAGAGGATGACATTACTCCCAATATCGCAGGGGTTGTACACACCTCCTGTGATACGGGGAGTAAGAGCCAGCCCCTCTCCCCCCTGGCTCTTAGGAGCCCCATCGCAGGGGGGTGAGACCCCACCCGGGGTACGGGGAGTAAAAACCAGACCCTATCCTCCCCTGGCTCTTAGCCGCCACACTAAGGGCTCCAACATGTTCCCTCACACACTCAACAGAGAAGGAACCTGTGGCTCAGATGGGAGACTCCCTGTCCAAGGCCACAGAGTCTGGCCCCAGGGACCACTAGAGGCTTCAAGAACCAAACTCACATGAGGGCAGAGAGGAGAGATGGGGCCAGTTTAGGGCTGGGAGAATCCATAGAGCGATGCTGAGGCAGGCATGGAGCCTGGAGGTACGGACGAGGGTCTCGCCAAAGTCAGGGGTAGAGAGGCTGTGGAGAGTGAGGAATGGTGTGGACCAGCCCCGGGCCTGCTGGGGTGCAGCTGGGGGCTCCATGGCCCTCCCACGGCCCCCACTTGTCCTCACCCAACCGTTCAGAGCTCTTCATGGCGGGGGTGTCCCTCTCTTCTGGCCACAAGAGGAGCGGGTGGAGGAACGGCACCTTCAGGCCTTGTAGGGGGTCTGCCCCTCCACCAGCCTGTTTCTCGTGGGCATCGCAGCTGAGGCTGTAGCAGGGAAAGGGTAGTAACCGAGCGTACCTGGCCTCCAACCACCACTTCCAAGGCCCCTACTGGGCACAGGGTGACCCCACCGTGGCTCGGAAGTGGACCCTGTCCGACTCGGGGATGGTCGCTGGAGGGCCGAGGGCCCCTGGAGGGTGTGCCTCGGGAGTCTGTCTCGCCCTCTGGACCCATGGGGGACCAGCAACGCCGTCACACCCTCCTCTGTCTCTGCCAGCCGCTCCGCCGCTCCCTTCTCCTGGCTGGGGCTGGCAAAGGCAGGCAGGTATGGGGGGGCGGGGCCTCAGGAGGGAGGAAGGGCTGGTGGGCGGGGCCTACGGACACCTCGCCCCGCCCCCAGTAGGGCGCCGCACTCCCCACACCCTGCGGTCCCCCTAGGTCAGGGCCTGTCACCACCGCGCCCAGAGGCCGGGCCAGCCGGGCGTGCATCCCAGGGGCGCTCCGTCCCCCGCGGCCTGGGACTCCCCAGTCAGGACAGTACAAAATCTCTTTATTGCTCATTTTCTGTAAAAAATCGTGGCTCTCGGCGGACCCTGGGGATAGGAGGTGCAAAGCGCGCTCACACGCGGCCCGGGTCCGCCGCCGAGAGCTGGGGGGATCTGGAGCGGAGCCGGGTCGCAAGAAGACCCTGACCCTGCTCCGGCGCTGGGGCGCGTGCTAAGGGCCCGCTGGGTTTCAGCTGTATTTTCGAACCGCTGTGCTTGGCCGAGGGGTTCCCAAAGCTCCACTCCGCCTTGGAGGGGGCTGCGGAAGCCCGGAGGTGACCTGGGCTCTGGGAGGGGCGTCCCCAACGTGGGGGACGGGAGACAGGGGCCTTTGAAGACAGCGCGGGACTCGGAGGGGGTCCCCCCGACCTAAGAAGTGGTAAACTAAGGCCGGCGAGGAGGGAGGCTGAGTCCGTGGACCAGGCGGCCCCTCACTGCTCCTCTGGCCAGTCGCCCCCCTGCGCCTGTTCCTACGGGCAGGGCCGGCGGCCGAGTCCAGCCTGCTCGGGACCAGGCCTGGTCCCCGCGGGCGGCGCCTCCTCCTCCGCGCCGTCCCCATGCTCGCCCTCCGCGTCGCTCTCGTCCGAGTTGTCCTCCTCCAAGTAGCGGTAACTGCGCACCTTGTGCTGGGGCCACGGGATGCGGGGCTGGCGCACGCCCCGCCGCAGCTTCTGCTCCATCCGCAGGTAGGAGACCGCGGCCGCCACCAGCGTCACCAGCAGCACCGCCAGCTTAGCCTGGGGGTAAGGAGAGGGATGCCAGGGAGCCGCGGCCGCCTCGCCCCGCACCTTCCCCGCCTATGCCCCTCGCTGAGATAGGCCCTTCCCTCCTCCGGGAGCCTCCCGGGCCACGCGGCCCTCAACTTCTCCAGCCCCTCCACCCACGCTTCCTGGACCGCCTCCTGCAGGCGAGGCTCACATCCAGCACTGTCCCTTACAGTCGTCATGCCCCTGGCGACCTCAGTGTCCCACGCTGTAAGGGAACAATACAAATCCCTTCGCCTCATAGGGTGCATGCGCCAGTGTTGATAAAGTGCTGGACACAGGCCCTGCCTTCCCAGGGCTCACAACACTGTGTCCCTGACACACCCGTGGGCTGTAGTGATGCTCTTCATGGGGTTTTGACTATAATCCGCAGTCAGGAATGATTTTACACCATAGCTCAGGACATACACACATATCTGTATGCATACTTCCTGCTCTTTTCTTTTTTCCAGACACAGTCGCTCCATTTCCCCACCGCGCCCCCTCCCTCCCTTCCCCCACCCACTGCTGGAGCGCCAGTGGCACGCTCACTTCAGCCTCAATCTTCCAGGCTCAAGCTATCCTCCCACCTCTGTTTCCCAAGTAGCTGGAACTACAGGCATGCGCCACCACGCCCAGCTAATTTTTAAATTTTTTGTAGAGACAGGGTCTCCTATGTTGCCCAGGCTGGTCTTGAACTCCTGGCCTCAAGCAATCCTCCTGCCTCAGCCTCCCAAAGTGTTGGGATTACAGGCGTGAGCCACCATGCCCAGCCCACTCACTGCTTTTCTTTTTTCTTTTTTTTCTTTTTTTTTTTTTGGGAGACAGAGTCTCGCTCTGTTCTCCAGGCTGAAGTGCGGTGGTGCGATCTGGGCTCACTGCAACCTCCATCTCCCAGGTTCAAGCCATTCTTGTGCCTCAGCCTCCAGAGTAGCTGGGATCACAGGGACGTGCCACCATGCCCAGCTAATTTTTGTGTTTTTAGTAGAGACAGGGTTTCATAGCCTGTTACCCAGGCTGGTCTCGAACTCCAGATCTCAGGTGATACACCCACCTCAGCGTCTCAAAATGCTGCGATTACAGGCATGAGCCACTGCTCCCGGCCCACTCCCTGCTATTTTTAGTTCTATTTTTATTTTTATTTTGAGACGGAGTTTCTCTCTTGTTGCTTAGGCTGGTTGGAGTGCCAAGACCCCGTCTCGGCTAACTGCAACCTCTGCCTCCCAGTTCAAGCGATTCTCCTGCCTCTGCCTCCCAAGTAGCTGTGATTACAGGCACCTGCCACCACGCCCGGCTAATTTTTGTATTTTTAGTAGAGACAAGGATTCACCATGTCGGCCAGGCTGGTCTCAAACTCCCTACCTCAGGCAATCCACTCGCCTCGGCCTCCCAAAGTGCTGGGATTACAGGCGTGAGCCACTGCGCCCAGCCTTTAGTTCTATTTTTAAAAAATGTTTAGCAACTGGGACTTGCTAGACCGAGCCACCATCTTTTGGGAGCAGAGCATGAGAAGCCTGCTCCCGTTCAGGCCATGAAGGGAGACAGACCCAACATCTGGAGAACAGGGTACCAAACAGCCCACAGGATGGCTGTGATGCACCCACAAATCCCCTCAGAGATGGGCAAACTGAGACTGGCTGGAGGTGGGCCAGTAAGTGAGGTGCTGAGTTGGGGGCCACCCAGTGGGCTGCAGGAATGGGGCCTTGGCCCAGAGACTGGCTTGGGAAGGGGTGGCGTTTAGGAAGCTGTGAAGCCAGGGCAGGGGCTAAGGAAGTATCTGTCATTCGGCATGGGGCCCCCAACCCTGCCCAGTCTCACCTTCATGTGCAGGCTCGAGCCCAGGTACACAGTGAAGATGGCCACAGCCTGCCACCAGTGGTAGATGGTGAAGATGAAGTCCTGTCTCTCCTTGTCTTCGTACAAGACTCCCAGGAGTGCTGCAGGCAGGCAGTACAGGGCAGGCAGGGGAGAGGTGTCACCTGGGGCCTGGGGCTGCCGAGCTACCATCTACGAACTTTACTAAGCCCTGTATGTGTCCCAGCCCGGGACCAGAGAGCGCCTAGAAAGTGCTGTGAGGCGGTCCTGGCCTGCCCCCTGGTGGAGACCCTGGTCACCACACTGCTCACACGCTAAGCAGAAGTAGGAGCAGGTGCGCCGGGCTGTGTGGATGCAGGTGGTCCCGCTCCGCACCACATGCGTGGCCTCAAAAGAAGAAAGCTCTGTGCTTAGTCATGTCCTGTCCCCAACCCCAGGTGTACAGTGCCAAGCTTGCAGGCGCTGTTTCTCCTCCTCAGCCGGGACTAGAGAGATCGAACTGTTTGCAGCTGCCAACTCTGCAAATCAAACCTGAAGCTAAGCATGGAGAGGGGGGCTTCCTTTCCAGTGAGTCCTCCCAGGGTGGGCAGCAAGAGTAATGGATTGGGAGTCAGAAGATGCACACTCATTCTCAGGACTGTAATGTTGGCTCCGTGGGTGATTTGGGTACTTAACTCCCCAGAGCTGCTTTTCCCAATGGTGAGATGAGCTTATGCCTATTGTGTGCTGTGTTCTGAAGTTCTAAAGTGAGAAAGAGGGCATGGCACCTGCCAGATCATAGGGGCCACTATAAACACCTTCACCAGGCACTCAGGACATGAACACTCCTGTCTTGGGGCCTTGCAGGGTGACTTTACCCCCACAGTGCTGCTATGAAGAGACAAGGATCCCCCAGGGTTCACCTGTGGAGATGGGATATGGAGCTGGGCAGAGGGGATGCCATGACCAGACAGGGCACAACATGGGTCCAAGATACCCAGGTTGGACTCTGCCCAGAATTGGCTATCATTGAGCAAAACGGCCAAGAGACTGTGGTGCAGTATGAGGCTCCAGCCCCTGCTACAGGCAGAGACACCCAGTCAGCCTCTGCCCTGCCAGCAGCAGGTATGACCTCTGCCACCCCACACCCCCAAGGATGACGTTCAAAACTGTTCATAGCTTCGGCCCATCAGAACAGACACTGACATGGATGCCCCGCAGGACTGTGCCCGTGTGTGCTAGCTGTGTGTCACTGCGTGTGCCCATCTGTGGGCAGGGAACATCCTGGAGCTGAACATGGGCCCACCCGCTGCCTTCTGCAAAGAGGGCCCTGTTCCCCAGCAGCCCAGAACTGAGGCCTGGACTCTGGTACTGAGCAGACTGGGTTGGGGCTGCAGGCCTGCTCCTCTCTATACAAAGGCCCATGTCTGTATCTATGCCGTGGATGTACAACAGGCCACTTGCTCCTACCACATGCTCCATGAGGCAGAGACCAAAACATCTGCTCCAAGTGTCACGAAAACAATGCCAGGGTAAGCCCTGTCCCCTGGTATGAAAAGGGAGAATCCCTGATGTGTTTTTCACACTGTCCCTAAGGGGTGTCCACAGAACCCCACACCTGCCCCGTGTAGCCACGAGATTTCACACTGACCCTCCAGTGTTGATGGGGCCCTGTGCCTGCCCTGGGGTATTAATGGAATGTCCATGGCGTGGAACCCCCACACCTGTCTCCAGGGTGTCCACGACCTACCCATCTGCCCCCAGTGTGTCCATGAGACTTCCCTTCCACCCCTGCAGTGTCCACAGGAAGCCCCACCGGCCTCTGCCATGTCCACAGGACCCTATGTGACCATGGGACCCAATATGTGTCCCTGGGATGTCTATGTCTAGCCAACCACCCACAGATAGCCATAAAGCCCCCTGCCCCGCCCCCCCCAGTGCCCACAGCTATACTCACTGCTGAGTCCAGTCTTGTTCAGGGTGCTGCCCACACCCCAAAGGGTGGCTGCCACACAGAGGATCCAGCTGTGTTGAAGGACCCGAGGCACAGGGGCCCAGAAAAAGGGGATGAAGGTGAGCAGCAGGTGCACCCCTGCTCCAGCCACGAGGGGCACCGGGCGTGGCAGCCACAAGCCCAGCAGGCCCAGGAGTGAGGCGACTGAGGCGCCCAGGCTGTAAGCCATGAGGAGGTAAGCAAGCCGCTCCAGCCCCACCGAGCACACGCCATAGCCCTGCGTGGGGACAAGGGGTGAGTGTTGAAGTCCAGAACAGCCCAGACCCCAGTCTCAGCCCTCCCCGCATCGCGGGGGGTGCCTCACCCCCCTGCGATGGGTGTCCTAAGAGCCATGGGGGGAGAGGGGCTGGCTTGTACTCCCCGCATCGCGGGGGGTGCCTCACCCCCCTGCGATGGGGGTCCTAAGAGCCATGGGGGGAGAGGGGCTGGCTTGTACTCCCCGCATCGCGGGGGTGCCTCACCCCCCTGCGATGGGGGTCCTAAGAGCCAGTGGGGGAAGAGGGACTGGCTCTTACTCCCCGCATGGCGGGGGGTGCCTCAACCCCCTGCGATGGGGTTCCTAAGAGCCAGGGAGGGAAGAGGGGCTGGCTCTTACTCCCCGCATCGCGGAGGGTGCCTCAGCCCCCTGCGATGGGGGTCCTAAGAGCCAGGAGGGGAAGAGGGGCTGGCTCTTACTCCCCGCATCGCGGGAGGTATGTACAACCCCTGCGATATTGGCAGTAATATCATCCTCTTCCCCTGAACCTAAGAAACAATATCTCAGGAGCATGTACGCCCCCTGCGATATTGGAAGTAACATCATTTTCTCCCCCTCCAGATATTCGGAACAATATCACAGTGGGTGTGTACAGCCCCTGCGACATTGCCGCTAGTATCTTCCTCTCCCTCCCAGGATAGAAGGAACAATGTCACAAGGGTGTGCACACCCTCTGCGATATTGGGGGTGATATCTTCCTCTCCCCCGCTGCCTATTAGGAACAATGTCACACAAGGGGTGTACACCCCCTGCTATATTGGGAGTGATATCATCCTCTCTGTCCCTGGATATTAGGAACAATATCCCTAGGGAGTGTACACCTCCTGCAATATTCAGACTAATATCATCCTCTCGCCCCCTGGATATTAGGATCAATATCACAGGGGTGGTGTGCACCCCCGGCGAAATTGGAAGAAATATCATCCTCTCCACCTTTGGATGTTCGGAACAGTATCACGGGGGAGGTCTCCGCCCACTGCGATTTTGGGAGTCGTAACATCCGCTCCCACACAGGATATTCGGAACAACATGACCGAAGGGATGTACACCCACTGCGCTATTTTCCATAATGTCATCCTCTACCCCCTGGCTATTAGGAGTAACATCATAGAGGGGTGTACACTTTCTGCGATATTGGGAGACATATCTTCTCCCCCACGGATATCGGGAACAGTTTTATTAATTATTAATATTAATAAGTATAATAACAATTAATAGTAATCATCGATATTAATAACTACAGTGGAGACAGTAAAACTTAATGTGGATTAAAAATATTAATGATTACAATTAATAATAGCAACATCAATATTAATAATAAAATAATAATATCAGTAATTAATGTTACTTAAATCCATCATAAGTGATGTTGGTAATAAAACAATGATTAATATTAATATTAATAACTAATATTTTTTAAAATGGCATTAATAGTAAGAATTATTTTAATCATGCATAATCATATCTTTAAAATAATCATTAATGACTAATAACGTTATACTATTAATTAATATTACCATTGATAATCATTAATGAGACTGATGTTTAATAATTCATAATATTGTTATTCCTAATACCGCAGGGGGTGTACACCTACCTGTGATATTGTTCTTAATATCCAGGGATGGAGAGCATGATATTAGTTTTCATATCGCAGTAGGTGTACACTCACCCTGTGACACTGATCCTAATATCCAGTGGGTGGAGTATGACATGACTGCCAACACAGCAATCAATGCACAGCCACCCGGTGATATTGCTCCTAATATTCACGGAAGAAGAGTATATTACTCCCAATATCGCAGGGAGTGTACACCTCTTCTGTGATATTGTTCCTAGTATCCCGAGGGGGAGAGGGTGACAATAATTCCAGCATCGTAGGCTGTGTTCACCCAGCCTGTGATATTGTTATTAATATCCTGAAAGGGAGAGGATGATATTACTCCCCATAATAGATAGATATGACTCCCCATAATAGAGCAGGAGGTGTACACCCACCCTGTGATATTCTTCCTCATATTAAGAGGCCGAGAGGTTGATATTACTCCCAATATCGCAGGAAGTGTACACCCCCGTGTGAGATGGTCCTTCGTAATATTCCAAGGCAGAGGGGGTGATATGACTACATATATCGCAGAAAGTGTACACCCCCCAGGGATATTGTTCCCATGATCCTGGAGGGAAGAGGATGATATTACTTTAAATATCACAGAAGGTGGACACGCCCCCACTGATATTGTCTCTAATTGCAACGTGGGAGAGGAGGATATGATACCCAATATCGCAGGGAGTAGAAACACCGCTGTGATACTGTTCTTAATATTCAGGGAGGACGAGGATGATATTACTCCCAATACAGACGGGTGTACACCCGTCTGTGAAATAGTTCATTATTTCCAGAGGGGAGATGATATTACTCACAATGTGGTAAACAGGCTGTGAGTCCACTGCGGATCCTAAAAACCAGGGGGGGAAGAGGGGCTGGCTCTTACTCCCCGCATCGCGGGGGGTGCCTCACCCCCCAGCGATGGGGGTCCTAAAATCCAGGGTAGGAAGAGGGGCTGGCTCTTACTATTCCTGAAGGAATAGTTTAGAGGGACTCATTCCCTGCTATCGTGGGTGAGATGTCTATGAAAAGGACAACCAGTTGGGGAGGGTAGCAAAATTTTGAAGTAGATTTCTGAGACCCCCAGCACAACCAAGAACAGAAACTCCACACTCTGCTGAGCGGATAGTTTGCACATTGGTCTCCTCCCATCTGCCCAGCTCACTCTCCTGTTTGTCCTGAGGAGGAAACAAAACAAGGCTCCCTACCGTCCCTCAGCACTCACTTGAAGGGGTGGCCCATCCCTCCACACCTGGGGGTATTTCTAGTCGGGTGGGATGAGAGACTGAGAAAAGAAATAAGACACAGAGACAAAGTATGGAGAAACAACAGTGAGCCCAGGGGACCGGCGCTCAGCATACCAAGGATCTGCACTGGCACAGGCCTCTGAGTTCCCTCAGTTTTTATTGATTATTATTTTTATTATTTTAGCAAAAACGAATGTAGTAGGAGGGCAGGGTGATAATAAGGAGAAGGTCAGCAACGAAGAGGTGAGCAATAGAATCTATGTCATAATGAAGTTCACGGGAAGGTACTATGACTGGATGCGTACGTAAGCCAGATTGATGTTTCTCTCCACCCAAACATCTCAGTGGAGTAAAGAATAACAAGGCAGCATTGCTGCAAACATGTCTCACCTCCCACCATAGGGCGGTTTTACCCCCATCTCAGAATTGAACAAATGTACAATAGGGTTTTATACCGAGACATTCAGTTCCCAGGGGCAGGCAGGAGACAGTGGCCTTCCTCTCTCTCAACTGCAAGAGGCTTTCCTCTTTGACTAATCCACCTCAGCCAGACCCTTTACTGGTGTCGGGCTTGGGGATGGTCAGGTCTTTCTCCTCCCATGAGGCCACTTTTCAGACTATCACATGGGGAGAAACCTTGGACAATACGCCGCTTTCAAGGGCAGGGCTCCCTGCGGCTTTCCACAGTGCATTGTGCCCCTGGTTTATTGAGACTAGAGAATGGTGATGACTTTTACCAAGTATATTGCTTGGAAACATCTTGTTAACAAGGAACGTCCTGAACAGCCCTAGATCCCTCAAACCTCGATTTCATACAACACATGTTTTTGTGAGCTTCAGGTTGGGTCAAAGTGGCTGAGGCAAAGCTACACATTAACAACATCTCAGCAAAGCAATTGTTGAATGTACAGGTCTTTCTCCAAATGGAGTCTCTTATGTCTTTCCTTTCTACATAGACACAGTAACAGTCTGATTGTTCTTTCTTTTGCCTGCACTCATTGAACTGCCCTTCCCCTCTGCTGGGCCATGACCACGGAGAACAGGTCCACTGTCCTCCCTGTGTGGTGCACCATGGAGGCTCAGACTCCATCCTCAAGGCTGGCAAGAAGACAGGATGAGACATGAGCCTCCTGATACAGGTGACGGGAGTGGAGCCCACAGGACTGGAACCTCACACTGCAGGGCTGGAGGCACAGACTGACTATTTACTATTCTGTGGCCTGGGGGGCTCAAGGCACAGAGCTCCTTATTAGCCAAAGTCACCCAAGTTCCCCAACCTCTAAGGATTTCCTTATAATAATGCAAGAAGAAGAAGAGAAAAGTGAGTGTCCATAGAAGCTTTGGGGCTCTTCCTCGAATCAGGAGAAAGCTGGTGTGTATTCTTCGCTTCTTTCTTTTCTTTTTAAACATCCAACTGCTTTAGTTTTCATCTTTTATTATGGGAAAATATACCACGTATAAATATGAAAAATTATAAATATATATTAGTTCATATAGATTGGCCAGTATAAACATTTACAGTTTCCACGCTTTTTCAGTTTGCAGTTTCATGACATTAAGTACTTTCACATTGTTTAGCAACCATCACCGCCATCCTCTCCGGAACAGTTTTATCTTTCAAAATGGAAATTGCACCCATTCACCAAGCTCTCCACTCCTCTCTCTCGCCCACCCCTGGGGGCCACCTTTCTAGTTTGCAACTCTATGAGTTTAACTACTCTAGACACTTAATAGATAAGTGGAATCATACCGTATTTAATTTTTTTGTTTTGGAAACAGAGTCTTTCTCTGTCACCCCGGCTGGAGTGCAGTGGCGTGATGTCGCCTCACTGCAACCTCCATATCGTGGGTTCAAGCGATTCTTGTGTCACAGTCTCCAGAGTAGCTGGGATTACAGGCGTGTGCCACCACGCCCAGCTAATTTTTGTATTTTTAATAGAGACCATATTGGCCAGGCTGGTCTCGAACTCCTGACCTGAAGTGATCCACCTGGCTCAGCCTCCCAAAGTGCTGGGGTTACAGGGGAGAGCCACTGAGCCTGGGCATGTTTATCCTTTTGGTATTCATTTATTTCACTGACGATAATGTTTTCAAGGTTCTTCCATGTTGTGGCCTGCGTCAGAAGTGCCTGTCTGTGTTTTGTTTTGTTTTGTTTTTTGTTTGTTCGTTTGACTTTGTTTTGTTTTGTGTTTCCATGGAGTCTCACTCTGTCGCACAGGCTGGAGTGCAGTGGCACAATCTGGGCTCACTGCAACCTCCGCCTCCCGGGTTCCAGCCATTCTTGTGCCTCAGCCTCCCGAGTACTTGGGACTATAGGCACACGCCACCACGATCGTCTCATTTTTTTGCATTTTCAGTAGAGACAGGGTTTCACCAAGATGGCCAGGCTGGTCTTGAATTCCTGATCTCAGGTGATCCGCTCACCTCGGTCTTCCAAGACGCTGCGATTACAGGCATGAGCCACCGCACCAGCCAGAAGTGCCTGCCTTTTGAAGGCTGAATAGTCTTCCATTGTATGAAGGAACTGCAGTGTGCTTTTTCATTCATCTGTCCACGAACCCTTGGGTTGCTTCCACATTTTGGCTGTTGTGAATAATGCTGCTATGAATATGGGTGTACACAAATCTGTCTTCCACTCCTGGCTTCTAAATCTTTTTGGTAGGTACCCACAAATGAAACTGCGGGAACATCTGATCATTCTGTTTCTAATTTTTCCAGTACACGCCATACTATTTTCCCCGTTCCTTCACGGTTTTACATTCCCTGCGATCAGATTCGAGCATTCCTACTTCCCTTTAGTCTCACCAATGCCTGTTTGTTTATCATATCCATCCTAATGTGTGGTATCACGTTCTTGGTTTGATTTGCGCTTCCCTATGATGAGTGATTTTGAACATCATTTTAGATGCTTATTGGCCATTGCTATATCTTCTTTAGACACACGTCTACTCGAGTCTTCTGACCATTGTTGATTGAATACTTTGGGTTTCTCTTTGTTTAGTTCTAGCTGTTCTTTATATGTGATGGATATCAGCCTCTTTTCAGATATACGCTTTAAAAATGTTTTTCCTAATCCGTGGGTTATCTTTTCACTCAGTTCGCAGTGTTTTTTGCTGCACAAAAGTGTCTGTCATTTAGATGTAATCCAAGGAATCTAATTTTCTTTTGTTGCCTATGCTTTTGGTGTCATATCCCAGAGAACATTGCCCAATCTGATGTCATGAAAGCGTGGCCAATGTTTTCTTTTAGGCATATGATACTATTAGTGCTTGGGGTGAGGTCTTTGATCCAGTTTGTGTTAATTTTTGCACCTGGTGTGACATAGGGTCCACCTTCATTCTTCTGCATGTGGAAATCAAGTTTCTCCAACACCATTTCTTGAAAAGGCTGCTTTTCCACCAATGAACTTTCTTAGCACTCATGTGAAAAATCATTTGAACATATAGTGAGAAGTTATTTCTGGGCTCCAAAACAGACAAACAACAACAGACAACAGATAAGGATACAGCATGGGCCGGGCGCGGTCGCTCACACCTGTAATCCCAGCACTTTGGGAGGCCGAGGCGGATGGATCACCTGAGGTCAGGAGTTGAAGACCAGCCTGACCGACAGGGAGAAACCCCCGTTTCTACTAGAAATACAACATTAGCTGGGCGTGCTGGCTCATGCCTGTAATCCCAGCTAATCGGGAGGTGGAGGCAGGAGAATCACTAGAACCCAGGAGGCAGAGGTTGCGGTGAGCCAAGATTGCACCATGACACTCCAGCCTGGGCAACAAGAGCAAAACTCCATCTCAAAACAAACAAACAAAAAAACCCAGCATGATTTCAAGAGCAGAAAGAGAAGAGCTTAAAAATCAGCATAATGAGAAAGTTAGGAAGCTTCTTACCAAAGCATCTGGAAATATACAACAATTCTTGTGAACTAAAATTTTCATACTGTACTATCAAACACTAGAACTCACTTATTCCATCTTTCTGTATTTTGGGACCCAATTATCCACTTGTCTTCATTCCCTATCCCATCCCTTTCCTTCCTAGCGTCTGCTAACAACCTTCATACTTTCCACCTTCCTGAGATTCCTTTTGTGTATAGGTGTGTGATGGAGTCTCTTTCTGTTGCCCAGGTTGGAGTACGCAGACACAATCCGGGCTCACTGCAAGCTCCGCCTCCCGAGTTCAAGCGGTTCTTGGGCCTCAGCCCTCTGAGTAGCTGAGACTACAGGCACGCGTCACCACGCTCGGCTCATTGTTTGTGTTTTCCGTAGAGACGGGGATTCACCATGTTGTCCAGGCGGGTCTCGAACTCCTGGACTCAAGTGATCCGTGTGACTGGGCCTCCGAGAGTGCTGGGATTACAGGCCTGAGCCACCACACCTGGCCAAGGTTTCCTTTTTTCTTCAAACACAGAAGTGAGGACATGAAATATTTGTTATTCTGTGCCTGGCTTATTTCATTTAATATACAGACCTGCAATCTCATCCATTTTGTCTGCAGCGGAGAGGATTTTCTTCCTTTTTAGGCTGAATAATACTTCACTGGTTGTGTATACCACAGTTTCTTCATTGAAACAAATTTCTGAAGAGCAAATATTTTTAAAATGTCTCGGAATGTGAAACTTCAGGGATACTGTGCCCATTTTATTGTTTTCTATTTCCCATCTTATGTATATGCAAGTGTATAACAAAGCAGCAACCAATGTGTGTATAAATCTGTAACTTCAAGAAATGTAAAAGGTAAATGATAAGTGGTGGCTGGGCGCAGTCGCTCATGCCTGTAATCCCAGCACTTTGGGAGGCGGAAGCGGGCAGTTCACCTGAGGTCGGGAGTTCAAGACCAGCCTGACCAAAATGGAGAAACACTGTCTCTATTAACAATACAAAAAAAAAAAAAAAAAAATTAGCCAGGCATGGTAGCGCATGCCTGTAATCCCAGCTACTTGGAAGGCTGAGACAGGAGAATTGCTTGAATAGGGGAGGCAGAGGTTGCAGTGATCCGAGACCGTGCCATTGAACTCCAGCCTGGGCAACAAGAGTGAAACTCTGCCTCAAAAAATAAGGAAAAGAAAGAAACAGAAAATGCGAAATGTTAAGAAAAAACAGCATAATAAACGTTTGTATGGTGTTGATGGACAATGCATTTAAAGATAATATTTGAAGAAATCATATTACAATTAATTTCTGTTCTTATTCATTGGAGCTTGATGCCCCTAAAAACTTCGTCATTGGAACCACCTCTGGTGCTTTAAAAGAAAAAAAAAAAAAATCCACATACTCACACAGGTGCAAGGAAATCAGAATCTCAGGTATTGAGACCCAGGCCTCATCATTTGTAAGCTCCCCAGGTGAGTTGACTCAAAGCCAAGATTGAGGAACGGCGACATGGATCTCTACACAGAACCTGCCTAAATAGATTCTCTAGAAGCAGTTTATAAAGAAATTCCACATGGACTGTGGAAGAGGATATGAATTTGATGTACAGTATGTCCTCACTTAACATCTTTGAAAGTCTGTTGGAAACTTCACCTTGAAGCAAATTATGTATAGTGAAACCACTTATTTTTCATCAACAGTATAACTACACAACTTTGAACAACCAATGGTGTTGGAGGACCTCCTGTACATTGTTTCCATAAAGTCAGTTTTCAGGGAATTCCAAAACGAAGTGAGGACTTCGAGTATATAAAAAGATGGTTGTGATTCCACCTGGATGACAGGGTTATTGCTCAGAAACTAAAAGAGGCCGCCTAGGTATAGAGGATTCTGTCATGAGGTTTCTGCTAAACAAAGGATCCCAGAATCCTCATCCATTCCAGTGAAAGGCATAACGAAGAAAGCAATATTCACAAAGGAAATGCGGAAAGGAATAAAAGCCATCAAGCCACAAAAAGAATGTGACTAAGGGGCAGGATTTGCAGATGTAGGGATTTAATGTGGTTGCCCTTTCTCACCCACCAAGAAAAAGGATGGAACAGATCATGAGATTCGACTGTTCTGCTGAGCAGCCTCCGCAGGGCACTTTGTATGTCCCTGTTTCTCAGGCTGTAGATGAAAAGGTTCAGCATGGGAGTGACAACAGCGTATATCAATGATGCCACCACACCATTCCTGGGGGGTGGTGACACAGCTGAAGTCAGGTACATGCCAATGCCTGTTCTATAAAATCAGCAAACAACTGCCTGGTGAGAGCCACAGGTGGAGAAGGCTTTATACTTCCCATCTGACGATGAAATCCTTAGAATGGAGGGGACGATTTTATAGTAAGACCATAGGATCCCTGAAATGGGAAGGAAACCAAACATAGTACTATCAAAATATATGAATATGCTATTGATGACGCCGTCAGAACAGGCAAGTTTGAGAAGTTGAGAGGGGTCACAGACAAAATTAGAGATTTCCACATTCTTGAAGATGGTGAATTGTAACACAATCCAACTGTGCAGCTGGGAATCCAACAGGCTAAGGAAAAAGGACACCAAAACGAAGAAGACACAGAAGTGAGGATTCACGATGACTGGGTAGTGCAGAGGGCGACAGATGGCTACAAAGCAGTCATAGGCCATCACAGTCAGGAGCATGCCTTCTATACATGCAAAAAGGAACAAGAAAGACATCTGCGTCAGACAGCCCGCATGAGAGATGGCTCTGCTATGCGACTGCATGTCCACAATCATCTTGGGAACCGTGGCCGAGGTGAAACCGATGTCAGCCCAGCACAGGTTGGAGAGGAAGAAGTACATGGGGGTGTGGAGGGGAGAGACAGAGCTGACAGCCAGGATGATGAGCAGGTTCCTCAGCACCGTGACCAGATACATGGACAGGGACAGGGAGAGCAAAGCGAGAACCGGCTGCAGTTCTGGATCCTCTGGGAGTCCAAGGAGGAGGAATTCTCAGACACCTGTGAGATTCCGTGGCTCTGTGTGTCTTGGACACCTTGAGAAGGAAAGAGGATTGGAAAAATAAAAGATAAAAACCAGCTCTTAATGCTTGATGCAAGTAATTCAGAAGGAACATTTTCACACTTGCGGACCATACACCACCAGCAATGTTTCTCAGTTGTGACAATTCCAAAAAAATCTCAGAATTATTACGTGATTTACTTTTTTGCTATACAAGGCTTTCTGTACATACTACTTTAGAGAAAATCCACTGAAGAATATTAGAAGACCAAAACGTCTTATAACAAATCCTTGATCTCAGTAAAATACGGCCTACCCTTTTCAGAAAAAAATACAATGCAATGACAATGTCCTTCTCTCTTTAAGAAAAAGATCTCAGTCTAATTGAAAGAAATTAAGAAGCCGTGAAATACACTGTACTTTATTCTGACACCGTGCTACAACTTCCATTGATGTAGAATATGTAAAAGGACGACACAAGAGCTAGGACCCCATTATCTGAAAACGAAATCAAACGTTATAGTTCTCAATCGGAAGACCTTTTCCCATGCCTGTTACTTTTCATATTTATCATCATCCTTCGGTTTTCTGACATCATTTCTTCATAAAGGTACATGCACACTCAAAGATGGGAGCTGTGTTTCCAAATGAATTGAATCTATAACTCTTGGCCCAGCACCATGGCTCACACCTGTAATCCCATCACTTTGGGTGGCCGAGGCTGATGGATCACCTGAGGTCAGGAGTTCCAGACCAGCCTGGCCAACGTGGTGAAACCCCGTCTCCAGTGAAAATTAAAAAAAAAAAAATTAGCCGGGACTGGTGGCGGATAACCCTAACTACTCGGGAGGCTGAAGCAGGAGAATCCCTTAGAACCTAGAAGGCAGAGATTGGACACCCTGTGATAGGATTTTTGATATCCTAGGGAGATATTGCTCCTGACAGCAGAGTGGGTGTACACCCTGTGATATTATTTGTAATATCCTAGAAAGATATTGCTCCTAATATCATGGTTGCTCTACACCCTGTGATCTTAATTGTAATATCCTACAGAGACATTACTCCTAATAATACAGTGGGTGTACACCCTGTGATATTATTCATAATGTATTACAGAGATATGACTCCTGATATCACAGTGAGTGTACACCATGTTTGTACACTCTGTGATCTTATTTGTAACAACTTAGAAAAATATTACAGCTAATATCAAAGTGGGTGTACCCCCTGCGATGTTATTTGTTATCTACTAGGTAGATATTACTCCTAATATCACAGTGAGTGTACACCATGTGTGTACAGACTGTGAAATTATTCGTAATACCCTAGGAAGATATTACTCCTCATATCACAGTGGGTGTACACCGTGAGTGATATTTTTTTCTAATATCCAGCGCGGGAGAGGATGATATTGCTTCCAATATCACAGAAGGTGTACACCCCCCTGTGATTTTGTTCCTAATATCCAGGGAAGGAGAGGATGACATTATTCCCAATATCACTGGGGGTGTACCACCTCCCGCCAGGATATTGTTCTTAATATCCGGAGGTGGAGAGAATGATGTTACTCCCAATATCACAGGGGGTGTACACCACCCCGTTTGTAAACACCCCCTGTGATATTGTTCCAAATGGCCTGCGAAAGAGTAAACATGACTCCCATTATGGTGGGGGGTGTTCAGCCATGGTGATATTGTTTTCTAACATCCAGGGAAGGAGAGTATTCTATTCCTTCCAATATCGCAGGGGTTGTACACCCTTTTGTGTTTTTGTGCCCAATATCCAGGAAACTAGAGGATGATGTTACTCCCAATGTCGAAGTAATTGTACAGCACCCCTGTGATATTCTCCCTAATATCCAGAAAGGAAAAGAATGATATTACTCCCAACAGCGTAGGAAACGTATACCCGCGCTGTGGTATCTTTCCCAGTGTCCAGGTGGGGAGAGGATCATATTACTTCCAATGTCGCAGGGTGTGTACACCCCCTTTGTGAGCTCGTTGCTAACATCCAGGTTTGGGGAGGACGACATTACTCCCAATATCGCAGGGGGAGTACACCCCCTCGTGACCTTGTTAGTCATTTCCTGGGTGGAGAGGATGATCTTACTCCCAATATCGCAGGGGGTGTACACACCCCTGTGAAAATCTTCCTATTTTCAGAGGGAGAGAGGATGATATTACTCCCAGGACCGCAGGGGGTTTCCATAGCCCTGTGATCCTCTTCCTAATATCCACAGGGAGAAAGGATGATACGACTCCCAATATCGCAGGGGGTGTACACAACCCTGTGATATTGTTCCTAATATCCAGAGCGAAAGAGGATGATATGACTCTCAATATCACAGAGGGTGTGCACCCCTCCTGTAATATTGTTCTGAATACCCTGGGAGGGAGAGGATAAGGTTACATTGAATATCGCAGGGAATGTACACCCTCCCCCTCTGATACCCTTCCTAATGTGCAGGGGAAGAGAGGAAAATTTCACTCCCAATATCACAGAGGCAGTACACCCCACCTGTGATGTTGTTCCCAATATGGAACTACTCTCAATATCGCAGGGCTGTTCACATCGCTAGTGACATTTTTTCCTAATATCTAGGGGAGAGACAATGCTATGACAGCAAAGGTCGCAGGGTCTGTGCATCCCTTCCTGATATTGCTCCTAATGTCCAGGGGGAAAGAGGATGATATCAAATATGAAAGGGGGTGTACATCCCCCACCACTACGATATTGTTCTTAATAATCGTGAGGGGAGTCAATGATATTACTCCAAATATCGCAGGGGTTGTTCACAACCCCCTGTGATATTGTTTCTGATATCCGGGGGGGAGAAAATCATGTTACTTCCAATATTGCAGGTGGTGTAAACCCCACCTGAAATATGGCACCGAATATGCAAAGAGGGAGAGGTTGGTATTCATACCAATATCGAAGTGTGTGTACACGCCCCTTGTGATATGGTTTTTAATATCCAGTGGGCGGGAGGATGATATTAGTCCGAACATCCCAGAGGGTGTACACTACCCCTGTGATATTGTCCCTAACTTCCAGAGGGAAGAGGATGATATCACTCCCAAAATCTCAGAAGTTGTACATCCTCCGTGATATTGTTCGTCATATCCAGGGAGGCGCAGGATGACATTCCATTGAATTTCGCGACAGGCGTACACGCACAGTGTGATATTGTTCCTAATATCCAGGAAGGGAGAGGATGATATTACTCCCAATAAAGCAGTGGGTGTACATCACCCCTTTGTTATTGTCTCTAATATCTGGGGCCGGGGGAGTGGGGGAGAGGATAACATTCCCTCAAATTTAGCAGGTCATTTGACGCCGCTTGTGGTGTTGTTTTACATATCCAGTGGGGAAGACAATAGTACTATTTTTGATAGTCCGATTCATCCGCTCCACCTTTCCGGAATGCTGAGGCCGGGAGGCGGCATGCAGTTTCCGTGTGATCCCCAATACCTTTGCCGTCTTCTGTACCAAGGCAGCCAAAAACGCAGGCCCGTAGTCTGAGCCGATCCATAAGGGCGGTCGAAATCTAGGAATCAGATCTCAAAGAAGCACAGGGGTTACTTCACGAGCTTTCTCAGTTAGTGTTGGATAAGCCTCCACCCACCCAGAGTAGGTACACATAACAACTAGTAAATACTTGTTACCTCCACACTTTGGCATCTCTGTGAAGTCCACCTGGAGACCTTCAAAGAGGGCTGCTCCATAAGCTCATATGCCGTGCGGAACGGCTGGACATTGCCTCGCATCATGCTGTCGGCAGGTAACACACCGCTGCCTCACAGTTTTGGCAAGGGCTGACAAAGGTGAGATGTAGAAATACCAGCCTAACAACTTTTCCAGTGACTCCTGACCTCGATGGGTGGTTTCTTGCACAGCCAGTACAACTGCAGCTCCTAGCAGCTGTGGCACAGCTACTCTCCCATCTGCTAACCGAATCCATCCTTCCTCCATCACTTGTCCTTCCCTCTACCTGGAGAAAGTCCTTTTCTTCTTTAGAAGTAGGTCCAAGATCAGGTGCTTGAGGGAGCACTGATGCCCAGAAGGGGGCAGATGCTGCTTTTCGAGCGTCTGAGTCAGCGCGGGAATTCCCCAAACCCAGCAAGGTGGAAGCTCACTGGTGTCCCCTGCAATGCATAACTGCCACCTTGTGGAGTTTCCATACTGCTTCTAATCATTGCAAGATTTCTTGTTGATATTTTCTGTCTTTTTCCCCAGAGTTCAATAGGCCCTTTTCTTTCTATCACACTCCAGGCACTTGAAGGGTTGAAAAGACATACTGAGAATCAGTGTAAATGTTGACAGTCTGACCCTCACTGAGTTCTAAGGCCCGAATGAAAGCAATGAGTTCAGCTTTCTGGGCTGAAGTGCCCTGGGGCAACGATCTGGCTTCAACAACAGTGTCCAGGGTTATCACTGCATATCCTGCACCTCTCTCTCCTTGGGGGTTGAAGAAGCTGCTCCCATCCATGTATAGTTCCCAGTCTACTGATGCCCAAGTCTGGCCCCGGAGGTCAGGTCTGCTAGAGTCAATTGTGTCCAACACTTCTACACAACCAGGCTCGACAGGGCTCTCTGATAGCGGGAGCAAGGTGGCGGGGTGTAGGCTGTTACAAACTTCAGTGGTTATATGGGGATTTTCACAGAGCAAAGTTTGGTACTTGGTGAGTCTGGCATCGTTAGCCAATGATGTCCTTTAGTATTCATTAAAGTCACCACAGCATGGGAGGCCTTTATGTTCAGGTTTTGCCCAAGAGTCAGCTTATTTGCTTCTTGTACTGGCAGGGCAGTTGCTGCCAAGGCCCTCCAACAGGGGGGCCATCCTTTAGAGACCCAGTCTAGTTGTTGAGAGAGGTAGGACCCCGGCCTAGGCCTGGGCCCCACAGTTTGGGTTCAAAGTCCAGCTGCCATCTTTTCTCTCTCTGATTATACGATGGAAAAGGCTTTGTCAGATCAGGTAGCCCCAGGGCTGGCGCTGCCAGAAGTTTTTCCTTTAACTCATGAAAGACTTACTGTTGTTGGGATCCACATTCCAAAGGTTCCCAGTCCCCGCCCCTTTGGTGACCTCATACAAAGGCTTGGCTAATACAGCAAAGTTTGGGATCCACAGTCTACAAAACCCCACAGCTCCTAAGAATTCTCTCACCTGCCTTCTGCTCTTAGGCTCTGCTAGATTGCAAATGACCTGCTTTCTTTCTGATCCCGGGCTGCGTTCCGACCCCTGTCAGATAGTCAATCCCCAGAAACTTACCTGCTGTCGGCAGATCTGAGCTTTCTTCTTGGACAACTGATACCCACAGTCCTCCAGGTGCCAGTGTAGGACAACTGTTCCCTTGGCACACCTGACTGCCGTGGGGTGTTCCAGCAGAAGGTCATCAACCTACTGGAGCAACACACAGCCTAGGTCTCTGCTGGGAAACTTCTGGAGGTCGCGAGCCCACGCCTCCCCGAAGATGGTGGGGGAGTTCTTGAACCCTTGGGGAAGCCTGGTCCAAGTGTACTGAGTAGTGACACCTGACTCCGGATCTTCCCACTGAAAGGCAAACAGCTTCTGCCTCTCAGGGGCTAATCTGATAGGAAAGAAAGCGTCTTTCAGGTCCAAGCAGGTGAACCAGCTGTCCTCAGCTGGCGGCAACCCCAACAATATGGACGGGTTAGGTACTGTTGGATGGAAAGTCAGTGTAGCTTGATGAAGCAAGCGCAAATCCTGTACCGGCCGGTAGTCCTTGGTCCGTGGCTTGGGAACAGGCAGGAGGGGAGTGTTCCATGGAGACTGACAAGGAACAATAATTCCAAAAGTTCTTAGGTGCCTGAGACGGACCTGGATACCTTGAAGGGCTTCTCTGGGGACCAGGTCCTATTTTTGCCTCACCGGCTGGGCCCCAGTCTTAACTGGCCAATCCCGGAGGGTTGTCTTCTACCCGTACTCTTGGCCACCGCTTAGCCAGAGCTGGTCTTCTCTCTTGGCCCAGCTCAGTTCAGAAAAGTCTCCATTCCTCCTCTCGGGGGACCATAAGGGTCATAATGACTCCCGTTCTGGGTAACTTTAGCAGTAAAGAGCTGTGCTCTGTCAAAGAGACAGTGGCTCTCAGCTTGCTGAGCAAGTCCCTTCCCGAAAAGGTCAAGGGACAGTCAGGCATGTACCAAAACTGATGAATGACTTTATGTCCTCCTACAGTACAAGTCTGAGACAAGCAGAAAGCTTGCTTTGCTGAAACCCCCGTGGCTCCGATGACATCAATAGTCTTTTTGGATAAGGGGGCGACCGGGGCGGTTACTAGCGAATGTTCAGCACCGCTATCTACAAGAAAGTCAATGTCTCCACCCCCGACTGTCATTCTGACCAGAGGCTCTTTGGGAACGCTTGAGCCGGGTCTCCCTCAGTCCAATAACCCTTCTGCCAGGTTTAGCAGGGCCCCTTCCTCCTTGTCCGGGGCCTCCTGCTCTGAGTCACCTTGTTTTCTTTTGAGCTGAGGGCATTTGTTCTTCCACTGTCCTATTTCTTTACAATAAGCACACTGGTTATGCTGCAAACTCTGACAGCCAAGCTGAGTTTCTTTCCCAGGGCCCCCCTTCCCTTGCCTCTTTGGGGGGGCCCCTCTGATTGCTGCAGCTGACAAACAGGTCGTCGTGTCACCGGGCCTGACTTCCATTCTCTTTGCCATTTTCCTTAGGGCTTACTGCATCCCTGTTTACAAACACCTGGCTAGCTATTTCTAGTAATTGTGGTGGATTCATCCCTGCAAGCCCAGCCTGTTTCTGCAGTTTTCTTCTCATGTCTTCTGCGCTTTGACTGACTAAAGCCATGTGAATCATGCGCTGATTTTCAGGGCTATCGGGATCAAAGGGAGTATACATACGATAGGCCTCCCACAATTCTCTCTCATACAATTGTGCTGGACTTTCTTCTTTTCCCTGAATGACCTCAGAGAGCTTGTTAACGTTTGTGGCTTCCTGAGCTCCCCTCATTAATCCTTCCAAGAGAGCTTCCCTGTCTCGGTTTAGCCTTTGCATCTCCTCTCTTTCATGTGGGTCCAACTGGGGGTCGGTTCCTGGCAACTGGGTCCTTCCATACTCTTGGAGGTTTTGATAATCAGCTGGTGCGTGTTCCTCTAGCCACTTAGTTACTGCTTGGAGGACTCTCCGCCTTTCTTCGCTGTTAAAGAGGAACATGAGCAACTGGTGCCAATCAGCCCAGGTGGGGTCGTGGGTCTGGATAACAGCTTGGAGCAAATCAATTAGGGCTTGTGGCTTTTCGCTATAGGGCGGTGTATTGTTTTTCCAGTTGAGAAGATCGACGCAGGTGAAGGACTGGTAGCCAAAAACACGCCTCTCCAGCACTTGACCATCCTCATCTATCCCAGTATACTGCTGCTCTCTCAGGGGCATTTGTGTCCCCATTTTGGGTCATAAACAAGCTGCCGAGGGAGGGGTGGAATGGCGCAATGACTTACTGCAATTAATAATCTCAATTGTTAATGGACACTAATAATTATCAATATTAATAACCCATAATATAATTTTTAAAATCAATACCGATAATGATAATTAATATTAAATAGTTATACTAATGATAACAATGCATGATTAATATTGATTAATGACGCCTGATATTAATAACTGATATTGATCTTATTCATTAGAAAACAGTAATATTGGCTCCTAATAATTAATATTAACAATAATCTGAAAACTTTTTATTAGAAATTATTTCTTAATATTAGTATTAATATCGGCCATTCATATTCATGTTAATAATAAATGAGGAATAATTCATACTAATATTATGCCCTAATACCTCAGTGGGTGTACACCCACCTGTGATATTGCTCCTAATGTCCAGGGAGGGAGAGAGCATGATATTACGTTCAATATCGCAGTAGGTGTAAACCCAGCCAGTGATATTGATCCGAATATAATCTCCAGGGGGTGGAGTATGACGTTACTCCCAATATAGCACTGGGTGTGCATCCACCCGGTGATTTTGCTCCTAATATTCATGGAAGAAGAGAATGCTATTACTCCAAACATCGCAGGAAGTGTACACCCCCGTGTGAGATGGTCCTCAAAAATATTCCAAATCGGAGGAGGTGATATGACTACATATATGGTAGAAAGTGGACGCCGCCAAGGATATCGTTCCCATGATCCTGGAGGGAAGAGGATAATATTACTTTCAATATCACAGAAGGTGGACAAGCCCGCAATGATATCGTTTCTAATTGCAACGTGGGAGAGGAGGACATGACACCTGATATCCCAGGGAGTAGGAACACCCCTGTGATACTGTTCCTAATATTCAGAGAGGAAGAGGATGATATGACTCCCAATACAGACGGGTGTACAACCTCTGTACACAAACGGTGTACACCGGTGTGTGAAACGGTTCATAATCTCCAGAGGGGGAGATGATATTACTCACAATATGATAAACAGGCTGTGAGTCCACCGCCGATCCTAAAAACCAGGGGGGCAAGAGGGGCTGGCTCTTACTGCCCGCATGGCGGGGGGCGCCTCGCCCCCTGCGATTGGGGTCCTAAGAGCCAGGGGGGCAAGAGGTGCTGGCTCTTACTCCTTGCATGGCGGGGGGCGCCTCGCCCCCCTGCGATGGGGGTCCTAAGAGCCAGGGAGGCAAGAGGGGCTGGCTCTTACTCCTTGCATGGCGGGGGGCGCCTCGCCCCCCTGCGATGGGGGTCCTAAGAGCCAGGGGGGCAAGAGGGGCTGGCTTTTACGCCTCGCATCGCGGGGGGCACCTCGCCCCCTGCGATGGGGGTCCTAAGAGCCAGGGGGACAGGCGGGGCTGGCTCTTATGCCCCGCATCGCGGGGGGCGCCTCGCCCCCCTGTGATGGGGGTCCTAAGAGCCAGGGAGGCAAGCGGGCTGGCTCTTACTCCCCGCATCGCGGGGGGCGCCTTGCCCTCCTGCGATGGGGGTCCTAAGAGCCAGGGGGGCAAGAGGCCTGCCCTCAAGTCCTTATAGTATACTAATCCATTACAAGCACTTCCCTTTAGGACCCACCTCACAACACTCTTGCATTGGGGATGATGTTTCCAACACATGAATGTTGGGGGACACATGCAGACCATGGCATAGAGAAATCTCTCTTTCCCACCTGGAGTAAAACTGAGCAGGGAACAAAAGTGGGCAACTGGAAGAAGCAGCCTAAGAGGAGTGAACACTGTAAATGGGGAAGAGAGAAAACAACAGCAGAGAGATTTGT
This sequence comes from Homo sapiens, assembly GCF_000001405.40. Taxonomy (NCBI): domain Eukaryota; kingdom Metazoa; phylum Chordata; class Mammalia; order Primates; family Hominidae; genus Homo; species Homo sapiens. Next base: position 71,584,234 of record NC_000011.10, on the reverse strand, counting down.
GGGATTTTCAGAAATGCTTGAGTAGAGGAAGAGATTCCCTGCAAACACCAAAATGAGATTATATTATTGTTATTTGGACCGTAAAGGAAAAAAAAATTGGCTGAGCATGGTGGCTTATGCCTGTAATCCCAACACTTTGGAAGACCAAGGCAGGAAGATCACTGCAGACAAGGAGTTTGAGACCAGCCAGGGCAACTTGGCAAGACCCCATCTCTACAAAAAATTTAAAAATTAGCTGGGTATGATGACACACATCTATAGTCCCAGCTACTCAGGAGGCTAAGGAAGGAGAATTCTTTAAGCCCAGGAGTTAGAGGCTGCAGTGAGCTATGATCATGCCACTGCACTCCAGGCTGGGTGTCAGAGCAAGACCTTGTCTCAAAAAAAGAAAAAAAAAAAAAAAAAAAGGATCTCCACTGATACAATTTGGATGTCCCCTCCAACTCTCACATTGGTGGGGCGGGATAGGAGATGTTTGAATTATGGGGGCGGATCCCTCATGAATGGTTTAGCGCTATCCCCTTGGTGATGAGTGCGTTCACTCAGATCTGGTTGTTCACAAGTGTGTGGCCCCTCCTCACCCCTTGCTCCCATTCTCACCATGTGGCGTGCCTGCTCCTGCTTCACCTTCCACCATGAGGAAAAGCTCCCTGAGGGCTTGCCCAGAAGCCGAGCGGAGATGGGTGCAATGCTTGTGCAGCCTGCAGAACCATGGCCATTCTAACCTCTTTCCTTTATAAATTACCCAGCCTCAAGTATTTCTTTACACAATGCAAAGAACGGTCTAACACACCCAGAAAACTGAGACTGGCATGAGTAAAATATTACTTAATATAATATGCATGAATATTTATATTAATATTATGCTTGCAGAAATCTACCAAATCCATCTCCAGGATACATGATAATAAAGAATTTGTTTTCTTCTTTACTTGTGTTTCCTATAAAGACCATGGGTGAATTTTGAAATCTAAAAACATAAAATTAATATTATCTGGAGGGATAGACAGGGAAGATGAGAGCATGTGGGCAGAGGCTGTTGCCCATTGGTCACATGTGGTCAGCAGAGAGCGGGTGACCAGCACCCTGGAACTTTGCGGGAAGCACCAGACCAGCCTGGAGCTGAGGTTTTAATTGTAGGGGCCAAAACAAATGGGGAAGAAGACAAATTTAGAAAACAAAGAAAGTAGATGCTCAACTGAGCCAGGAGGAAGTCACTAGCAAAGAGGAAAAAAATAGAGCTCTGGAAAAATAGTGTAAACAGTCACAAGGAAAGGACCCTGCGTCCTCCCTGACCTCTGGACAGGTATATAAAGAGCCCAGGCTCAGGGGGCTCCACACCTGCACCTCCCTCTCACCTGCTCCTCTACCTGCTCTACTCTCAATCCGCCAGAATCATGGGCTGCTGTGGCTGTTCTGGAGGCTGTGGCTCTGGCTGTGGGGGCTGTGGCTCCGGCAGTGGGGGCTGTGGCTCTGGCTGTGGGGGCTGTGGCTCCAGCTGCTGTGTGCCCATTTGCTGCTGCAAGCCTGTGTGCTGCTGTGTGCCAGCCTGTTCCTGCTCCAGCTGTGGCTCCTGTGGGGGCTCCAAAGGGGGCTGTGGCTCTTGTGGGAGCTCCAAGGGTGGGTGTGGTTCTTGTGGCTGCTCCCAGTCCAACTGCTGTAAGCCCTGCTGCTCCTCCTCAGGCTGTGGGTCATTCTGCTGCCAGTCCAGCTGCTCCAAACCCTGCTGCTGCCAATCCAGCTGCTGCCAGTCCAGCTGCTGCAAGCCCTGCTGCTGCCAATCCAGCTGCTGCCAGTCTAGCTGCTTCAAGCCCTGCTGCTGCCAGTCCAGCTGCTGTGTCCCCGTGTGCTGCCAGTGTAAGATCTGAGGCTCTGGACCCAGACCTTCAGGTTTCTCCTCTTTGGTGAAAGCATTTCTTATGGTTTCTCTGAATCAGTTCATCCCACACATCATCCTGAGGCACCTGCACCTGCTCTAGCTCATCATCCATGCATGCACCTCTTTCCATGGCTCGGCTCTCCTCTAGGCCCTGCCTTCAGCTTCCTCACTCCGGAAACATGTGTTTCCTTGATGCAGGAGGTGTTCTTCCCTGGACGCCATGGTGTTCCCTGCACTTGGGTGTGGACCATCTTCTTCTTCTCCCTGGGCTGACTGAGATGCTAGGTCTGACCCCACAAGGCCAGGCCGACATTCCTGAGTGATCACTAAGAACCAGTTTCTCAACCACCACTGGGATTCTGGGTCCTCCTGGGCTGCTGCCTGTTCTCCTGTGACCCACCTGTGAGCAAGAAGGTCTCCTTCCTTCCTGTTGTCTCCATCTATTTAAAAAAAAAATGAATGAATTTCCTTGCAATAAAGCCTCTCATGTCTGTAAACCAACTGTACACTTGGTGCAATTCTGTCTAACCCCTTTCCTGTGTGGTGACTGATTCTGTGTTCTAATTTGTCAGCTAAGCTGGGAAATGCCTGCCAGCAGGCTTGGTGCATTCAAAAAGAACCACGAAGTTCACTTCTGCCTTCCACGCGGCCTCAAATATCTTCACTCTCTCTGCTTGCAGAAGAAGAGGGCTCAGCCTGGGGAGGATTCGGTATTCAATGCCCACCCTAGAGGCGCAGAGGGGCAGGCGGGCCCTGAGTCCTGATGACCAGCCAAGCAGGGCTTTGCACAAGACCCATGGCTTCCAGCTTCCCGCTCTCCTCTGGGGCCTTGGAAGGACCCAGGCAGGGCAAGGTCGGAGGAGGGAGGAGTGAAGCACCGCTGAGCTCCAACGCACTCTGATTCAAACACTCAATTAGCCTTTTACAATTATGAGGTCAACGGCTTTCCATAACTAAAGGTAACCAGGAAGTTACAGAATGGCCCAAGGTGTCCTCGGAGCTCAGTCTCCCGGCAGGAAAGGAGAGTTCCTGGGAAGTGACACATTTGGGGACCCTGAGCCAAGTCCATCTGTTTCATGGTGATGCGCCACCACGCTGAGCCTGTTCTCTGACCAGTGTCACAGGCAAGGCTTTAGAAATCACGCACTGGGGAGGAGGGGACAAGAGTGATCTGAGGACGATTTCCAGCCAAGCGAACCCGGAGGGAAAAGGTGGAGGGAAGACAACACACAGGGAGTGCTGGTGAGAAATGAGCTCCCACAGAACACTCACAGATCTAAGCGACTGCTGATACTGCCGGGGAAGAGCAGAGTGGGAATTTCCAAGACAAATTTCTGAGAGAAAAGAGATGCAATGTAAGGAAAAATGAAATAATCTAGAAATAAAGGCTTAGATTATTTCAACCACATTTAGGAGAGGGAATAAAAGTGTGTCAAAGGTGCATCTTGCTAGGGGACATGGCTATTGATAGTTTCACAACGCTAAAAGGAAATGCTGCTTAAGACAGTTCACTCAAAAATCCAAACTGGGAAACTCCAGAAGGTGGCAGCAGACATGAACGCAGAGTTCATTACATCTGAGCCCTGTACATTCCCACAACCCACAGGACACCAAGCAACTAGGTAACAAAACCAAAAATGCATGCTGGAGATTTATAACAAAACCAGGTAAGCCAGGCATGGTGGTGCAAACCTGCAGCCCCAGCTACTCAGGAGGCTGAGGCAAGAGGATGGCTTGAGCCTGGGAGTTTGAGGCTGCAGTGACTTTTGATCATGCCTCTGAACTCCTGGGCAACATAACATGAGACTTTGTCTCAATAAACCAAAAACAAAAAACAAACAACAACAACAAAACAAAAACAAACAAAAAAACACCAAACAAAAAATGAACAAGTGAGCCTCAAAACACAAGACTGTCAGGACAAGTTTCCAAGAGCCACAGTTCCCCAGAGTATCAGTGTCTGTGTAGGAGAAAGCAAAGAAACATCTAACAGAGCTGAAAACAGGGGAACCTCGAAAGAGCCAACAGGTGCGTGCCGGAAAACACAGCGTGAATTTTGAATTCGGCTCCTGAAATGGGGAAGGTTTTCCTCCCTCTAGTGGTGAGTGGGTGCAAGGGCCCTTGGTAAGTCCCTACAGGCAATGGAAGAAAGCTGGGAAGCCTGCCATGAAACAGATCACAGTGGTAGCGTACTGTTCCCAAAGGAGCTAATGAACAATGAAAGGAAATGATACCAGACATAAAAGAGGCTGCATGTGGTGGCTCATGTCTGTCATCCCTGCAATTTGGGAGGCCAAGGCAGGAGGATCACTTGAGACCAGGAGATCAAATCCAGCCTGGACAATAAAGAGAGATCTTATCTTTAACTTAAAAAAAATTTATTTTAAGTACCTGGGCATGGGGACACCCACCTGTAGTCTTGTTTATTCAGGCAGATTGCTTGAGACCACGGGATGGGGATTGCAGTGACCTGTGACTGCGCCACTGCACTTCATACTGGGCAACAGTCTCAGTGCAGTTGCTGCAAACTCTGCTGCTGCTCCTCAGGCTGTGGATCAACCTGCTCCCAGTCCAGCTGCTGCAAGCCCTGCTGCTCCCAGTCCAGCTGCTGTGTCCCTATTTGCTGTCAGTACAAGATCTGATCTTTAACACACAGTCATATTGGCTCTCATCCACATGCTCCAGACAGAGACCAATGTATCAGCATAAAGCCGTGAATCACAGCCCTGGGGTGACTGTTTTCTAGAATGCTGGAGCAGCAGTATTTGGAACAGGAAGAGCCTTCACAGGCCCTGTGCGGGGCACAGCCCCTCACCACCCTCGTCTCACCATGCGCGGCTGTCATGGTGCATGAGACCGCTCCTCTTCCTCTCCTGCACCACCTCTCTCTACCCTGATGTTCTAAACCCTCTCCTCCCAGGCACAGTCCCAGGAAAGCTCCTGGTGCCGTTTGTCTATTGGGCTCTGCAAATTCTGAGCCTTGACCTTGTGATTCCTTTGAATAAGCGATCGCTTCCCCTCACGAGTCCTGTTTTCAGTGTGGCCCTTTTCCTGCTGTTCCTTTTGAATGAGCCTTTCAACCTCCCTCCTGGCCCTAAAGCACCCCCTTTCTTTGCGCTTCCTGATCACATCAGGCTGTTGGGTGATCCACTCCTACATGCGGCACAGTTTGCTAAGCACCACTGCATGCACCAGGAGCGCGAGAAGAACGCAGCGTGGCGCCTGGCCTTGGGGTGCTTGGACGGGAGCTGGGGAGCCCCTACGATAGGGTGGAGGGGTAACTGAGGTCCTCCACAGCCAGGTGGCGAGAAGGCCGAGCGGGGCAGATGTGAGAGGGTCTGAGACGCAGCATGACAGGGAAGAGACCAGCCAACTCTAAAAATAGCTTTGGGAGTAGAATTTCAAGCATGGTGACTGCTTGGATGGACGAAGGGCTGGGAGAGGCATAGAGAGAAAGGAGGAGGGAAGGGGGGCTCCCTTGTTCCTGAGCCAGTGCAGAGTCCTCCAGGACCCACTTCTTTCTGTGTCCTGCCCACCCTGTGACCTGGCCAGCTGCACGTTTTCCCAGCAGGCTTGAAGCCACGCTGTGCTGTGAACATTCCCAGGCCCTGAACACTGAGAAAGGTGTTCACGTTGATGCCCAAAACAGTGAAATCTCAAACACGTGGCTAAACATGCAGAAGCTATCTCAGACCCTGAGGCTAACCCCTCACAGCCCCATGTGAGCTCCACGGCCTGGGCCCTCGCTGCAGACATGCCTGCGTGTCCCCCTTCTCTCAGTTGTGACTGTGGCTTGGACCTACCTACGTCTGCCCCCTCTGGCGTTGTGGCCTTGGCTGGCATCCTCTGAAAAAGATGAAGGGAGGGAAAGGGACACAGCCCTCCTGACCTCCCCTGACAAATGCTCTTGACTGACCCCCTCTCTGGAGGGGCTGGAGCTGCCCCTGCAGTGACTCCCCTGCCACAGCTTTTGGGGTGACTCCAGCAGCAGGACTGGCCAGACAGAACAGTAAGGGAATTCAAAAGAGACCCACCTTATTGGTCACATAATTTTGCATAAATCCCACAGGATAATATTAGCATTGGTTTAAGTGGTTCACTGATTGTTTTAAAGGGATTTGTATTTTGAAGTCTTAATAAAACAAGCAGAGAAAATCCATGCGACCCCTTGATTCTGCCAAAAAACCACCTGCTTCTTGGAAGAGGCCAGACCCCGTTCAGAGCCACCGTTTACCAATCAGAGAAGTAGAGAGGCTCGCTCAGCAGAGATGCGTGTCTCCTCTTCAAGCTGTGAGAGTCTGAAGCCCCCAGACACTAGAGGAGTGTGTGGAGGGTGTATGGGGGGTTGTTTCTGTTTGAATGTGTGTATGTGAGTGTATGAGTGTGTGTGTGAGAGAATGCGTGTATGAGTATGCATATGACTGTGTGTGTGTGCAAATATGCATGAGGATTTGCATGAGTGTGTGAGTGCACATGAGTGTATGAGCAGGTGCATGAGTGTGTCAGTGTGTGTGTGAGTGTGAGAGTATGTGTATGAGTGTGTGAGTGCATGTGAGCGTATGAGTCGGTGTAGGGGTGTGTCAGTGTGTGTGTGTGAGTATGAGAGTGTGTATGAATGTGTGAATGCATGTGAGTGTACGAGTTGGTGTAGGAGTGTGTGAGTGAGTGCGAGAATGTGTATATGAGTGTGTGAATGCATGTGAGTCAGTGTAGAGGTGTGTGAGTGTGTGTGAGTGTGAGAATGTGTGTATGAGTGTGTGAGTGTGAGAATGTGTGTATGAGTGTGTGAATCCATGTGAGTGTACGAGTCAGTGTAGGGGTGTGTGAGTGTGTGAGTGTGAGAGAGTGTGTATGCGCTTGCACAGAGTGGCTCCCATCACCAGCCCCGGTAGCTGGAACCCCCTGCGGTCATCACTGGAAGTCCTGACCAGAGCTGCCTGCCCTCCAGGCTCTGATGATCCTGCCAAGTCCTGCGGGTCCTCCTTGAAGAGCGGCAGCCTGAAGCCCCGACCCCTGCAGACCCAAGGCTGTCTGGGGACGGGGTGGTGCACCGCGTCCTCCTGTCCAGGGCCAGGCGCAGCGAACATGCCCATTAAACACAGATGCCCCTCACCCGCCGCCGGGGCCTGGGGCACGGGCACGTGCGTGTAGGCTTTTCAGGAACAGGATTCACGGCTTCTATCACCAGGTTCTGGAACGGGTCTCCCACGCACGTTGACCTGGGCCTCAAGTACTACAGCCTCCACGCGGGAAAGAAAAGTCCCGGTTCTGCAGGGTGACCAAGTCACATGAGGAGGACAGGCCAGGGATGGAGGAGCGGGGCAAACTAGGGGTATCGTTCACCCAAATTTGTCCGCAGCCCCATCCAGAGGGATTTCCTGCTCTGACCCCACCCTGCCCCTCATGCAGACGGAGGGGCGCAGGCGGCCGGCAGGGCGGGGAGAGTCCATCAGCCTCAGAGAAGCCATGGGGGGCTGGGGGCGGGGACCGCGGCGCTGACTGTCCTGAGAAATAGGAAGAGAGAAAGACACAGACGCGGACCCGATTCTCAACTCAGAACACAAGTGGAGAAGAGGAGCCTCTCGGGTCTAGGGGCTCACGGGACATCCCTGCCCCTCCTGCCAATTTTGCGTTTCCGACCCAAGTCCATGTGTGAATCCCCTGGGCTTTGGGGGTTCCCCATGCCCTGGTGGAGCAGCCCCTGCCCCTCCCTCAGAGCATTTCTCCAGCCCCTTCCCCACCACCTGCCATTCCCACAGGAATGTGCCAAGAGAAGCTTTAGGGCAGCCAAGGGCTTCCTTTCTTCTTGGCATCAGCTGGAGGTCTCTATGACCGCTAATGGTTGGGGGCATGGTGGGGAGAATTCATTATTTCTTCTAGCACTGTTCTCTTTAAGAAATTACATCATCAATAGTTTAGAAAGATTGCTTTTTGTCTCATAGCTCACTATCAATAACTATGTTAATTTTTAGAATTGTCAAATTTGGGGTGACATCATCAAATTGCTTTCCTATTAAGCTATAATATTTGGAAGACATTTCTGAAAACTAGCTCTGCCTCTGGACCTTTCAAACCATGTTTCTCCTCCACTGCCTACATGCAGTCCCTGGAGGATGCATGGTGTCACGACACAATCTCTGGCTGTTCATCTTTGTGTTGCCATTACCTGGGCAAGTTGTCACAGTGAGTGGTGGGAGTATTCCTGGAAGTCATTCATCTTCTAGAGGACAAGAATTTATTGAACTGTAGCTGGAAATTTACTTCGCAATGCTCACTCCCCATGGTCATGGCCCTAAATGAATATGGCCCCAGAAATGTCACCTTACACAAAGCCTATGTTGGGGCTACAGGCTTAGTGGTGGAAATCATGTGCAGTTAGGACATTTAGCAAATTTGGATCAGCATCTGTGTGTGTGGTCACATGTTACAGCCGCCAATCAGCCTCCGTCTGCACTGCATCCCCTCTGCCCCACCCTCTTCTTTGTCTAGTGAAATGATCTGCAACCATCCAATCCTCTCTCCACACCTCCAGCCCCCTCTTCATTTTTTCTTTATGTTTCCACTTGCTAAACTTTGATTTATTTCTTCTTAGCCATTCTTGCAGGGGTTCTCCTGCTATTCACTAACATTCTGTATCTTCTCACAGGATCAGAGACAGGGTTTGGGGGTTCATGAACCTACAAAATAACAACAGAGAAAGGATGGAACATAATGGTCGGTAGAGAGCAGGCTCGGGAGCATGGTAGCTGGCTGGGCCCTGGAGGAAGGTGGGTGATGAGTGAGTGATGGTTTAGGGGAAGTGATCATTCGTACCGAGGAGGAAGCTTCCTTTAGTTTGGTTTTGCAGCACCCTAGAGAGGCACTAAGAGCAGCCCCCTGGGAACGCCAGCTACCTGCCTATGCAATGGATCCGTGCCTTCCAGAGCCGCTCAGCCCTGGACAAGCATATTGTTTCCAGCTACTAAGAAAATGCTGCTGTGCATGTTCAACTCTAACTTTATGATCTGGGTGATGAGAAAATGCCCAGATCTCGATGAGCAGTTACGACTGCATACATACTTCATGTGCAAGGGTCAGGCATAGCGTCTTCATCGGAGTCCACAGCCAACCCTGAAGAGCTGCTGGTGAAATTGAATATGGGCTTACTAGGAAGCCCTACAGGTGATTCTCTGATTGGGGGTTGCTGGAGGCTCCACATAGCATTCCTATCTGCACAGACACTTCATGTAGCAGTGGGTCTGCTGGGTCATATGGCCCAAATGGCAGGGCAGCTTGCAACACAGCCTCATTCTACTGCAAACTTTTCTTGTCTGAGCCCTGCTCAAAACTGGAAGTTATTTAGTTAATGGTTGGTCGCTGCATACCCAAAGGTAGTGCACGTGCAAACCCTAAAAGGCCCACCAAGGGGAGAATTTTGGAAGGTGCAGCAAGTTTGCCCTCACTTTAGTGGGAATATTCTGACACTTCTCAGAACATAAGTTCTATAGAAATTATAATACACCTGCATTTTCACAAAGTTTATCCCCTGTCCTTGAGTATGCGTGTGTTTTACCCAGGTACTTAGGGTACTTCAAATTCCTACTTACTAGGGCTGGTGTAGTGGATCTACATTGTATCAATCTAGTGTAATGTTCTTGGATAACAAGACGATACAGATAACTCTGGATTCTACTGTGACAGAGAGAGGCCTTGACCTGGCCCTGAAGTAGCAGGGTTGATAGTATATTGCTGCTCCTGCCAGGTGAATGCAAACTCCCCTGGATCGTCTTTGCTAGGTGGAATTGAAAAGAAAATCTGTTATAACAATAGCTGCATATCACGTGTCAGAGGCTGTGTGAGCTGCTTCAATAAGGACGTGCCAACTAGGAGAGCAGCTGCAATTGGCTTTCCCACCTAATTGTTTAAAAAATTCAGAGTGTTTCTCCAAGACCCATGTGCCTTTTGTGCTGGTCAAACAGGAGAGCTAAATGGGGCTGTGGCAGGAATTAGAGTTGTCAATAATCTCTGAAGTTCTCTGAGAAAGAAGTATTACTTCCATTCTCTCTATGTCCCTGAGGGTGTGTGTGTGTGTGTGTGTGTGTGTGTGTGTGTGTGTCTGTGTGTGTTTATTTTTTAACTACAATAGGTCTTCTACAGGGACCTAATATGGAGATTATCTCAGCTACTCAGGTATCTCCTCCCACTACCTATTCCCTGTGAGGAGGCAGCCATGGGATTGGCCCACAGGCTCACTGGACCCACCGTAAGGAAGACTAAAGCCAAGCCCCCATCCCCCTCCCAACTTACAAAGGCTCCCACTCTGAGAATAGGCTCCTCTCGTGTGATCTTTCCCTAAGGATTAGCATCCATTGAAAGCTAATTTCTGATGATCCCCTGAAATATCTAGGCTCCCTTTTCCTAGTGAAAGTGGTGGCAGCAGGTTCCTTCAGGGGAGGCTTAGAACAGTTGTGGCTGACGTCTGTGACATCATGCAGGGCCCTTGCTTAGGAGGATCTGGCTTCCCTCCAGTCAATGGGCCCTGAATTTGCAATTTGGCTAAGGTTTCAGGAAACCCCTACTATGGTGATTGGAGCTACGTTTCTGCCCACCAGACCTGGAATGTTGCTGCTGATGTAGATGAAGCAGAGGGGGCATTGTAATAGGCTGCCTGTCCCCCCATCAGTGACCCACTGCTGAGCATGTCCACGTATCAGTGGAGTCTCACCACCACCCATTCCCGGCAGCTGGTGATGGTGATTGGGACACTTGTTTCTGACAACTCAGTGCCATCACCTGGCTTTCCCACTCTGGGCTCCTCTATTCCCATTGCAGTTGGGAGAGGCATCTCCCACTGTAGACATCTCTGGCCCCAGAGGACAAGGACCACCCCCTAAGAGCTTTCCAAGGATGCCTCGGCCCTCCTCACTCACGTGTGTTTTCATCCCTTGATTACACGAGTGTTCTCCCAGCCCTATCGAGTCATATGTTTAGGGGACGGTGAATACGTTGCACTTCATTAATCCACATCAGCATTCTCCTCTTCCTGGACTTTTGCTTTCTTTTCTTTACAGTAAGCGCTTGGCAAACTATGGCCTATGGGCAAACACACCCCACCCCTTTGGTTTGTTTTTGTTTTTATTTATTAACAGCTTTACGTAGGTAGCACTAATATACAAAAGAAAATTGCACTGATGTAACGTATACAGTTTGAGAACCGCCCGCCTCTGTAAAGAAAGTTCTGTCTACAGCTGCCTTAGTGCTACAGCGGCAGAACTGGGCAGCTGGGGCAGAGACCTGATGACTTACAAAGCCTACAACGTGACTCTCTAATCTTCCCAGGGAAAGCTTTCCAGGCCCGTGGTCACGATGCAACCTTGCTGACTGTCGGTCAGGTTTGTACAGTTCGGGCCTGGTTGCCAACCTAGCTGACTGTGAATGCCAGTCCCCGTGTTTGGACCAGCACTTTAAAACCCAAACCCTGGTGAGGGCACCTGAATAGACATGCTTGACTTGACTTTCCCTCATTTCTCAACCTTTCCTGTTCCAACTTCCCCTGCTCTGGACGATGAGATGGGCAGCACCCTGCACCTGCGCTGTGTGTAGCTGTCTCCTTCCCACACAGGCTCACCCGCTTCCACCTGTGCTGTTCTGGGGGCTACCTCTCCTGTGGGTCTGGGGATGGTGGTGGGTCCTTGAGTGGCGACTGCTTCAGCTGATGTCATTGGAAGGGGTCTTTCTAAGGGAGATGGGACCATCTTAGCTGCGGGTGGGTGGGTGTGAGGGGGTGACCAGGGTGGGCCAGGACAGGCTGCTTAGAGTTCAGGGAAATTTGAGGATTCCAAGTTTTTGACTCTTGTATCTACCCAGATGATTTCATCCCAAGAGTTTCAGCAGAGGCCTGCCCCTCGAAGTCGTGTTCTTACCTTATTACTAGCTCCTAATTGCAGGGCTGTGCATTTTAATTGCTGCCCTGATTCTGCAGCCCCCACAGTCAGGCATCCGCATGACCCCCAGCCGGGGCTGCCCACAGGAAATGATGCCGACACCCCGGGGTGCTCTCTTTTTGGCTGTTTGGGGGTTTTTATTTCACTTTTTCCCTCTACCAGTTTTTATTTCTTACACAATAACATCTTGGCAGCCATAAATAAAATAATTATGAAAATAAGGAAAAATTGCACAGAACCTCATCACTCTAAAGCATCGAATTCTTATATCCCACGTCCACATGCAAATCCACTGTTTTTCAGAATTGTAAAGAAAATATTTGACAAGAACATATACACCAAACCCTGTTTTTATGTTAAAAAAATCAACCACAAAAACTTAGAATGGGTGACCTGGTTTAACAGTGGCTAATTTTTTTTTAAAGACCTGGGTTATTTGAGTGAACTTTGAGCTCAGGATGAGGCTAGGGTGTGGCGTTGCTGCCAAAGCCCACTCTGAGGACTCCGGGTGCGTTCATAGCCAGTGAGCAGCTGAGGGCTGGATGGTCCCCTCCGCATCAGCCCATGCGCGTTTTTAATGGACTTTATTTTTCAGAGCAGTTTTAGGTTCACAGCAAAATTGGCAGGAGGGGCAGGGATGTCCCGTGAGCCCCTAGACCCGAGAGGCTCCTCTTCTCCACTTGTGTTCTGAGTTGAGAATCGTGTCCGCTCTGTGCCTTTCTCTTTTCCTATTTCTCGGGACAGTCAGCGCCGCGGTCCCGGCCCCCAGCCCCCCATGGCTTCTCTGAGGCTGATGCACTCTCCCCGCCCTGCCGGCCGCCTGCGCCCCTCCGTCTGCATGAGGGGCAGGGTGGGGTCAGAGCAGGAAATCCCTCTGGATGGGGCTGCGGACAAATTTGGGTGAACGATACCCCTAGTTTGCCCCGCTCCTCCATCCCTGGCCTGTCCTCCTCATGTGACTTGGTCACCCTGCAGAACCGGGACTTTTCTTTCCCGCGTGGAGGCTGTAGTACGTGAGGCCCAGGTCAACGTGCGTGGGCGACCCGTTCCAGAACCTGGTGATAGAAGCCGTGAATCCTGTTCCTGAAAAGTCCACGCGCATGTGCCCGTGCCCCAGGCCCCGGCGGCGGGTGAGGGGCATCTGTGTTTAATGGGCATGTTCGCTGCGCCTGGCCCTGGACAGGAGGACACGGTGCACTGGCCCGTCCCCAGACAGCCTTGGGTCTGCAGGGGTCGGGGCTTCAGGCTGCCGCTCTTCATGGAGGACCCGCAGGACTTGGCAGGATCATCAGAGCCTGGAGGGCAGGCAGCTCTGGTCAGGACTTCCAGTGATGACCGCAGGGGGTTCCAGCCACGGGGGCTGGTGATGGGAGCAGCTCTCTGCAAGCGCGTAAACACACTCTCACACTCACACACACACACCCCTACACTGACTCGTACACTCACATGGACTCACACACTCATACACACATTCTCACACACACTCACACCCCTACACCAACTCGTACACTCACATGCATTCACACACTCATACACACACTCTCAGACTCACTCACACACACACACTGACACACCCCTACACCGACTCATATGCTCACATGCACTCACACTTATACACTCAATCTCACACTCACACTCACACACTGACACACTCATGTACCTGCTCATACACTCATGTGCACTCACACACTCATGCAAATCCTCATGCATATTTGCACACACACTCACAGTCATACGCATACTCATACACATATTCTTTGACACACACACTCATGCACTCACATGCACACATTCAAACACAACCCCCCATACACCCTCCACACACTTCTTTGGTGTCCGAGGGCTTCAGACTCTCACAGCTTGAAGAGGAGACACGCATCTCTGCTGAGCGAGCCTCTCTCCTCTGATTAGTAAACGGCGGCTCTGAACGGGGTCTGGCCTCTTCCAAGAAGCAGGTGGTTTTTTGGCAGAATCAAGGGGTAGCATGAATTTTCCCTGCTTGTTTTATCAAGACTTTAAAATACAAATCCCTTTAAAACAATCAGTGAACCACTTAAACCAATGCTAATATTATCCTGTGGGATTTATACAAAGTTCTGAGACCAATAAGGTGGGTCTCAATTCCCTTACTGTTCTGTCTGGCCAGTCCTGCTGCTGGAGTCACCCCAAAAGCTGTGGCAGGGGAGTAATGCAGGGACAGCCCCAGCCCCTCCAGAGAGGGGGTCAGTCAAGAGCATTTGTCAGGGGAGGTCAGGAGGGCTGTGTCCCTTCCCCTCCCTTCATCTTTTTCAGAGGATGCCAGCCAAGGCCACAACGCCAGAGGGGGCAGATGTAGGCACATCTGAGCCACAGTCACAACTGAGAGAAGGGGGACACGCAGGCATGTCTGCAGCGAGGGCCCAGGCCGTGGAGCTCACATGGGGCTGTGAGGGGTTAGCCTCAGGGTCTGAGATAGCTTCTGCATGTTTAGCCACGTGTTTGAGATTTCACTGTTTTGGGCATCAACGTGAACACCTTTCTCAGTGTTCAGGGCCTGGGAATGTTCACAGCACAGCGTGGCTTCAAGCCTGCTGGGAAAACGTGCAGCTGGCCAGGTCACAGGGTGGGCAGGACACAGAAAGAAGTGGGTCCTGGAGGACTCTGCACTGGCTCAGGAACAAGGGAGCCCCCCTTCCCTCCTCCTTTCTCTCTATGCCTCTCCCAGCCCTTCGTCCATCCAAGCAGTCACCATGCTTGAAATTCTACTCCCAAAGCTATTTTTAGAGTTGGCTGGTCTCTTCCCTGTCATGCTGCGTCTCAGACCCTCTCACATCTGCCCCGCTCGGCCTTCTCGCCACCTGGCTGTGGAGGACCTCAGTTACCCCTCCACCCTATCGTAGGGGCTCCCCAGCTCCCGTCCAAGCACCCCAAGGCCAGGCGCCACGCTGCGTTCTTCTCGCGCTCCTGGTGCATGCAGTGGTGCTTAGCAAACTGTGCCGCATGAAGGAGTGGATCACCCAACAGCCTGATGTGATCAGGAAGCGCAAAGAAAGGGGGTGCTTTAGGGCCAGGAGGGAGGTTGAAAGGCTCATTCAAAAGGAACAGCAGGAAAAGGGCCACACTGAAAACAGGACTCGTGAGGGGAAGGGATCGCTTATTCAAAGGACTCACAAGGTCAAGGCTCAGAATTTGCAGAGCCCAATAGACAAATTGCAACAGGAGCTTTCCTTGGGACCATGCCTGGGAGGAGAGGGTTTAGAATGTCAGGGTAGAGAGAGGTGGTGCAAGAGAGGAAGCAGGAGCGGTCTCATGCACCATGACAGCCACCCATGGTGAGATGAGGGTGGTGAGGGGTTGTGCCCCGCACAGGGCCTGTGTAGGCTCTTCCTGTTCCAAATACTGCTGCTCCAACATTCTAGAAAACAGTCACCCCAGGGCTGTGATTCACGGCTTTATGCTGATACATTGGTCTCTGTCTGGAGCATGTGGATGAGAGCCAATATGGCTGTGTGTTAAAGATCAGATCTTGTACTGACAGCAAATAGGGACACAGCAGCTGGACTTGGAGCAGCAGGACCTGCAGCAGCTGGACTGGGAGCAGCAGGGCTTGCAGCAGCTGGACCGGGAACAGCAGGACTTGCAGCAGCTGGACCGGGAACATCAGGACTTGCAGCAGCTGGACCGGGAGCAGCAGGGCTTGCAGCAGCTGGACTGGGAGCAGGTTGATTCACAGCCTGAGGAGCAGCAGCAGAGTTTGCAGCAACTGCACTGAGAATGTTGCCCAGTATGAAGTGCAGTGGCGCAGTCACAGGTCACTGCAGCCTCCACCTCCTGGTCTCAAGTAATCCTCCTGAGTAAACAAGACTACAAGTGGGTGTCACCATGCCCAGGTACTTAAATTTTTTTTTTTTGTAGAGATAAGATCTCTCCTTATTGTCCAGGCTGGATTTGATCTCTTGGCCTCAAGTGATCCTCCTGCCTTGGCCTCCCAAATTGCAGGGATGACAGGCATGAGCCACCACATGCAGCCTCTTTTATGTCTGGTATCATTTCCTTTCATTGTTCATTAGCTCCTTTGGAAACAGTACGCTACCACTGTGATCTGTTTCACAGCAGGCTTCCTAGCTTTCTTTTATTGCCTATAGGGACTTACTGAGGGCCCTTGCACCCACTCTCCACTGGAGAGAGGAAAACCTTCCCCATTTCAGGAGCTGAATTCAAAATTCATGCTGTGCTTTTCCAGCACACACCTGTTGGCTCTTTTGAGGTTCCCCTGTATTCGGCTCTGTTAGATGTTTCTTTGCTTTCTCCTACACAGACACTGAAACCCTGGGGGACTGTGGCTCTTGTAAATTTATCCCCACCTTCTTGGACTTTGAGGTTCACTTGTTTTTTTTCTTGAGACACTATCTCACTTTAGGTTGCTGAGGCTGGATCCCAGGGGTGCGATCACAGCTCACTGCAGCCTCAAACTCCCAGGCTCAAGCCATCCTCCCACCTCAGCCTTCCACGTAGCTGAGGCTACAGGTGTGAGCCACCATGCCCAGCTTACCTGGTTTTGTTATGTCTCCAGCATGCATTTTCGGTTTTGTTACCTAGTTGCTCGGTGTCCTGTGGGTTGTGGGAATGTACAGGGCCCATATGTAATGAACTCTGCGTTCATGTCTGCTGTCACCTTCTGGAGTTTCCCAGTTTGGATTTTTGAGTGAACTGTCTTAAGCAGCATTTCCTTTTAACGTCGTGAAACTAACGATAGCCATGTCCCCTAGCAAGATGCACCTTTGACACACTTTTATTCCCTTTCCTAAATGTGGCTGAATTAATCTAAGCCTTTATTTCTAGATTATTTCATTTTTCCTTACATTGCATCTCTTTTCTCTCAGAAATTTGTCTTGGAAATTCCCACTCTGCTCTTCCCCGGCAGTATCAGCAGTCGCTTAGATCTGTGAGTGTTCTGTGGGAGCTCATTTCTCACCAGCACTCCCTGTGTGCTGTCTTCCCTCCACCTTTTCCCTCCGGGTTCGCTTGGCTGGAGATTGTCCTCAGATCACTCTTGTCTCCTCCTCCCCAGTGCGTGATTTCTAAAGCCTTGCCTGTGACACTGGTCAGAGAACAGGCTCAGCGTGGTGGCATGTCACCATGAAACAGATGGACTTGGCTCAGGGTCCCCAAATGTGTCACTTCCCAGGAACTCTCCTTTCCTGCCGGGAGACTGAGCTCCGAGGACACCTTGGGCCATTCTGTAACTTCCTGGTTACCTTTAGTTATGGAAAGCCGTTGACCTCATAATTGTAAAAGGCTAATTGAATGTTTGAATCAGAGTGCGTTGGAGCTCAGCGGTGCTTCACTCCTCCCTCCTCCGACCTTGCCCTGCCTGGGGTCCTTCCGAGGCCCCAGAGGAGAGCGGGAAGCTGGAAGCCATGGGTCTTGTGCAAAGCCCTGCTTGGCTGGTCGTCAGGACTCAGGGCCTGCCTGCCCCTCTGCGCCTCTAGGGCGGGCATTGAATGCTGAATCCTCCCGGGCTTTGCCCTCTTCTCCTGCGAGCAGAGACTGAAGATATTTGAGGCTGAGAGGAGGACAGAAGGGAATGGCAGGTTTTTTTGTGAATGTACCAGGCCTGCTGGCAGGCGTTTCCCAGCTTAGCTGACAGATCAGAACGCAGAATCAGTCACTGCACAGGAAAGGGGTTGGACAGAATTGCACCAAGCATGCAGCTGATTTACAGACATGAGAGGCTTTATTGTAAGGAAATTCATTCATTACTTTGTTATTGTTTTTAAATAGATGGAGACAACAGGAAGGAAGGAGACCTTCCTGGTCACAGGTGGCCACTGGAGAACAGGCAGCGAGCGGCCCTGGAGGATCCAGGGTCCCAATGGTGGTTGAGAAGCTGGTTCTTAGTGATCACTGAGCAACATTGGCCTGGCCTTGTGGGGTCAGACCTTGCATCTCAGTCAGCCGAGGGAGAAGAAGAAGATGGTCCACACCCAAGTGCAGGGAACACCATGGCAGTTGGCTGGGTGCCCGCGTCCAGGCAAGGCCACCTCCTGCATCAAGGAAACATGCATTTCCGGAGTGAGGAGGCTGAAGGCAGGGCCCAGTGGAGAGCTGAGCCATGGAAGGAGGTGCGTGCATGGATGATGAGCTGGAGAAGGGGCAGGTGCCTCAGGGAGGATGCGTGGGATGAATTAATTCAGGGAAATCATAACAAATGCTTTCACCAAACAGGTGAAACCTGAAGGTCTGGGTTCAGAGCCTCAGATCTTACACTGGCAGCACACGGGGACACAGCAGCTGGACTGACAGCAGCAGGGCTTGCAGCAGCTAGACTGGCAGCACACGGGGACACAGCAGCTGGACTGGCAGCAGCAGGGATTGCAGCAGCTGGACTGGCAGCAGGATCCACAGCCTGAGGAGCAGCAGCAGGGCTTACAGCAATTGCACTGGGAGCAGCCACAAGAACCACAGCCCCCCTTGGAGCCCCCACAGGAACCACAGCCACCTTTGGAGCCCCCACAGGAGCCACAGCCCCCCTTGGAGCCCCCACAAGAACCACAGCCCCCCTTGGAGCCCCCACAGGAGCCACAGCCCCCCTTGGAGCCCCCACAGGAACCACAGCCCCCTTTGGAGCCCCCACAAGAGCCACAGTCCCCCTTGGAGCCCCCACAGGAGCCACAGCTGGAGCAGGAACAGGCTGGCACACAGCAGCACACGGGCTTGCAGCAGCAGACGGGCACACAGCAGCTGGAGCCACAGCCCCCACAGCCAGAGCCATAGCCCCCACAGCCGGAGCCACAGCCCCCACAGCCGGAGCCACAACCCCCACAGCCGGAGCCACAGCCTCCGGAGCAGCCACAGCAGCCCATGATTCTGGTAGATTGAGGGTGGATCAGGTAGAGGAGCAGGTGAGAGGGAGGTGCAGGTGTGGAGCTCCCTGAGCCCGGGCTCTTTATATACCTGTCCAGATGTCAGGCAGGACACAGGGTCCCTTTCTTGTGACTGTTTACATTATTTTTCCAGAGCTCTGTTTTTTTCCTTTTTGCTAGTGACTTCCTCCTGGCTCAGTTGAGCATCTACTTTCTTTGTATGCTAAATTTGTCTTTTTCCCCGTTTGTTTTGGCCCCTATAATTAAAACCTCAACTCCAGGCTGTCTGGTACTTCTTGCAAAGCTCCAGGGTGCTGGTCACCTGCTCTCTGCTGACCACATGTGACCAATGGGCAACAGCCTCTGCCCACATGCTCTCATCTTTCCTGTGTTAACTCCCCCAGTAATATTAATTTTACATTTTCAGATTTCAAAAGTTATCCATGGTCTTTATATTTTACTCATACCAGTCTCAGCTTTCTGGGTGTGTTAGACCATTCTTTGCATTGCTCTAAAGAAATACTTGAGGCTGGGTAATTTATAAAGGAAAGAGGTTAGAATGGCTCATGGTTCTGCAGGCTGCACAAGCATGGCACCCACCTCTGCTCAGCTTCTGGGGAGGCCCTCAGGGAGGTTTTCCTCATGGTGGAAGGCGAAGCAGGAGTAGGCACGCCACATGGTGAGAATGGGAGCAAGGGGTGAGGAGGGGCCACACACTTGCGAACAACCAGATCTGAGTGAACACACTCATCGCCAAGGAGATGGCGCTAAGCCAGTTATGAGGGATCCGCCCCCATGACCTAAACACCTCCTTGCAGGCCCCTCCTTCAACACTGGGGATTACATTTCGACAAGAGATTTGGAGGGGACAGCCCAACTATGTCATTATCCCCCTGACCCCTCAAATCTCATGTCCTTACATCACAAAATAGGATCATCTCTTCTCAACAGTCCTCTCAATGTCTTGACTCATTCCAACATCAAGTCTGAAGTCCCAAGTCCAAGTTCCTTCTACCTATGAACCTGTGAAAATCAAAATACATTATTTACTTACAAGATGCAATGAGGGTAGAAGCATTGGGTAAACATTCCCATTCCAAAAGGGAGAAGTCAGCCCAAAGGAAGGGGCTACGGACCCCATGCATGTCTGAAATCCAGCAGGGCAGCCATTAAATCTTAAAGCTCCAAAATAATGTCCTTGGACTCCCAGTCCCACATCCAGGGTACACTGGAGTGAGGGGTGGACTCCTAAGGCCTTGGGGAACTCCACCCTCGTGACTTTGCAGGGTTCACCCCCTGCAGCTGCTCTCATGGGTTGGAGTTGGGTGCCTGCAGCTTCTCCATGCTCAAGATGCAAGCTGTCAGTTGCTCTACCATTCTGGGGGCTGGAGGATGGTGTCCTCCTTCCCACTGCTCAGTTAAGCAGTGCCCCTGTGGGGATCATTTACACAAGTAAAAGATCCTTCCCCACCCCTCACCCCTGTGGTGATATCTGTGCCCTTGTTCTTCACAGGGCACCCCAGTGGGGTGTGTCCCATGCACCCGCTTCCAGCCACCCTCCTCTTTCTAGCTCACTTTCTCCAGTGCTTTCATTCCACCAGAACTCTTGGTGCATTGATACAACCACGGCTTCACTGATCCCCAACCTCTCTGATACCTCTTCTTGTTTTGTTAACAGCTTTATTGACATATCGTTCATATACCACACAATTCTCCCATTTAAGGTATACAATTCAATGCTTTTAGTATATTCACAGAGCCGTGTACCTATCACCATAATCAGTTGTAGAAAATTTCATAACCTCATGCCCTTTAGTACCCCCCACTCACTACCCCACAGGACGGTTCTCCAGGCGGCTTCAGACCAATGCAATTCTCCCCGTGTCTCACTTGTGGTTCTCAGGCGTGACTGCAGAGGGAGCTGAACCGACATTTCTGAAAGAAGACGTACAAATGACCAACAAGAGCTTGAAGGAATGCTCAGCATCATTCATCATCAGGGACACGCAAGTCAAAACCACAATGAGGTGTCCTCTCATCCCACAGAATGGCCATTATCAAAAAGGCAAAAATAAATCCTGCAGAGGAAGTGAAGAAAGGGAACTCGTATGCTGTTAGTGGGAAGTTGTACAACCACTAAGGAAAACTGTATGGAGATTCCTCAAAAAGCTAAAAATAGAGCTAACCCAGCAATCCCACTATGGGGTGTGTATCCAAAGGAAAAGAAATCAGTGTGTTGAAGAGATATCTGCACCCCATGTTTATCACAGCACTGCTCACGATAGCCATGATATGAAAGCACCTAAGTGCTTGTCAACAGATGAATGGAAAACATGGAAAAGTAATGAAAAGGAAAAGATGGTGTATACACACAATGGAATTCTATTTAACCCTAGAGCAGAACAAAATTCTGCCCTATGTGACAATACAGGTGAGCTTGGAGGACATTATGCTAAATGAAATAAGCCAGGCACAGAAAGATGAACTGCATGATCTCACTCACAGGTGCAAGCTAAAGAAGTTGATATCTCACTGGTCCCCATAAACATGTACAATGATCATGCTTCAATTAAAATATTAATAAAGAAAGAAAAAGAATAACTGTAGAATATGCTGGGAATGCAACATCCTGAGTTAGGGAGGGACTGGCCAGAAGAGTCGGGCTTTGTCCCAGTTCCTAGAAACAGGATATTCTTTCGTGCTTTAGTGCAGTGAATCCTGTAGCCCTGGGACATAAGACCGAGGGCAGGCGGCTTTCTGGGATCCCTCAGCTGTGGTGTGAGTGGGGCACACATGGATAAGACTCAGCTCACCTGGGAAGCTTTGCTGAGGCTAGAGGGCTCCCAATGAATCCGAGGCTCCTGTTCTCCCTTGCTGCCTGTCTGTAACTGGTATACCCACTTCCTGTGACATATGTGAGTGTCTCACCTGAGTCTGATAAATGGGTAACATTAGTAGTAGCCAGAGGCTACTACTAATTTACTTTTTGTCTCTCTCTATTTTTCTATTCTTGAAATTTCATACCTGTGAAATTATATGATATGTGGTCTTTTATAATTTCCTTCTTTCACTTAGTGTAATGTTTTGTGGTTCATCCATGTTGCAGCCTGAAACAGAACTTCATTACTATGATAAATTATTTACACTAATCTTCCTTTGTATGAATACACCATTCATTCCTCAGTTGGCAGACATTAGACTGTTTCCACCTTTTGGCTGTTGTGAGTAATGCTGCTGTGAACATGGGTGTGCCAGTTTTTGCATGGAATGTGTTTTCATTTCCCTTGGGAACATCCTTATGAGCAGAATTGCTGGGCCCTATGGTAACTCTCTGCTTAAGTTTTTGAGGAACTGCAGACTGTTTTCCACAGTGGCTGAGCAATTTACATTCCCACAGCAGTGCATGGAGGTTCCAGTGTTTCTGCATCCTTGTCAACAGTTGTTATTTTATTTTATTTTTATTTATTTATTTTTTAGAGACAGGGTTTTACTGTGTTGACAAAGCTGAAGTGCAGTGTCATGATCATAGCTCACTGCAGCCTCAACCTCCTGGACCCAAGCAATCCTTGTCTCAAACTCCCCAGTAGCTGGGACTACAGTTGTGCCTCATCACACCCAGCTAAATTTTTAATTTTTTGTAGAGACAAGGTCTTGCCATGATACCCATACTAGACTCAAACTCGTGGCCCCAAGGGATCCTCCCTTCCAGCCTCCTGAGTCACTGGGATTACAGGTACAAGCACACCCTGCCCCAATACTTGTTAATGTCTGACCTTTTACATTATATTCATCCTAGTGTTTGTGAAATGGTATCTCATTGTGATTTCAATTTGCATCTCCCTGTTGAATCATGATGCTCAGAGTCTTTTTATATGCTTGTTGTCATTTGGGTATCTTCTTCAGAAAATGTCTAATTAAGATTCTTTGCCCACTTTTTAATTGGGTTATTTGTCTTTTTATTACTGAGTTCCACATCCAGAAGAATAAAACTGGGCCGCTAACCAGATCACCATATACAAACATTAATTCAAGATGGATTAAAGACCGAAATGTAAGACCTCAAACTATAAAAATCCTAGAAGAAGACCTAGGAAATCACCTTCTTGATATCAGCCTTGTTAAAAAAGAATTACGGCTAAATCCTCACAAGCAATTGCTACAAAAACAAAAATTGACAAGCGGGACGTAATTAAACGGAAGAGCTTCTGCACAGCAAGAGAAACTATCAGGGAGTCAACACTCAACCTACAAAATGGGTGAAAATATTCACACACTGTGCATCTGACAAAAGTCTAATATCTGCAATCTACAAGGAACTTAAATCAACAAGCAAAAAACAAATAACTTCATTACGAAGTGAGTAAAGGATATGAACAGACACTTCTCAAAAGAAGACATGCACATGGCCAACAACTATATGAAAAAATGCTCCACATCACTAACTATTAGGGGAATGTAAATCAAAACCACCATGAGATACCATCTCATATCAGTCAGAATGGCTTTTGATAAAAAATAAAAAATGAAACAACACAAAACAAAACAAACCAAAAATCAGATGCTGGCAAAGCTTGGGAGAAAAGGGAACAGTTGTACACTGTTGGTGGGAGTGTAAATGATTTCAGCCACCATGGAGAGCAGTTTGGAGATTCCTCAAAGAGCTAAGAATTGAACTACTATTTGACCCAGCAATCTCATTATTGGGTATATACCCAAAGGAAAATAAATCAATCTACCAAAAAGACACATGCATCCATATGTTCATTGCAGTGCTATTCACAGAAGCACAGATGTGGAATCAACCCAGGTGCCCATCAATGGTGGATTGGATAAAGAAAATGTGGTACATACACACCATGGAATACTACACAGCTATAAAAAAGAATGAAGTAATATCTTTTGCGGCAATATGCAGCTGGAGGCCATTATCCTAAGAGAACTAATGCAGAAGCAGAAAACCAAATCCCACATATTCTCACTTATAGGTGAGAGCTAAACATTGAGTCCACATGGACATAAAGATGAAAACCATAGACACTGGGGAACAAGAGGAGGGAGGAAAGGAGGGAGGGGGCAAGGGCTGAAAAACTATTGGGTACTACAGTCACTACTCCAAACCTCAGCATCACACAATATATCCATGTGACAAATCTGCACATGTACTGCTTGATTCTCAAATAAAAGTTGAAGAAAAAGTTCTTTATATACTCTAGATGCTAGACGCTTATCAGATATCTGATTTGTAAATCTTTTCTTCCTTTATGTAGATTGTTCTTTCACTTTGTTGATAGTATCCTTTGATTCAAAAATATTTAACTTTTGATGACATCCAATGTATTTGTATTTTTCTTTTGTTGCTGGCCCTTTTGGTGTCCTATCTATCAATCCATGCTAAATCCAGGTCATGTTTTCTTTAAATAGTTTTATAGATTTGACTCTT
This sequence comes from Homo sapiens, assembly GCF_000001405.40. NCBI lineage: Eukaryota > Metazoa > Chordata > Mammalia > Primates > Hominidae > Homo > Homo sapiens. Next base: position 71,560,147 of record NC_000011.10, on the reverse strand, counting down.
ACATGTAGGCCTTTGGACCGATTTTGAATTAATTATTGTGGTGTGAGGTAGGGGTTCAGCTCATTCCTGTGCATGTGGATGTCTAGTTTCCCAGCACCATTTGTTGAAGTACTGCTCTTCCTCCATTGAATAATCTGGCACTCTGTCAAAAATCAGTTGGTCATCTACACGAGGGTTTATTTCTGGCTCTCAATTCTATCCCACTGGTTTAATACATCTATTCTAATGCCAGTACTAAACTGCCTTGATGATTGCAGCTTTGTAGTAAGTTTTCAAATTGGCAAGTGTGAGCCCTCCAACATTGTTCTTCTGTGTTCTTTCTTTCTTTCTTTTTTTTTTTTTTTTTTTTGACGAAGTCTCACTCTGTAGCCCAGGCTGGAGTGCAGTGGCACAACCTTGGCTCACTGCAAGCTCCATCTCCCGGGTTCACACCGTTCTCCTGCCTCAGCCTCCCGAGTAGCTGGGACTACAGGTACCTGCCACTACGCCTGGCTAATTTTGTTATTTTTAGTAGAGATGGGGTTTCACTATGCTAGCCAGGATGGTCTCCATCTCCTGACCTCGTGATCTGCCCGCCTTGGCCTCCCAAAGTGCTGGGATTACAGGCGTGAGCCACCACACCCCGCCTGTTCTTCTTTTTAACATTGTTTTAGCTATTCAGGGTCCCTTGAGATTCCACACGAACTTTAGAATCAGCCTGTGAATATCTGCAAAGAAGCCAGCTGCTTTCCTGATAGAGATTATAGACTCTGTAGATCAATTTTGGGGATATTGCCATCTGAAAAATGTTAAGTCTTCTGATACATGAACATCAGTCTGCTTGGGCTGCCATAACAAAATACCACAGATTTGGTGGCTCAGACAACAGGCATTTATTTTCTCACAATTCTGGAGATCAGAAGTCCAAGATCGGGTGCCAGCAAATTTAGTTTCTGGTGAGTGCTCTCTCCTTGGGTTGCAGATGGCTGCTTTCCCACTCTTTGCTCACATGGCCTTTCCTTTGTGTGTGGAGAGAGAAAGAGATGGAGGGAGGAAGAGAGAGAGAGAGAAAGAGAGAGAGAGACAGAGGCACATGCTCCCTGGTGTCTCTTCTTATGAAGATGCAAATTCTATGGAAGCCCTTATGACCTTATGTAACCTTAATTTCTTCCTTAGAGAACTCGTCTCCATACACAGCCACAATAGGAGTGATGGATTCAACATATGAATTTGAAAGAACATAAATATTCAGTCCACAACAAATCTGGGATGTTTTAGATCTTCTTCAGTTTCTTTCAACAGTGTTTTGTCACTTTCAGATTTGCAAGTGAGTAGAAATACAATTGATTTTTATATATTGGTCCTGTATTCTAAAAACTTGCTGGATTCATTTATTAGTTCTATAATCTATAAAACATTGGCTGAATATGATGGCTCATGCCTATAATCCCAGCACTTTGGGAGTTCGAACCAGGCAGATCACATGAGGCCAGGAGTTCGAGACCAGCCAGGCCAACATGGTGAAACCTCATCTCTACTAAAAATACAAAAACTAGCTGGGCATGGTGGTGGGGCATGCCTGTAATTACAGCTACTTGGGAGGCTGAGACTGGAGAATTGCTTGAACCCAGGAGGCAGAGGTTGCAGTGAGCTGACATTTTGCCTCTGTACTCCAGCAACAGAGTAAGAACCTGTCTCAAAATAAAAAATCTATAAAACATTAGTAGCTCTGACAAATTGACAAGTAGAAGACAAACAACCAAGTTTTTAAAAAGATGACTCTCTGATAAACAAATGGAAATGTGCAATTAAAAATATAAAAAGTAAACCAAACTCCCTGGTGGTCAGATACATGGGAATTTTCTGTGGAGTCCTAATGATGGAAAAGGAGCCAGGTTGGTTGGACCAAGGGAAAGCAAAAAGAGAAGGTAGATGAACTACAAGTCTGCCTTTCTTCATGGTGCAGGACTTAGCCCTCCTGCGCAAATAACTCACATAACTCACAATCTTCCTGCACTCAACTTATGACCTCAGTTGACAGAAAAATGCAGGTTAGCTCACTGAAACCTTGGCATTATCAGCACTGCATGTAACCCTCTCCGGCACAAGCACCATCCTATAAAATCCCCAGCAAGCCTTTGTCTCCTGGCAGCCAGCTCCTCCCTTGCTGACCTGCCCTTTCCATTCTTGCAACGTATTTTCCTACATTCTCTAATAAATCTGCCTTTCCTTACCTACAATTGTCTTGGTAAATTCCTTTACTGCCCACGCCAGTGGCCCCAGTTAGTGGTTACCTGCAACATTTTATATCTACTAGACTGGCAAAAATTAACAAGAATAATAACACCTATTGCTAGTGAAATTGCGGGGAAAAGGCACTGTTTTACATTGTTCAGGGGATATAATTTATTATAGTATTTTTTGAAAACAATATCTAATAAAATTAGGTAATATCAATACTATTAGTCTTGAAATTACTGAAAATAAGATTAAATGTAAACATATTTATGTATACATATATGTGTATGATACATTGTTTGCAGTGTCAGAAAAAGAATCCTAGCAAATTGAAAATGAATACTGAAAGTAATGCCCAGTAAAATATTAGATTGCAGCTGTACCAGTGGACTTGGAGCCTCAAGGCTCTGGCTAATGTGAAATGTAGATGCAGGGAAATGAGCACAGCAGGATCTTATTTTAGTAGCAAACAACAAAAATATCTCTTACACATATGTTGAGTGTGTGCCTGGAGGTACATAGGACAGTGGCTGGGTGGAGTGGGGAAGGTGTGTAGGAATCAACAAAAAGAAAATGGCAATGAAAAGTGAGACCAGTATGTGTGATCTTACTTATGGAAAAATTTCATATATATGAATATGCATATGCATAAAGAAACATAGACTTATACCCAGATCTACTTCCTAGGAGAGGCAACCATGTTACAGCTTTTAGTGAAAAAAGTTAAGTTGCAAAGAAATGTGGATAATAAAATTCTAATTGGTAACAATACCCAATCATGTATGTGCATCTATTCTTTTATACATTGTATGTGCAAGCAAGAGGGTTGGGTGGGCGTGCCTGTAGGGCCTGGCACTGGGGGTTGTTTTTATTATTTTTTATTGTGTATAATGTAAGACATACAATTCGATGATCTCATATATGTCTACATTGTGAAATAATCACCACAGTCAAGATAATTAAGATATCCGCCACTTCACATAGCTCTCTCTCTCTCTTTTCTTGGTGGTGAGAACATTTAGGATCTACCCTCTCAGTACATTTTAAGTACACACTAAACACCGTGTTGTTACCTGTGGTCACTTTGCTATGTATTGGGTCTCCAAGCCTTATTCATCTTGTAGAACTGAAGCTTTGGATCCCTGGACTAGCACCTCCTCATTTCCCCTTTCCCTGCCTGTGGTTCCCGTGCTTGCACTCTGTGCTTCTGTGAGTTTCACTCCTGTATACTCCATGTGTGAGGGAGAGCATGTGGTGTCTGTCTTTCTGTGTCTGCCTCTTTTCACCCTGTGTAATGTTCTCCAGATTCGTCCATGTTGTTGTAAGTAACCAGATCTCCTTCTTTTGAAAGCTGAGGAATATTCCATATATACATATATAGATGTATGTATATATTCCACATTTTGAAAAAGTCAAATACATAGAAACATAGAATAGAACAGTGGTTACCAGGGTCTGGAGGAAGAAGGAAAGGGGGAGGAGGAGGTCAAGGGCTTGCAGTTGTGTAGGAGAGGGAGCCGAGCAGTCAAGTGCACAGTGCAAGGACTACCGGTGACAGGTGCTGTGTGCTGCAAGTGTGCTGAGAGAAGACTCCAGGTACTCTTACCACACACACATACACACACACGCATCATACACACACACACTCACACTCATACACACACATAAATACACACACTCAGTCTCACACACACACAATTAAAACACACCTTACACACACTCATACACACATAATCATACAAACACACACATACATATGCATACGGACTCATAAACACACTTATACAAACACACTCATGCACACACACTCATACACACACATACAAAAGGGAACCATGGAAAGTTTTGGAGATATTAATTGTAGCCATCATTTCAGTTGTGTACATATTTACCACAACACCATGTTGTCCACCATGAATATATACAATAAAAATAAATGTAAAAAATACGTGTCTTGGGAGAGTCCTTCATAATAACACCTGAGAGGTGTCACCTTTCTTGACTTTTTCGGACTGTGAAATGCATCTGCCAAGGTTGGCAGACGTAGGGACCTGACCTCCTGGGCCCTCACATGCCCAGTTATCGTTGGCCTTCCGGACTGGAGCAGTTTGTAGACCCTGGAAGCAGGGCCCCAGCACTGACTGCTTGACCTCAGGCCTCTGCCCCATCGGTGGGCAGGTGGCGGCCACTAGGGTGTGGGAGCTCGGCCATCCCTGCCTCCTGGAGCGGACGAGGTTGGCGGCTGCTCAGCCTGCTCCTGCCCCACCCTTGCCTCATGGACCCTGGTAGCGTCACTGGCTCAGCCTTGCTGGGCACGCACAGGCACAGCATCCACTCTGTCCCAGGTGGCTTGCCCTGCTTTTGGCCAAGTTCTGGGTCTGGCCACTGCCACAGAAGTCTCAGTCCCCTGTGTGATCATCCTGGCTGCTGCTGGGTGCCCATGGCACCCCTGGTGCCCCTCCCTTTACAGGGCTTGGGTGAGCACCAGGCCAGGACCCTCTGGGACAGGGACTTGTGCCCTGTCTGGGGTCCCTGTCCCACAGGTTGGGCCAGAGGCCATACGGCATGCTGCTGGCTGGCCATGGCTGAGGGAATGTGACACTCACCCTTCCCTCTGGCAGCCTCCAAGTGACCAGTTTCCCCGTGGATATTAATTTCCTGAGGCCAGGAGCCATCTGGGGTACAGGGCAGCCTGCCGGGTGCCATCCTGGCCCCTTCCACACCGTGCTGGCCACTGCCTGTCATGGGGGTCGGATGCAGGCGATCCCATGCAGGAGGTGTCTCTGGACCTGCCTCTTCTCTTGCTTATCACAAGGCCAGGTCAAGCCTGGTGTCAGGACCCTGATAAGGTTGCAGGGCCAGGCCTGTCCCATGGGCCTGGGGTGTCCAGGGCACACATAGAGGAAATGGGGGCCCTGCATCCTGGCTCCTAAATGTACTGTGGAAATCATGGGCCCTCAACATCCAGGTCCGTGGGAGGCATCCACAGAGACTTCCAATGAAGGAAACACTGGACAACTCCTGGTCTCTCCTGAGTTGGGGACAGGCCAGCCACACCCTGAGTCCCTGGGGACCCCCAGAGAGTGACCCACTGCCATGGACTCTGAGGAAGCACTCTCATTTTAGAGCACAGGGGATGTCGTGGCCCACTCCTCTCAATTTTGCTGTGAACCTAAAACTGCTCTTAAAAAAAAAGTCCATTAAAGGAACTAGCATGGGCTGATGCGGAGGGGCTCATTCACCCCTCAGTTGGACACTGTGTGGCTACGAATCCACCCTCAGACCACAGAGTGGGTTTTGACAGCAACACCACACCCTAGCCTCATCCTGAGCTCAAATTTAACTCAAATAAACCAGGCCCTTTTTCTATTGTTCTTAGCCACCATTAAACCAGGTCATTCGTTCTGTGTTTTTGCAATTGGCTTTTAAACAAAAGAGCTGGGTTTGGTGTATATTTCTTTGTCAAATGTTTTTTCCGCAATTCTGTAAAAAAGCAGAAAAACAGGCCGGGCGCAGTGGCTCACGCCTGTAATCCCAGCACTTTGGGAGGCCGAGGCGGGCGGATCACGAGGTCAGGAGATCGAGACCATCCCGGCTAAAACGGTGAAACCCCGTCTCTACTAAAAATACAAAAAATTAGCCGGGCGTAGTGGCGGGCGCCTGTAGTCCCAGCTACTTGGGAGGCTGAGGCAGGAGAATGGCGTGAACCCGGGAGGCGGAGCTTGCAGTGAGCCGAGATCCCGCCACTGCACTCCAGCCTGGGCGACAGAGCGAGACTCCGTCTCAAAAAAAAAAAAAAAAAAAAAAAAAAAGCAGAAAAACAAATGAATTTTCATGAGGACATGGAATATAAGAACTTGATGCTTTAGAGTAAAGGGATTATGGGCAAGTTTCCCTTATTTTCAGAATTATTTTGTTTGTGGCTGTCACGATGTCATTGTGCAAGAAATAAAAACTGGTAGAATGAAAAATTAAAAAAAAAAAACACCATAACTACAGTCAGAGCACCCTGGGGTGTCGGTATCTTTTATTGTGAGCAGCCCTGGCTGGGGATCACACCCACACCTGACCGTGGGGGCTGCAAAGCTGGAATGGCAATTAAAATGCACAGCCCTGCAATCAGGTGCTAATTATAAGGTAGGGACACAACTGGCGAGGAGGGCATTTGCTGAAACTCTTGGGATGAAATCATCCGGGTGGACATAGGTGAGCCAAAAACTTGGAATCCCCAAATTTCCCTGAACTCTAAGCAGCCTGTCCTGGCCCACCCTAGTCACCCCCTCACACCCACCCACCCCCAGCTAAGGTAGTCCCATCTCCATTAGAAAGACCCCTTCAGGGACTTCATCTGAAGCAGTCGCCACTCAAGGACCCACCATCATCCCCAGTTCCACAAGAGAGGTGGCTCCCAGAACAGCATAAGCAGAAACAGGCGAGCTTGTCCTGGAGGAGACGGCCTACACGCCAGCCCAGGCACAGGATGTCACCCGTCTCATAGTCCAGAGTGTGAGAAGGATAAGAAATGAGAGAAAGTCAAGCTAAGTGTATCTATTCAAGTGCATGTACCAGGGTTAGGGTTTTAGCCCAAAGCAGGCTTTGTGTAAAGTAATATTGCTGGGGCGTTAGTCATTTTGGGGTTGGTTCAGTGGGATACATTTATGAATTCAGAGTCCTTTCCAACTGTATTCCAATAATTTCTTATCCTTTAGAGGATGAATGACTTCCAGGACTACTCCTACCATCCACTGTGACAATTTGCCCCAGTAAGGTGACACAAAGATGAATGGCCAGAGATTGTAGATTATGTCATGATACCATGCATCCTTCAGTGGCTACCTGTGGGCAGCAGAAGAGAATCAAGGTTTGAAAGGTAGAAAGGTGGCCAGGCGTGGTGGCTCACACCTGTAATCCCAGCACTTTGGGAGGCCGAGGCGGGCGGATCACGAGGTCAGGAGATCGAGACCATCCTGGCTAACACGGTGAAACCCCGTCTCTACTAAAAATACAAAAAAAAATTAGCCAGGCATGGTGGGGGGCACCTGTAGTCCCAGCTACTCCGGAGGCTGAGGCAGGAGAATCACTTGAACCCGGGAGGTGGAGTTTGCAGTGAGCCAAGATTGCACCACTGCACTCCAGCCTGGGTGACAGAGTGAGACTCCGTCTCAAAAAAAAAAAAAAAAAAAAAAAAAAAAAAAAAAAAGGAAAGGTACAGAGGCAGAGCTGGTTTTCAGAAATGTCTTCCAAATACTATATCTCATATAGGAAAGCAATTCGATGACATCTCCCCAAATTTGATAATCCTAAAAATTAACATAGTTATTGATAGTGAGCTATGAAACTAAAAACAACCTTTCTAAACTATTGATAATACAAATTTTTAAGAGAGCAGTGCTGGAAGAAATAATGAATTCTCCCCACCATGCCCCCAACCATTAGCATTCGTAGGAACCTCTAGCTGATGCCAAGAAGGAAGGAGGAGCTTGGCTGCCCTAAAGCTTCTCTTGGCACCACCCATGGGAATGGCAGGAGGCAGGGAAGGGGCTGCAGGCACACCCTGGGGGAGAAGCAGGGGCCGCTCCACCAACGCGTGGAGAACACGAAAGGCCCTGGGGATTCCCACATAAACTCACTCAGGTGGGACATGCAACCCTCTGCCTACAATGGGGGCTCGGGTCATTGTTATGGGGCCAGTGAAGAGCCTGTGCCTTGGCAAGCAGAACACCGTGGTGACCTTGGGTAATAGAGAGGTCATGAGATGCCCGAATACACAAATTACATGGGAGCAACCAAAATGTTAGCACTCTAGAGATTGGGGTTATGAGTAATTTGTTGTCTTCTACAATTGTCTATCATTTTTAACATTAAAACACTAAAATTTAAAAATGATATGGGGATAACATCCAGAATATGAATATGTCCATGTATGACTATACCACATTTTGTTTACCGACTCATCAGTTCATGGACATTTAGATGGTTCCACTTGTTGGCAAATGAGAATAAGGCTGCTATGAATATCATCATATGAGTTTTTATGTGATATACATTTCAGTTCCCTTCAGTAGTTACCTAAGAGTGGAATTGCTGAGTCATATGGTAACTCTACATGGAACATTTGAGGAACTATTTTTCAAAGTAGTGGCATGATTTTTTTATTTTCATCCAATGCACAAGGGCTCCCATTTCTCCACATTCTCATCAGTGCTTCTTATTGTCTTTTTGATAATAGCCATCCCAGAGGATGTGAACTGCTATCTTATTGTGGTTTTGATTTGCATTTCCCTGATTTTCCCTGATGTCTAACAATGTTGAGCTCCTTTTCATGTGCTTATTAGCCATTTGTATATCTTCTTTGGAAAATGCCTATTTAAATCCTCTGCTGGGTCTTTAATTGGATTGTGTGTTTGAGTAGTAAGAATTCTTTATATGTCTAGATGCAAGTTCTTATCAAATATATGATTTCAAAGTAGTTTCTTCCACTCTGTTGGTGTATCTTCATTTTCTTCATAGTGCCCTCAGAAGCACAAAAACTATTCGTTTTGATGTAGTTAGTTAATCTAGTTTTTCCCTGTGGTTTTGGTGTCATTATCTAAGAACCATTTCATACTCCAAGGTCATGAAAACTTAACCTGTTTTGCTTCTAGTAATCCTCTAGTTTTGGCTTTTACAATTAGGTCATTGATCTATTTTTTCTATTTTTTTTTTGTTTGTTTGGTATATGGTATGAGGTCAAGATTCAAATTCACTCTTTTGCATGTGGACATCCAGTTGTCTTAGCAGCATTGTTTGTTGAAAACATTCCTCTTTTCCCATGGAATTGTATAGTACCTGTGAAAATACATTGACCACAACTGTGAGGCTTTATTTCAAGAGTCTCAAACCTACCCCATTGATCCATCTTTCTATCCTTATGCAAGAGCCATGCTGCCTTGATGACTGTAGCTTTGCAGCCCATTTAGAAATTGGAAAACCTGAGTCCTCAAACTTTGCTTTTCTTTTTCAAGATTGTTTTAGCTATTTAGGGTCCCTTGAATGTCCACATAAATTTTAGGATCAACTTGTCAATTTTTGAAAAAAGAAATCTGAGATGTTGATCGGAATTGCATTAAATTGGTAGAACAATTTTTTTTTGGAGTGTTTCAATCTTCACAATATTAGGTCTTCCAATACATGAACATAGGATTTTTTCCCCCATTACTTTGGTCCTCCTTAACTTCTTCCAATGGTGTTTTGTAGTGTTAAGTGTCCAAGTCTTGTACTTTTTTGGTTGCATTTGTTCCCAGGAATTTTATTGTTTCCTTACAACCTTTTTGCTTGCTTTTTGCTGTTGTAAAGAAACACAGCTGACTATTGTGTATAGTCCTTGTGTTCTGCACTCTGCTGAGCTCGGTTATTGGCTCTAATAGTTGTGTGTGTGTGTGTGTGTGTGTGTGTGTGTGTGTCCCTCAGCATCTTCTGTATACAAGATGAGGTTTTCTGTGAATAGAGATAGTTTTGCTTCCTTTTTTCTTACCTGGATGGCTTTATTTTCTTTTCCTGTTATGTTATTCTGGCTATAGCTTCAGTGAAATGTTGCATAGAAGTGGTGGGTGTGGACATTCTTTTCCTGTTCCTGATCCTAGGGGAAAACATCCAGGTTTTCATAGTTAAGCACCGTGTTCACTGTGGGTAGATGGCCTTTATCAGGCTGAGAAAAGTCCCTTCTGTTCCTCCCTGTGCCAAACCAAAGCTGGGAAGCCTGTGGACACTTGGATTCCTCCTCACTCTGAGCCCAGAGATGGAGGGTGCACTTCAGCCTGTGTTCAGCCACACCGTCTTGGATCCTTGAAGCAGCACAGTTTCCAGTGTTGTCCTACAGAGCATCTCAGGGACACAGCTCATTCTAGTCTCGCTTCCCCATCTCCTGGCTTGACCCACAAACTGGGGACTGGCTGGACCCAGAGAGCACCCATTACATCCCTTCCTAGGCACTGAGGGCAAAGTTCTCCTTCTCTCCCAAACATATCCTCCCATGGGGAAGAAGTAGGAGTCCAAATTCCAACCAAGACAGACTGAATCCCACTGAGATACAGCTGGGACTCCCTGTGTACTAATGAGAGATACTCACTCATTCACTCATTCATTCCTCGTCTTCATTCATTCATACATACTGCTAGTGGTTCCTTCATTAATCAGTTCAACAACTGTTTCTGGAATGGGAGCTGGGCCTGGCACACTGTTACAGCAGTGGGAGCAATAAGCTATCAGGGAGGAGGGGAAGGACATGTGGCCAGTTTGCCAATGAGACAGAGGCTGGAAGAAAAGAGTCAGTGAGACCAAGGCTGAGGGATGGAGAATTTATTTAGTGCTGCACCCAGATGCATTTTGGATTTCCATAGATACATGTGATCATTTGGGTTGCAGGACATCCATCTGCAAATGTCGTGAAGCTCCTGGCAGGCAAAGGAAAGAAGGGTTTGCTGTCTCCCATGGAATTATCAAGAAGGGGAATTCCAGGCTCTTGCTTGGCATGAGGGCAGCCCCCAGTGCAGTTTGGCTCAGACATATGGGGGCATGTGGGAAAGAGGGGCAAAATTGCCTGGGTCTTGGGATATTCTTATAGGGAATGGGCAGGGAGTGGTTCATTCCATTTCCTCAGGGGCTGGAAAAAGACGCCCTGAGCCAAGGGCTCTTTTCAGATCCAGAAGGGGATGTGCTTCAAGGGTAGTCACTTGTTGGAAAGCACAGATCTTCAGGAGCTACCTGAGGTTTCCCACTAGAGCCTCAGATCTTGCACTGGTAGCACACAGGGACACAGCATCTGGACTGGGAGCAGCAGGGCTTGCAGCAGCTGGACTGGCAGCAGGATGACCCACAGCCTGAGGATGAGCAGCAGGGCTTGCAGCAGCTGGATTGGCAGCAGGATGACCCACGACCCGAGGAGGAGCAACAGGGCTTACAGCAGCTGCACTGGGAGCAGTAGGGCTTGCAGCAGCTGCACTGGCAGCAGGATGACCCACAGCCTGAAGAGCAACAGCAGGGCTTGCAGCAACTGCACTGGGAGCAGCCACAAGAACCACAGCCTCCCTTGGAGCCCCCACAGGAGCCACAGCCCCGCTTGCCACAGCTAGAGCAGGAACAGGCTGGAACACAGCAGCACACGGGCTTGCAGCAGTAGACGGGTGCACAGCAGCTGGGGCCACAGCCCCTGCAGCCAGAGCCACAGCTCCCACAGCTGGAGTCACAGCCTCCACAGCTGGAGCCACAGCCTCCGGAGCAGCCACAGCAGCCCATGGTTCTGGTGGATTGAGGGTGGAGCAGGTAGAGGAGCAGGTGAGAAGGAGGTGCAGGTGTGGAGCCCCCTGAGCCCCGGCTCTTTATATCCCACATAGGAACACACCATTGTTTCTCTTTCCGGTTGCTGTTACACAGCTCCTGGAGGTATGTCTTGATTGTTTTTCTTTGGCTATGTTGATATTTTCTGGATCCAAGTATGAGCCCTTCCTCCTGAGATGATTTCCTTGTGGAATTCATACTGAAAGGAAAAACAGCTCCAACGCTGGCTCACCTCAGGAGGAAGTGCAGCTTCCTCAAGGTCTGTCCCAGTTCCTAACTCTTATTCTTCCTGGGCCTTTGAGCAGATCCAGTCAGCTCCCGAGCCCCAGCTTCTTCTCCTGCAGAGGGGTGCTAGCAACACCAGCCTCCGGGGGTTGCCTGAGAATTACCTGAGATCATTCATGTATTGCGTCTTTTGCAACACCCCAACTCCCCATCCCCCATGCTCATGCAGGGTTCCGTCTTGGCAGGACTGGGTCAATGTTGTGGGTTTTTGACGTTTGATGCTGTGAGACGCCCTCCCTCCCCAGAGCAGTGCCACTCTCTACCTGATTCCTGCTGATTCCCCCAGGGATGTGGTATCTTCTCTGTGGCAACTGTGGCTGAGGATGGCAGGGTTCTCAGCAGTGGGGAAGGAGGCATCCTCTGTCTACCTCCTCCCTATTCCTGGACCAGGAATAGGCCAGGGCAATGGGCTCTGTGATTACAGAAGGGAATTTCACACAGCATGGTCCTTGGGGACACGTGAGCAGAGCTTCCCGCTGCTTTGAAACTATTGTCTGGACAGGTTCTTCTCTTGGAGGAAAACAAAGCTTGGAGCAGAACTTGGAGGGTGGTAGGGGGACCATGATGGGTACAAAGAGCAGCCAAGAGACAGGAAGGATACTCCAGCTAGGAGGCAGGGCACCAGCAATGGTGTGGAGGCTGCAGGTGCAGGAACCCATCGGTACGGTCCACACTCAGATGCGGTTAAAATGTGTGATGAGTGGATGTGCAGGCTTACGACATTCCAGTGTGCCTCAGCTGACTTGGGGTGAAATCCAAACCCCTGACACTGGCCCCATCCACCTCTCCAGCTGGATTTGACCGTGGCCTTGGCCACCCATCGTTGCAGAACCAATCAGCCCAAAGCTCAGTGGATCAGTAGTTCAGATCCGGCACTGGATGGTGGCACAGGCCGCATGATTTGTGGGGTCTCAATTGGGAAGGTACCAATGGCTAACGATGGCAGCATGGCTTGGCTGGGCTGTATTTTGGGACCTCAGTTCCGGCTGTCTGCAGGGTTCCTTGGTTTTTCTGTAAATTATGTCAGCTGGGGCTGGCTTGTCCAAGATGCTGTGTTCACACACCTATGGGATGGCTACAACAGGTGAGGCCGGACAGATCTCCCTCCCCTCCCCCACCTCACGGCCTCTTCCCACGGCTGGCTTGGGCTTCCTCACAGCATGGTGGGCTCAGGGCAGCTGTACTTCCTAGGAGGTCACTCGAGCAGAGGCTAGAAGGTGCCTTATGACCCAGCCTAGGAATCCTAGAGTATTTCTCCCTCCTCAAGTCACTGAGGCCAGCCCAGATTGCAGAGAGAAGAGAAAGTCCACCTCTCCGTGGGAGGAGAATGACTTGGTGTCATCTTCAGACTGCCTCAATCATTCTTCATCCAGCCCTGGATTGGTGCCGGGGCCACACCGCACTCCTCCTTACGACCTGTGTGCTGGCAGTTCCTTACATGGAACAGACTCACCCAGGACCGCCCTGGACTGCGTCCCTCCTGTCTGCCCAACTCAGATCCACCTCTGACACCCCGTCCCGAGATAGCTACCCCCACCACCTTGCACTTTCTGTTTCATTTATTGATTCCCACGATGCCAAGCTGGCTCTGCTCTCATCCTTGTTTGTTCTTAGAGGTGTGTGTCCCACTCCAGGGGGGTGTGAGTTCTGAAGGGGCAGCGACTTTATCCCACACGCAGCCATGTAGCTGTGTCACCAACACCTGGACATGCTCCATCATCGTCATTGAGAGAGGGAGGTGTTAACTGAAGAAGGACGAGGTCGTCAATTTGGAAAGGAGCGCTTTACTTCTCATAAAGTGCTGCGGGCTGAGTGTGGCTGTTCTGACTGGTTGGGAGGCGCAGCCTCTGGTAGGAAGCTGGAAACAGACACTTGGAGGGAGGGAAGAATAAAGCAGAGATCTACACTGAGTGGGGGTGGCTGAATATGCATATTCAATAAGCTGTGGGAGGGACATGAATATTGATAAGAGGAGAAACTGAGACATGAGGCCAGCTGGACTTCTTGGGTCCCGTGGGGACTTGGGGAACTTTTCTGTCTTACAAGAGGATTGTAAAATGCACCAATCAGGAACTTTCCTGTCTTGCAAGAGGATTGTAAAACACACCAATCTGCACAGGATTCTGAAAGTAGCCAATCGCAGGGAGGATTGAAAAAAAGGCACTCTGATAGGACAGAAACGGAACATGGGCGGGGCCAATAGGGGAATAAAAGCTGGCCACACAGCCAGCAGCGGCAACCCACTCGGGTCTACTTCCACGCTGTGGAAGCTTTGTCCTTTCGCGAATAAACAATAAACCTTGCTGCCACTGACTCTTTGGGTCTGTGCCATCTTTAAGAGCTGTAACACTCACTGCGAAGGTCCGTGAAAGTCCATGGGTGCATTCTTGAAGTCAGCGAGACCACGAACCCACCAGCAGGAACCAACTGCAGACCCAAAACCAGGCATATGCGCAATCCAGCTTCACCCCCTCTCTATGTGCAAAAACCAGAGGTGTTAGCCTGATCTGAGGGTGGAGCTTTTGGCCCTCTGATGTCAAAAGGTGAAGCAGCGGACTCAGAAGACTTCCTTGCGCCTCTTCCGTAGAATGGCCAGGGCCTCTCCGTGGTGGATCTCCTATCAAGAAGGAGGGGGCAATGTCAGGGGTACACTGATCTCCTCAGTGCAGTCTCCACAGAATTGGTTTCTGTTTTCCCTGAGGGGAGGGAGCTGGGTCATGGCTGGCCAGGGAGTAGGAGAAGGGCGCAAGTCCAGCTTCCCATCCCCCCGTAGCCAGGAACTCAGCTTCCAAGGTTTCCCGGTTAACCAAACATAACATTCTAAGACCTCCTCCCCGACCATCTGAATGGACTTCCTCCTCAGCCAGGGCTGTTTTAAAATTTAACCTGAGACACTATGATGGGCAGTGGGGGTCAGACATGCCTCATTCTACCTCTCTGGCATTAACATCCACACAGACTTTAAGTCCGATAACAAACGTCTCACAACCTCTTCTCTCTGAAGCCTGCTACCTAAAGGCTTCCTCTGCAAATAACAACCTGGGTCTCCATGATCCTTTATCCTAACCCAGACATTCCTTTCTGTTGATCCCAGGTCTTTAGACAAGCTCAACCAACTGTCAACCGGAAAATTTTTACATCTACCTATAGCCTGGAAGCACTCCCCACCCTTCAAGTTGTCCCACTTTTCTGGACCAAACCAATGTAATGTCGACAAAAAGAGTCAAACTCTGTAAAATATTTGAAGAGAGATTTATTCTGGGCCCAATATGAGTGACCATGGCCTGAGACACAACCCTCAGGAGGTCCTGAGAACATGGGCCCAAGGTGGTCATGGTACAGCTTGGTTTTACACATTTTAGGGAGGCAGGAGACATCAATCAAATACATTTCAAAATTACATTGGTTTGGTCCAGAAAGGCGGGACAACTCAAAGCGGGTGGTGGGGGATGGGGGGTGAGGGGGTTCCAGGCTATAGGTAAATTTAAACATTTTCTGGTTCACGGTTGGTTGAGTTTGTCTAAAGACCTGGGATGGATAGGAAGGGAAAGTTCAAGTTAAGATAAAGATTGTGGAGACCAAAGTTCTTTTGAAGTCTGATAGTGGCTGCCCTTAGAGACAATAGATGACAAATGTTTCCTATTCAGACCTTAGTTAATCTCTTTAGGACTGGGAGGGTCTGGAAGAAAAAGATCTAGCTATGTTAATAGAGATTCTTTGCAGATCCAAATTTTCCCCCACAAAGGACGCTCTGCAGGGCCATTTCAAAATACAGCAAAGAAACATGTTTTGGGGTAAAGTATTTTGATTTTCTTCCTTGTCTCATAATGTTATGCCAGAGTCGGGTTGGAAAGTAAGTCACAATATTTAGGGCTAAACAAAACCTGTCTGTTGAGAGTTTATGATTTGTAGGGCATGCGCAGACCCCTTAGATAGGAATTTGAGCAAGATTAAAAAAAACAACAACAGAGTTTAGGCCTTAGTATTTCTTAAATGTATTTGATTAAAGTCTCATGTCTCCCTAAAATATATAAAACCAAGCTGCACCCCAAACCTCTTGGGCACCTGCTCTCAGGACCTCCTGAGGGCTGTGTCACGGGCCATTTGTCAGTCATGTTCGGCTCAGAATCTTTTAAAATATTTTACAGAGTTTGACACTTTTTGTCGACACCCCCTTGGCCAAGAGGGGTCCCGTTCAGTCAGTGGTTGCGGGGGCGAGGCTAGGATTTCCTTCCTATTTCTCAGGGGAAGGCTCTTGCTTCTGCCTGCTGCTCACGTGTTGAGTGAGTTCCTCTGGTTGGCAGCTGGGCTTGAAACCGCCTTTGCAAAGTTATGACTGAGACAGTGAGAGATCTAACTTAGCCCACTCCACCTTGCTTCTAATCTCCAAGCTGTCCTTGTTCATTCCTGGGTGTTGGCTGAACTAACTTTGGGAGAAATTTAGTTGGTAGTTTATAGTTTAAACAAAGACAGTAACAACCCTTTCCCAAAGCAGACCACCTTCTTGCCTGGGGACTAGACTAACATTAGCCACAAGATTAGAAATTACAGTTTAGGAGTCATGTAGCCAGAGGTCATTTACAAGATTCTGACCCTCCCTGCACTTGATGGATCAGGTAGCACCACCCAGATCAATAAACTGGCTCATCTGATCTTGTGGCCCCCACCCAGGAACTGACTCAGTGCAAGAAGATGGCTTCGACTCCTTGTGATTTCATCCCTGACCAATCAGCACTCCTGGATCACTGGCTTCTCCCCACCCACCAAGTTGCCCTTAAAAACTCTGCTCCCCAAATGCTCAGGGAGACTGATCTGAGTAATAATAAAACTCCGGTCTCAGGCACAGCCAGCTCTGTGTGAATGACTCTTTCTCTATTGCAGTTCCCCTGTCTTGATGAATCAGCTCTGTCCAGGCAGCGGGCAAGGTGAACCCCCTTGGGCAGTTCCAGGCTCATGGCTTCGTTAGCTAGATTAAGTTCTACCGGCTCAAGTGCTAGAGGTCAGGAAGGGACCCTTCTCTGGAGCAGATCTGGGATCTTGCTTACAGGGCGTCTGTCCATTCTCCTGCCTTCCTCAGACGTCAGCAGCCCCTGTGTCTGTCCTCCAGACGACCCTGGGCTCCCTGGCCCTCCTCCACCTGCAGCTGCTGTGGCCTCGCTCTCAGGGTGGCCTGGCTCTCCTCTCCATCCCACTCCTGCAGCGGCCCTGATGCCTCTCTTACCCGATGTATGCAGTCTTTCTCAGGAGCCGTGGGGAAATAGAGCTGGCAGGCTGTTAGTGACTCACCAAGGCAGGGACCTCTGGGGATTTACATGCTCGTACCCATCCACATTGGGCCTTTCAAAGCCTTTTTTTATTTTTTGAGATGGAGTCTCGCTCTATTGCCTAGGCTGGAGTGCAGTGGTGCCATCTCAGCTCACTGCAACCTCTGCCTCCCGGTTCAAGTGATCCTCCTGCCTCAGCCTCCTGAGTAGCTGGGATTACAGGCATGTGCCACCAAGCCCAATTAATTTTTGTATTTTTAGTAGACACAGGGTTTTGCCATATTGGCCAGGCTAGCCTCGAACTCCTGACCTCATGACCCACCCACCTCAGCCTCCCAAAGTGCTGGGATTACAGGTGTGAACCACTGCGCCCAGTCTCAAAGCCTTTTTAAAAGCTCGGCTGTTTTCTTCCCTGATTCGTAATAGCTTCCTCCTGCAGCAGTTGCACAGAACCAAATGATGGAAAGGACTCATGGACATGCGCAAAGCACACTGACCTGGAGCTTTCACTGTGTGAGAAGAGACGGTCTTGACCTTCCTTCTTGGCTCCCGGCACAGAGCTCCTCAAGCCCTTGCAATTTCTCTGAGGGATATTGTTTTCTTGGGTTTTTTAATTATGTGTTGGTTTGTTTGTTTTTTGTTATTCCTAATAAGCTCCCTTAGATCACACTTGTGTTTATGTTAATGAGGTGACTTAGGGTGGGGCCCCTAGATGGCCTCAGGATGAGACTGGTGGTCAGAAAGACCCAGTGAGAAGAGCCTGGGAACTCAGCTCCAGGACAGGGAGGGCTGCAGGTGAGAGCTCTGCAAAACTGAATAGTGAGATCCCATCAGCTTCCAGTTGGTGCACACATCCCCCCGCCGGGAGAGCGATGACTCCGGCTCCACGGGACAAAGCTCCCACACTCAGGACCATCCTGGACCTCACCCTTGGTGCCTCTTCACCTAGGGGTTCGTCTGTGTCTCATCCTCTATAATAAACCAGTAAACATAAGCTAGTGTTTCCCTGTGTTCTGGGTGCTGTTCTAGCAGATTATCAAACCCAAGGAGGGTGGTGTTGAGTAAAGAAAAATAAAAATCTCAGAACCCCAAGCCCTCTCGCAAAAGCAGCACTGTTCCTCCACAGCCTGTGTTGCTGTGTGTTTCGCTTGCCAGGCCCAGGAAACGGCAAAGGCTTCAGGTGTCTCAGGACACTTCCTCCACAAATCACTCATAAATATGCGCTATGCTGGTTGCAAAACCTCTCAAGAAGTGCGTCCTGCCATCAACAAGGATGTGCCCGTTGTGACTTCAGGCCTGCAATCCAAGTCCAGCTCCTAAAACGAAAGTGTTCCATTCCACACTGATCATATAGATTATGAGTTTATCTTCCCAGAAGCAGAACAAAAACAAGATGACACCAGTCCCTCCTCCATCTACCCAGAGAGGTCTGCACAACCGACTCTTCCTTTAGTCCCTTTTTCTCTTCAAACGTTCACCTTACCTCATGTAAAATGTAGATTTACTGGGCACTAACTAAAGTCTCACAGGAATGCAATCATTTGCCTAATGCTTACCTGCCTCTTCCTACCTGCCTGCCCCCCTTTAAGGAAATGTATAAATACCAAACTTCCCAAAAATCTCTCTGGGAAAACAGCCACAGATGTGCCTGCATCTTGCATTTTTCTCAGGTGCGCCTTAAAGCAGGCTTAGTAAACCTTGATGGACAGAGAGCTTTGCCTCAGCCACTCATTTCAGGTATCAGTGTAAACCCTGATTTATAGCCCATCGGTTAGAAGCTTGGGAGGCTGGACTCGTGATTGGCATCTGTATTAGTCCATTTTCACACTGCCGATAAAGACATACCTGAGACTGGGCAATTTACAAAAGAAA
Organism: Homo sapiens; assembly: GCF_000001405.40. Taxonomy (NCBI): domain Eukaryota; kingdom Metazoa; phylum Chordata; class Mammalia; order Primates; family Hominidae; genus Homo; species Homo sapiens. The sequence goes on along the minus strand of NC_000011.10, from coordinate 71,541,194 downwards.
GAAGTTTAATGGACTCACAGTTCTACCTGGCTGGGGAGGCCTCACAATCATGGTGGAAGGTGAAAGGCACATCTCACATGGTGGCAGACAAGATAAGAGAACTTGTGCAGGGAAACTCCCATTCATAAAATCATCAGATCTCGTGAGACTTATTCACTATCATGAGAACAGCACAGGAAACACCCACCCCCGTGATTCAATTACCTCCCACTGGGTCCCTCCCACAACACAGGGGAATTGTGAGAGCTACAGTTCAAGATGAGATTTGGGTGGGGACAGAGGAAAACCATGTCAGCCTCTGAAGTGGGGACAGTCTTGTGGGACTGAGCCCTTCGCCTGTGGGATCTGAAATGAACTCTGTTTCAAGATGGGAGTGAATTGCAGGACACCCAGCTGGTGTCAGAGAATTGGTCAGTGTGGAAAGAGGCAGAAAATTGAGTAGTGTGGGGAAAACCCGCACATCAGGAATGAGAGTGTTCTGTGTGAGAGTGTAGAGAAACTACGTTTTTCTCAGATTCATGCTGACAACAGAAGCAATACCACAGGTGGAAGAAAACAGAGAGGGCCTCTTTCTGGTCCAGCCACAGGGTGGAGGCCGTTTTTGACTTTCACCTTCCTCTGTGGGTCCAGCTCTCTCTTGCTTGTTGGCTCTGAGGATTATTTTATTTTTTCAACAGCTCAGTGACTTAAAAAATATATGTTTTAAATACAGCACTTTAAAACTTTATTTATTTATTTAGAGATGGAATCTCATTCTGTCACCCAGGCTGGAGTGCAGTGGTGCAGTCTGGGCTCACTGCACCCTCTGCTTCCCGGTTTCAAGCGATTCTCCTGCCTCAGCCTCCTGAGTAGCTGGGATACAGGCGCCCACCACCATGCCCGGCTCATTTTTGTATTTTTAGTGGAGACGGGGTTTCACCATGTCCTTTGAGAAGTTCCAGGTTGTGAATAGTGTCTAGTCAACCTTACTTACTAAAACAGAAACTCAGAAGCACATTCTAAAAATTCCGTGTTGTTGAGTTTTCACTTTCTTGTCACAGTTCCATCAGACACTCACGGCCTGCCATCCTGTGAGAAGGTGGCTTCCCGAGCAGCCTCCCGTGCTCTGCTGTTACAGACGCCTGGGTCTGGGGGCTCCAGCCTTGCAGCCCACCTCCTCCTCCGCCAGCTCCTGCCTTCCCTCCCCATGAGTCGAACATGCCGGACTTTGGTCTAGGCCCTCCAGCCTCCGGAACTGGGAGAAATGGTGTCTGTTGTTCCGTCTTCCAGGCTTACTCTGTGGGTTTTGTTCTGGCAGCCCGAGCTGACAGAGGCAGCAGGGAAGGGACAGTTGGGGGCCTGAAGCAGAGGTCTAGGTAGGGAGGTGTCACAAGAAGGCAGGAAGGAGGTGTCTTAGGATGTCTTCCAGGAGATGCTGTGGGATTTGGCGACTTGTAGGGGAGAGAAGCCCAAGGGGCCTCCCAATTCTGTATCCTGGAAGATGGGAAAGATGGTGATGCCCCAAGCCAAGTGGATACCACGGCTGAGTTGTGCCCCCTGGTACATACGTTGGAGTCCTCACTGCAGTATCTCAGAATGGCACCTTATTTGGAGATAGATCTTTACAGGGGTGATTAGTTAAAACGTGGACATAATGGAGTAGGGTAGGCCCTAATCTAATCTGTGTCCTTATACAAAGAGATGAGGACGCAGACACACACAGAGGGACAAGCACATGAGGATATAGGGATGGCGGCATCAGTAAGCCACGGAGGGAGGTCTCAGGAGGACCCGGCCCTGAGGCACCTCGATGGCAGATTCTGGCCTCCAAACTGTGAGACGATCCACTCCCGTTGCATAAGCCACATGGTTTGTGGGGCAGCCCTAGCAAACTCACACAGCAGGGAACGGGGGGTTCCCAAATGCCTGGGAGTGCGACTCTGTGAAAATTGTACATTTATCTAATCACACAGAAGTTGAAACAAAAGAATCACAACGCAAACTCGTGGGAGGTGTGGATCGTATTTATTTAGAAGATTCAGCCTAGGCACTTACAAGGCGAAGCCCTGGGGAAAGAAACAAGGCCAGGTCAGAGGTAGAAGAGGAGACTGGGCGCCCCTCCTCCTCAGGAGAGGATCCTGGGGTCTCTAATAATTCTGAGTCCTCTAGGTCAACTCCAAAAACAATCGGAGCTGTGGCAGCTCAGGCAGGATGAAGATGAAGGGTGGAGGAGCCAGGAGGTTGCAGGGACCGGGGAGAGGCGGCAGCAGGTCGGAGGATTCCAGTTTCAGTGTGTTTCCAGCAGGCTCACAGGAGGGGCCCAGGGATGTGGGATCTTGAAGCCCTGAGAAGGTTGAAGTGATGAGGTCAGGAAAGGAAGAGGGGATTCTGGGAGGGTTGATGGGCAGCACCCAGCATGCCAGAAGCCCTCATGACCTCAGAGGCTGAGCAGCTGAGTACTGAGCCCTGGACGCTAGGCTGCCTTAGTCCAGAGGAGGACAGACTCAGAGATGTGCTTCAGGAATTCAGGACACAGCTACAGTCATTCCTGGAGAGCCCAGATCTGTGGGACCAGCTGAGATTTGTAGGCAGAGCCTCAGATCTTGCACTGGCAGCAAATTGGGACACAGCAGCTGGACTGGGAACAGCAGGGCTTGCAGCAGCTGGACTGGCAGCAGGATGACCCACAGCCTGAAGAGCAGCAGCAGGGCTTACAGCAGCTGGACTGGGAACAGCAGGGCTTGCAGCAGCTGGACTGGCAGCAGGATGACCCACAGCCTGAAGAGCAGCTGCAGGGCTTACAACAGCTGGACTGGGAACAGCAGGGTTTGCAGCAGCTGGACTGGCAGCAGGATGACCCACAGCCTGAGGAGCAACAGCAGGGCTTATAGCAGCTGCACTGGGAGCAGCCACAAGAACCACAGCCTCCCTTGGAGCCCCCACAGGAGCCACAGTCCCCCTTGGAGCCCCCACAGGAGCCACGGCCCCCCTTGGAGCCCCCACAGGAGCCACAGCTGGAGCAGGAACAGGCTGGCACACAGCAGCACACGGGCTTGCAGCAGCAGATGGGCACACAGCAGCTAGAGCCACATCCCCCACAGCCAGAGCCGCAGCCCCCACAGCCGGAGCCACAGCCTCCAGAGCAGCCACAGCAGCCCATGGTTCTGGTGGGTTGAGGGTGGAGCAGGTAGAGGAGCAGGTGAGAGGGAGGTGTGCAGGTGTGGAACTCCCTGAGCCTGGGCCCTTTATATCCCTGCCCAGGTGTTTATACTGAACACATGAATACTTCTGTTGTTGTTTCTGCTATTTCACATGCACGAGTGTTATTTTTAATCTCTTCACAATCCCATGAGCCGCCATCAGCTCCAGCCAAGCTCTCCTTTCCTTGGTTTCTAAATTTGGCCTCTTCCTCATAGGTGTTTCCCTTTGTTAGAAGACACTGGGCTCCCTCTCCAGCAGGTGTCCCGGGAGCCTGGGAGACGGTGGTGGCTTGGCCAGCGGGTGGACCATTTTCCTTGGCGCTCAGGGCTCTCCTCAGCGATGCAGACCCTCCACCCCCTGGCATTGGTGTTTATATCAACGGTGGTCATTTTGTAAAAAAATTAAATAAAATTAAAACTAACAAAATAAGCTGAAAGAAAAGGCTGTCTATAGGTTCCACCGCTTAAAAATTTCCAGGATAAATATTTTGTCAAATTTGTAAAACACAGTTTTGAAGAGCGTGGATTTGAGTGTGGCCCTGGTTCTCCTTTGTCTTTCTTACCTCTTCTTCCTGTGGTTCGGCTCACTCCTCCAGACACGGATTAGACCCACGTTCCCTTCAGGCAAGCTGGGCTCACAGAGGGAACAGAGGAACGGGACCCTTTCTAATGCTTTCAAGTTTTCCTCAATTAAGTCTTTGTAAAAATTCCACAAATCAACAGATATGCTTCAAATTTATTCTCCTTGAAGGCTACAAAAATTTTGATTAGCCATCCTCTCTAATGTACTTTTATTTTCCGAAGATTAATTTTAATTTTATATTGAGGTAAAATTTACATGCAGTGAAATGCTTTTTTTTTGAGACTAAATCTCACTGTGTTGCCCAGGCTGGAGTGCAGTGGCATGATCTCGGCTCACTACAACCTCTGCCTCCCGAGTTCAAGCAATTCTCCTGCCTCAGCCCCCTGAGTAGCTGGGATTACAGGCGTGTGCCACCATGCCTAGCTAATTTTTGTATTTTTAGTAGAGAGGGGGTTTCACCACGTTGGCCTGTCTGGTCTCGAACTCCTGACCTCAAGTAATCCACCTGCCTCGGCCTCCCAAAGTGTTGGGATTACAGGCATGAGCCACCACACCCGGACTGCATTTTTTTTTTTTTTTTTTTTTTTTTTTTTTTTTTTTTGAGGCAGTGTCTCATTCTGTCGCCCAGGCTGGAGGGCAGTGGTGCGATCCTAGCTCACTGCAGCCTTGGCCTACCAGCCTCTGCACATACTTTAAGTGTACAATTCCATGAGTTCCGCTAAACATGTACTCGTGTGCCCATCACCCCAACCATGACCAACTGCTTCAACCCCAGAAGGTTCACTTTCACGGCCTTCCCTTCCTGCCCATCACTACAGGCACAGCTTTGCTGACTAGTTTTGCCTGCTATTGAATGTCGCGGAAATGAAATCATTAAAAATGTACTCTGGTTTCTTTCCCTCACGATGTTATTGTGTGTGTCAATGATTTGCCCTTCTTCTTCTTCTTCTTTTTTTTTTTTTTGAGACAGGGTCTTGCTCTGTCACCCAGGCTGGAGTGCAGAGTGGTGCGCTCATGGCTCACCGCAGCCTCGACCTCCTGGGCTGAGGCAATCCACCTGCCTCAGCCTCCCAACGTGCTGGGACTACAGGCATGAGCCACCACGTCTGGCCTTATTCTTCTTTTTTAATCATCGCGTAGTGTTTCGTGTAAAAATACTCTCCACGGCGTTCCTCCATTCTCCTGTTCATAGATATTTGAATTGTTCGCAGTTTGGGGCGATGATAAATAACACATAATCATGCCTTCCAGTCCTTCCGTATTCATGTTTTTGGTTTTAATTTTTTGGTTAAATATTGAGGACTGGCCTTGCTAGACCATAGAGTAGTGTATGCTTAACTTTCTAAGAAACAGACAGCTTTCCAAACGCTCAAGCTGCTTTCCCTTCTCCTCAGCAATGCCTGAGAGCGTCCGCTGCCCCAGGCCTGTCAGTACCGCCATTGGGTTTTCAAATGTGAGGCGTCGGATGGGTGTAAAATTGCCTCTCATGTGGATTTTGATCTGCGTTTCTCTGATGACTAATGTTTGTGAGGGTCTTTTCTTGCACTTACTGGTCATTTTCACATCTTTCTTGTTAAAAGGTTTTGTTAAAATTGTTTGCCCACTTTATTGTAGGGTTATTGAGTTGTTGGAACTCTTCATAAATTCAATATCAAGAATATATGAATGAAATGCTTTGCCATATGTATGTATATATATATATATTTACACATGTATTTTATATACATGCATATATGTGTGAAGGGGGCCAGCCCCTCCACACCTGTGGGTATTTCTCATCAGGTGGGACGACAGACTGAGAAAAGAAATAAGACACAGAGACAAAGTATAGAGAAAGAAAAGTGGGCCCAGGGGACCGGCACTCAGTATACGGAGGACCTGTGCCGGCACAGGCCTCTGAGTTCCCTCAGTATTTATTGATTACTATTTTCACTATCTCAGCGAGAGGAATGAGGCAGGAGAGCAGGGTGATAGTGGGGAGAAGGTCAGCAAGAAAACATGTGAGCAAAGCAATCCGTGTCACAATTAAGTTCAAGGGGAGGTACTATGCCTGGATGTGCACGTAGGCCAGATTTATGCTTCTCTCCACCCAAACATCTCAGTGGAGTAAAGAATAACAGAGCAGCATTGCTGCCGACATGTCTCGCCTCCTGCCACAGGGGGGTTTTTCTGTTATCTCAGAATAGAACAAATGTACAATCGGGTTTTACACTGAGACATTCAGTTCCCAGGGACAGGCAGGAGACAGAGGCCTTCCTCTTATCTCAACTGCAAGTGGCCTTCCTCTTTTACTAATCCTCCTCAGCACAGACCCTTCATGGGTGTCGGGCTGGGGGACGGTCTTTCCCATCCCACGAGGCCATATCTCAGGCTATCACCTGGGGGGAAACCTTGGACCATACCCAGGTTTGCAGGGCAGAGGTCCCTGCGGCTTTCAGCAGTGCATTGTGCCCCTGGTTACTCGAGACTGGAGAATGGCGATGACTTTTACCAAGCATACTGCCTGTAAACATTTTGTTAACAAGGCACGTCCTGCACAGCCCTAGATCTCTTAAACCTTGATTCCATACAACACATGTTTTTGTGAGCTCAAGGTTGGGGCAAAGTTACAGATTAACAGGATCTCAGGGCAAAGCAATTGTTCAGGGTACAGGTCAAAATGGAGTTTCTGATGTCTTCGTTTTCTACATAGACACAGTAACAGTCTGATCTCTCTTTCTTTTCCCTACATATGTGTATATATAATATATATGTATGTATAATACATAATATATAATTTTTCAGTATTTGATTTGCCTTATTATTATCTTATTTTTATAGGGAAACGTTTTTGATTTTGAAGTGCAATTTAACATTTGTTTCTTTGACAGCTAGTGCTTTCTTGTGACCTTTTTGAAAACTCTCTTTCCTAGCTTTTCCTCTAGAAGCATTAGAGTTTTTGTTTCTATATTTAGTTCTATGCTGGATCTCAAGCTAATTTTTGTGTGTAATGTGAGGTAGGAGTTGAGATCCATTTTTTCACATTTTCATCCAATTGTTTCAGCAGCATTTGATAAAAAGACTATCGTGGCCAGGCGCAGTGGCTCACGCCTGTAATCCAGGCACTTTGGGAGGCCGACGAGGTAAGATAACCTGAGGTAAGGAGTTCAACACCAGCCTGGCCAACGTGGCGAAACTCCATCTCTACTAAAAATACAAAAATTAGCTGGGCGTGGTGGTGGGCGCCTGTAATCGTAGCTACTCAGGAGGCTGAGGCAGGAGAATCGCTTGAACCCAGGAGGCAGAGGTTGCAGTGAGCCAAGATTGTGGCACTGCACTCCAGCCTGGGCGACAAAGTGAGACTCCGTCTCAAAACAAACAAACAAACAAAGGTGGTTTGCCTGTAATCCCAGCACTTTGGGAGGCCTATATGGGCAGATCACCTGAGGTCATGAGTTCAAGACCAGCCTGACCAACATAGAGAAACCCTGTCTCTACTAAAAATGCAAAATTAGGTGGGTGTGGTGGCACAGGCCTGTAATCCCAGCTACTCGGGAAGCTGAGGCAGGAGAATTGCTTGGACCCGGGAAGTGGAGGTTGCAGTGAGCCGAGATCATCCCATTGCACTCCAGCCTGGGCAACAAGAGCAAAATTCCATCTGAAAAATGAATAAATAAATGACTATATAAACAAATAAATAAACCAACCATCCTTATCCCACTGAAATCGCTGATGTTTTTAATGAGAATCAGCCGACACTATGGCGAGTTTGTTCCTGTGTCCTGCTCCGCAGGTCTGTATGCTGCTTCCTAATGCAAACACAGCGTCACTGTGACATTATGGGAGATTTTGAAGTCAAGTATTGTGAGACTTCAACCTCATTCTTCTTTTTAAAGATTGTTTTCTTTTTTTCAATTCCTTTGCTTTTCCAACGAAATTTTAGAACCAACTTGATCATCTCAACAACAAAAACATAAATGGATATGGAGGCACATAGATGATAGATGGATGGATAGATAGATAGAGAGATACACAGATGATTCTGAAGAATTGAACTATGTAATTATGGAGGCTGAGCAGCTCCACAATCTGCTGTCTGTAAGCTGAAGGTGTACCCTGCTTGTTTCCAGACTGAGTCTGGTTCCCCGATCACTCTGACCAAGATTCATGCTAAGATGCTCCCTCAGTGACCACTCCACACATAGCCAGCTTCTCCAGGCCCCATACAGGGTCTCCCTTCACTCATTATCCAAGATTCCTTGGGTTGGGGGGACCATCTGGTCTTGAAAATATTCACTAGCGGCAGTGGTGCATGCCTGTAGTACCAGCTACTCGAGAGACTGAGGCAGGAGGATCCTTTGAGCCTAGGAGTTGAAGACTAGCCTGGGCAACACAGTGAGACTCTACCTCTATTGAAAAAAAAAAAAGAAAAGAAAAGAGGAAGAAGAAGGAAAAAAAGAAAATAATCACAAACAAGTAAACAAGCTGACCATGTCTTTTATTTATTTATTTATTTATTTAAGACAGGGTCTCACTCTGTCACCCGGGCGGGAGTATAGTGGTGCAATCATAACTCACTGTAGCCTCAACTTCCCAGGCTCAAGAGATTCTTCCACCTCAGCCTCCCCATTAGCTGGGACTGCAGGTGTGCACCACCACAGCTAATTTTTTTTATTTTTCTGTAGAAAAAAAATAAAAAAATTATTAGCCCAGCTAATAATTTAGCCCAGCTAATTATTTTATTTTTCTGTAGAGACGGGGTCTTGCTATGTCACCCAGGCTGGTCTTGAACTCCTGAGCTAAAGTGTTCCTTCTTCCTTAACCTCCCAAAATACTGGGCTTACAGGAGTAAGCCACCATGCCAAGCCCAAGCTGACCACTTCTAAAAGTGTCCTCCACTCAAGCAGCTCACTTACTTAAGAATATCGCTTATTCCCACACCCCTGCCTCCCAAATCTCTTCCCTGTCTTTGCAGAACCAGCTCTCTTAAATACATTTTCCACAGTCATATTTACAGTGCAAATTTTAAGTAAAATTGCAATGCTTGCAAAAAAGAAAGAAATGTAGGATTCTGTGATGTCACTGAAAGTGACATTGGAGAACATCTGCTGGGAGCCAGGCAAGGCCACTGCAGTGAAGATCAGGCGGTTCACCCTAAAAGAGAAGCTGGCCAAGGAGACAAGATAGGGACTTCCCAATGGGGTGAGTTGACCTCGAAGAGAGGCGTTCGTGAAGGATGAGAAGGAGCTCAGTTGGTTTTGCAACGTGATTCTGTAACGTCATTCTGTAATGTCTTCAGCGTCATTCTGTAACGGCCAACTGTGAAATGAAGGATGTTGCAACAGGCAATCCTATGATTTTATCAAAAAAATGCATAAAATATCCAACACGTGATTTTCTCTTTGTTGATTTCATGGAGAGTTACAACTATGTCCTAAATCTTGCTAACAATTATGTGACATCTGTTCATTTTTAAGGAAGGTTTTGTGGGTTTTTTTGTTGTTTGTTTGTTTGTTTGTTTTTTTGACAGAGTCTCGCTGTGTCGCCAGGCTGGAGTTCAGTGGCAGGATCTTGGCTCACTGCAACCACTGCCTTCCAGGTTCAAGCAATTCTCCTGCCTCAGCCTTCCAAGTAGCTGGGACTACAGATGCGTGCTACCCCGCCCGGCTAGTTTTTGTATTTTTAGTATAGATGAGGTTTCACCATGTTGACCAGGATGATCTTGATCTTTTGACCTCGTGATCCACCCGCCCCAGCCTCCCAAAGTGCTGGGATTACAGGCATGAGCCACCGCGCCTGGCCGGTTTGGGGTTTCTTTTGATTTCTCTTCTACCCCCCACACCACAAGCACAGACAGCATTGGTTCTGCTGGGCCTATTTCCAACAATGGCCGGCAGCAGGCCTTTCTTTGGTGCCTGTTACTGTGATAGTGAGGCTATCTTTAATCTGCAGGTCACTTGGTCCAGCCTGGGCCAAAGACTTCCCCCTCTTCCCTGGAGAAACCTCTTTATTACACAGCAAGACACAAATTTACCCACGGGAGCCACAGGCCAAGCAAAGAGAACGCCTGGTGAGCCACAGTGGGGAGAAGTTTCTGGCGTCTTCTGGATCCACTGACCCCACAGCAGCCCCTCCTGCCCCACTGGCAAGGCTGGAGGCAGCCACCAACTCCCTACCTGTGGTGTGGTCCGCCCTCATGGAATCTCATCAGAGTGTACCCTTAAAGACGGTTCTTTTCATTTCTGCTTTAATTGTCCTTTGCTGCTCAAAGGCCTTCTAAGTCTTATCATTTACCAGGCAGAACTGAGAACTCTGTAGCTCCCCAGGTTTCTCCAGGCTTTCTAGAACTTTCCTCCTGGCTGAAACCAGCCGGTTCTTTCGAGCTCACCCTGTTCTTGTAATGCTTTGATAAATGCAGCCACAATGACCCACGCGGGAGTGGCACTGTGTTTTCTGAACTCTTCCCTCAGGGATACACGATCTAGGACAGTCTTACCAAACACATAATAACTACCTTTCTCGCCTCCGATAGCTTTCCTTTCCACCCACCCCCTGACCAATAAACCAAGGCCACAATGCTATGTTTGTGTTCTGGTAGGTTTCTGGGTCAACCAGGATAGACCAATTACGCTGCTCACACGCGCCACCCCCACGTTTCAGTGACTTCACACGACACAGGCTTACTTCTTGTTCACATCGCAGGTCACTGCACATCAGCTGGTGACTCTGCTCTGTACTTCATCACTCTGGGACTCAGTCGGAAGCAGCAGCCACTGCTTGGAACGTTAGTGGTCATGGTGGGGGAAGAAAGAGAGAATGCAGAAAACTGCAGCAGGTGCTTCAAACTTCTTCCCACTGACGCAAGCAAATCACATGGCCACACCTGACTTAGAGAGGGCTCATGAAAGGGCCACCCTATTACCTGCCATCCAACCTGTTCCCAGAAGGAGAGGAGAACCAGGATGCCTACAAATAGCCCTAATTATCACCCCATTCTGTGCTCTGCGTGGCAATGCTGCCAGTCCTATAGATAGGTTTTTGGCTAAATGAGCTTAAGTTTTTCATTTTTACTCTAACATATGCATTTAAGGCTATAAATTTTCCACTGATTTGGCTGCATGCAGTAAATTTGATAGCCCCATTATTTCATTAGGGGTTACAAAATGATGAGTTTCTAATTCTATGATTTCTTCTTTATTTATAAACTGGAATACTTCCTCTAATTTTGTTACCATAAGATAGAGTTTGTCTGTCAGAGATAGAATAAGTGCCTGATTATTTTCCTTTACTTAGTCATCTTTAAAATAATGAACTGATTCCTAGAATCCTCTAAAGGCAACTAAGTTTTACAGTTTGCATAGGATCTGTATTATTATTTTTTGTGTATGATTACTCACTCCTAGTTTAAACATATTTGATGTGTATCAGTCCATTTAAGAAATTGGTGTTCAGGTTGTCCCAAGTCTGTCTACAGAGAGTTTCTCTAGGTTTGCCTCTCACCATTTTTTTTTTCTTTTTTCTGAGACAGAGTTTTGTTCTTGCTGCTCAGGCGGGAGTGCAATGGCGCCACCTCAGCTCACTGCAATCTTTGCCTCCCAGGTTCAAAGGGTTCTCCTGCCTCAGCCTCCCATGTAGCTGGGATTACAGGCATGCACCACCACACCCAGCTAATTTTTTGTATTTAGTAGAGACAGGGTTTCACCATGTTGGTCAGGCTGGTCTCGAACTCCTGACCTCAAGTGATCCACTCGCCTCAGCAGCCATGCACCACCACACCTGGCTAATTTTTTGTATTTAGTAGAGACAGGGTTTCACCATGTTGGTCAGGTTGGTCTCGAACTCCTGACCTCAAGTGATCCACTCGCCTCAGCCTCCCAAAATGCTGGGATTACAGGCATGAGCCACCTTGCCCGGCTGACTCTTTAGTTCTTTTGATGTGACTGCATTAGTCTTAGTTATCATCTCTGCTTTCTGGGATAACAAGATGTTCTAGATTTGTCTTGTTCGCTTCCAGCCCATTCACCAGAGAAGCCAGGTTCCAGGTAGATACAATAAATAGCATTTGAAGATAACAAACAGTCTTGGTGCTAGGAGTGTTCACTGCTACAGGATGGCTCATTATTTCTAAGTCTTCCAATGGAGGAGGAAACTATTTTTATTTGGATAAAAAACATCATGATTTCATATCGATATATCTAATTCAAATTCAGGATGACAAGGTTTTTACTTAACCTCATCAGTTCCACACCAAAAATTCTAGTTCTGATACCAACCTAATTATGCATTTGCTTTTTCCATACAGCATTCACAGCAGAATAACGACACCACTGCTGCCACCATGACTACTAAAAATAGCTTAGGAATTTTATTTTTGTGTTCTTTCTATGCTTAGGACATATCCCACCAATAAATTGCTGTGTTTCCAAATAACTTGAAATAATTCAACTCTATTAATATTGCCTTTTTTTTTTTTTGACGGAGTCTTGCTCTGTCGCCCAGAATGGAGTGCAGTGGCGCGACCTCGACTCATCACAACCTCCCCCTCCCAGGTTGAAGCCATTCTCCTCCCTCAGCCTCCGAAGTAGCCAGGATTACAGACACGTGCCACCACACTCAGCTAATTTTTATATTTTTAGTAGAGACAGGGTTTCACCATGTTGGCCAGTCAGGTCGCAAACTCCTAACCTCAAGTGATCCGCCTGCCTCGGCCTCCCAAAGTGCTGGGATTATAGGCGTGAGCCACTACGCCCGGCCCTTTCAAAATTCTTAAAAAGCAATATTGGCTTGGTGCTAGGAGTGTTTATTTACAGAGGCAACAGGCTGTGTAACAACAAAGACAATCAGAGTAAGTTGGTTACAAAAACTTCCCAAAGGAAGATGGCAGAGGCCTGGACCAGGGAAAGGAGGCAAGTCTGAACTCCCCAGAGTTTTCAGCAGCCTCTTCTGCTTCTGTGGCCCTGGCCTGAGGAACAGTCCTGTCTCCATCAGATCAATAGCTGGAAAGACCTAGGAAGAGAGGGGTTCTGAGAAAAGAGGGGTCAGCCAGGAAGGAGATGAGAGGCAGAGGAGACAGCCAGCCCCATCCTAGCACCTTCCAGCAACATCAGCATCAGACCCACGCAGTCCGAAACACAACAAGAACAAGAAAACAATAGCCATAGCCATAGTAATGACCCCGAACAACAGAGAAATCAGCAAGATATGTGTTTCAGTTTGTCGGCATGGTATTTTTATTAGTTTGCAACTTTTCATTTAAGATAAAGCAGAGTGTTGGACAGGCAAAGCCACTCCAAGGAAGCCTCTTAAACGCCCACCTTGTTGCAGGTGGGACACTCATGCCCAGCTGCTCCAGCTGGAAAAGACAGGACTTCAAGTGGGTTCAGGAGCTCAGGCCTCTGAATACACAAGCAAAGGCAAGGCTAGCGGGTGAGGGGTGATTCAGCCGCAGTTGCAGTTGACTTGGGAAGAGAATTTGTTAGGAGGGAATGGACATTAATTAGGGTGGACTCTCCTTAGGAAAAGGCAGGCAGATATGGCTTCATCTTATAGTGAGGAATGGACCCTGAGCAGTGGTTTGGGGCTCAACGATGAAGGACAGGTCACAGCTTCGGAAAATGGGGTTAGCAGGACTCACATGAGACCTGAGTCCAGAGCCTCAGATCTTACACTGGCAGCACACGGGGACACAGCAGCTAGACTGGGAGCAGCAGGGATTGCAGCAACTGGACTGGCAGCAGGATGACCCACAGCCTGAGGAACAGCAGCAGGGCTTACAGCAGCTGGACTGGCAGCAGCAGGGCTTACAGCAGCTGGACTGGCAGCAGGATGACCCACAGCCTGAGGAGCAGCAGCAGGGCTTATAGCAGCTGCACTGGGAGCAGCCACAAGAACCACAGCCCCCCTTAGAACCCCCACAAGAGCCACAGCCCCCCTTGGAGCCCCCACAGGAGCCACAGCCTCCCTTGGAGCCCCCACAGGAGCCACAGCTGGAGCAGGAACAGGCTGGCACACAGCAGCACACGGGCTTGCAGCAGCAGACGGGCACACAGCAGCTGGAGCCACATCCCCCACAGCCAGAGCCACAGCCCCCACAGCCGGAGCCACAGCCCCCACAGCCGGAGCCACAGCCTTCGGAACAGCCACAGCAGCCCATGGTTCTGGTGGATTGAGGGTGGAGCAGGTAGAGGAGCAGGTGAGAGGGAGGTGCAGGTGTGGAGCCCCCTGAGCCCGGGCTCTTTATATACCTGTCCAGAGGTCAGGCACAATACAGGGTCGCTTCCTTGTGACTGTTTACGCTATTTTTCCAGAGCTCTATTTTTTTTCCTCTTTGCTAGTGACTTCCTCCTGGCTCAGTTGAGCATCTACTTTCTTTGTTTACTAAATTTGTCTTTTTCCCTATTTGTTTTGGCCCCTACAATTGAAACCTCAGCTCCAGGCTGTCTGGTGCTTCCCGCAAAGCTCCAGGGTGCTGGTCACCTGCTCTCTGCTGACCACATGTGACCAATGGGCAACAGCCTTTGCCCACGTGCTCTCATCTTTCCTGTGTTGACTCCCCCAGGAATATTAATTTCACATTTTTAGATTTCAAAATTATCCATGGTCTTTATATTTTACTCATGCCATTCTCAGTTTTGCATTGCTCTAAAGAAATACTTGAAGCTGGGTAATTTATAAAGGAAAGGTTAGAATGGCTCATGGTTCTGCAGGCTGCACAAGCATGGCACCCACCTCTGCTCAGCTTCTGGGCAGGCCCTCAGGGAGCTTTTCCTCATGGTGGAAGGTGAAGCAGGAGCAGGCTCACCACATCGTGAGAGTGGGAGCAAGGGGTGAGGAGGGGCCACACACTTGCGAACAACCAGATCTGAGTGAACACACTCATCACCAAGGAGATGGCGCTAAGCCAGTCATGAGGGATCCGCCCCCATGACCTAAACACCTCCTTGCAGGCCCCTCCTTCAACACTGGGGATTACATTTCGACAAGAGATTTGGAGGGGACATCCCAACTGTATCATTATCCCCTTGACCCCTCAAATCTCATGTCCTTACATTGCAGAATAGAATCATCTCTTCCCAACAGTCCTCTCAATGTCTTGACTCATTCCAACATCAAGTCCAAAGTCCCAAGTCCAAGTCCCTTCCACCAATGAACTTGTGAAAATCAAAACACATTATTTACTTTGAAGATACATGAGGGTGGAGGCATTGGGTAAACATTCCCATTCCAAAAGGGAGAAATCAGCCCAAAGGAAGGGGCTACAGACCCCATGCATGTCTGAAATCCAGCAGGGCAGCCATTAAATCTTAAAGCTCCAAAATAATGTCCTTGGACTCCCAGTCCCACATCCAGGGTACACTGGAGTGAGGGGTGGGCTCCTAAGGCCTTGGGGAACTCCACCCTTGTGGCTTTGCAAGGTTCGCACCCTGCAGCTGCTCTCATGGGTTGGAGTTGTGTGCCTGCAGCTTCTCCATGCTCAAGATGTAAGCTGCCAGTGGCTCTACCATTCTGGGGCCTGGAGGATGGTGTCCTCCTCCCCACAGCTCAATTAAGCAATGCCCCAGTGGGGACTCTGTGTGGGCCTCCTACTCCACATTTCCCCTCTACACTGCCCTAGTATATATCCTCTGTGCGGGCTCTGCCCCTGCAGCAGGCTTCTGCCTGAGTGCCCAGGCTTTCTCATAAATCCTCTGCAATCTAGGTAGAGGATCCCAAGCCTCCTTCACTCTTGTATTCTACGCACCTACAGGCTTAACACCACATGGGAGCTACCAAGGCTTATGGCTTGCACCCTCTGAAGCCAGAGTTACATTTGGGGTCTTTTGAGCTGAGGCTGGAGCTGGAGTAGCCTATGTGTGGGGAGCAGTGCTCCAAGGCTATGCAGGGCAGTGAGGGCCTGGGGTGAGCCCCTGAAACCATGGTGTCCTCCTAGACCTCTAGGTCAGTGATGAGAGGGGCTGTCTCAAACACTTTTGAAATGCATTTGAAGTCTTTTCCAATTGTGTTGGCTATTAGCACTTGGGTTTTTTTGTTTGTTTTTTGAGTCATGCTAATATCTCTAGCAGGTGGTTGCTCTATAGCCTGCTTGGATTCCTCTCCTGATAATGCTTTTTCATTCTCTGCCACATGGCCATGCTGCAAAGTTTCCAAACTTTTACACTTTGATTCCCTTTTAAATATAAATTCCAACTTTAATTCATTTATGTGCTCTTGCATGTGAGAATACGATGTTAGATTCAGTCAGGCCACAGCTTGAATGTTTGCTGCTTAGAAATTTCTTCCACTAGATATCCTAAGTCATCACTCCTAAGTAGAAATTTTCAGAGCCCCCTAGGGCATGAAGCACAATATGGTCAAGCTCTCTGCCAAGGTGTAACACAAGTGATCTTTGTTTTAGTTTTCAGTAAGTTCCTCATTTCCATCTGAGACCTCATCAGGCTGGACTTCATTGTTCTTATCACTTTAATTATTTTGGACACAACCATTTAACCAGTCTCAAAGGAGTTCCCACCTTTTCCTCATCTTTCTGTCTTCTTCTGAGCCCTCCAAAAATCTTCCAATCTCTGGCCATTACCCAGTTCCAAAGTCACCTCCACATTTTCAGGTGACTTTATAGCAACATACCATTCCTGGTACAGTTTTCTGTATTTTTTGTGTTGCCATAAAGAAATATCTGAGGCTGGGTAATTTATAAATAAAAAAGGTTTAATTGGCTCCTGGTTCTGCTAGTTGTACAAGCATGGCACCGACATCTGCTCAGCTTCTGGTGAGGCCCTCAGGGAGCTTTTATTCATGGTAGAAGGCAAAGCAGGAGCAGGCATGCCACATGGTGACAGCTGAGAAAGAGAGAGCTGGTGGAGGGACAGAGGCCACACATTTTTTTTTTGAGATGGAGTTTTGCTCTTGTTACTCAGGCTGGAGTACAATGGCATGATCTCGGCTCACCGCAACCTCCGCTTCCCAGGTTCAAGTGATTCTCCTGCCTCAGCCTCCCGAATAGCTGGGAGTACAGGCATGCACCACCACACCTGGCTAATTTTGTATTTTTAGTAGAGACAGGGTTTCTCCCTGTTGGTCAGGCTGGTCTCGAACTCCTGACCTCAGGTGATCTGCCCACCTCAGCCTCCCAAAGTGTTGAGATGACATGCATGAGCCACCATGCCTGGTCAGTGCCACATATTTTTAAACAACCAGATCTTGCTCGAACTTATTCATCACCAAGGAGATGGTGCTAAACCATTCATGAAAAATCTACACCCATGATCCAAACACCTCCCAGCAGGCCCCACCAACATAAGATTTGGAGGAAGCATGCAAACTATATTACTGGGGATCACTTTTTTTTTTTTAGATGAAGTCTTCCTCTGTCACCTGGGCTGGATTGCAGTGACGTGACCACAGCTTACTGCACCTTCAAACTTCTGGGCTTAAGGAATCTTCCCGCCTTGGCCTCCTAGGTAGCTGGGAATATAGGCATGTATCACCATACCCAGCTAACTTTTAAACTTTTTGTAGAGATGGGGCCTTGCCATGTTGCTCTGGCTGGTCTCAAACTCCTGGCCTCCAGTGATCCTCCTACCTTGGCCTCCCAAAGTGCTGGGATTGCAGGTGTGAGCCACTGCACCCAGACAATATCCTTTCCTTTCCTATCCAAATAAGAATAATCTATCCTCATCTTGTTGTTTGTGGGGAATCTTTTCCCCTACTCAATTATTTCTGAAAATCTCACAAGTCTCTCTGCTGTTGTTTTCTCTCTTCCCCAGGCAGAGTGTTCACTCCTCTTAGGCTGCTTACTTCAGCTGCTCAGCTGGGTTCCCTGCTCAGTTGTACTCCATGTGGGGAGAGAGGTTCCTTTATGCCATGGTCTGCATGTGTCCCCCAAAATTCATGTATTAGAAACTTCATCCCCAATGCAAGAGTGTTGGGAGGTGGGGCCTAACAAAAGGTACTTGGAATGAATTAGTGCTGCTCCAAGAAGGACTTGAGAGAGGGCATTCACCCCTTTCTGTTCTTCTGCCATGTGAGGACAACATATTCATGCTCTCTTGCCCTTCTGCCTTCCAATATGTGAAGACACAGTAAGAAGGCCCACACCAGATATCAGCACCTTGATCTTGGACTTCCCAGCCTTCAGGACTCTGAGAAAGTACATTTCTGTTCTTTATCAATTACCCAGGTCAATTATTATCTTATAGCAGCAATAATGGACTGAGGCACTCTAGTCACAAAACCATTGCTTATATGAGGCTACTTTCTTTGTTTAAGGGATGCATGCTAAACCCTGAGGAGAGCATAAGAGGGGCACATTACTGAAAAGAAACTGAAGTCTGCTTACCAGATGTCCCTGCTCCTCAAATCTCTTGGCCGTGCGATTGGGCATTGTTTCACCAGTGTACTCACCTAAGAACACAGCAGCATGTCACCAATGTACTCGCCCAAGAATACAGCAGCATGTCCTCAGCATTCTCACCCAAGAATACAGCAACATGTCACCAGCGTACTCGCCCAAGAATACAGCAACATGTCACCAGCGTACTCACCCAAGAATACAGCAACATGTCACCAGCGTACTGGCCCAAGAATACAGCAACATGTCACCAGCGTACTCGCCCAAGAATACGGCAACATGTCACCAGCGTACTCGCCCAAGAATACGGCAACATGTCACCAGCGTACTGGCCCAAGAATACGGCAACATGTCACCAGCGTACTCGCCCAAGAATACGGCAACGTGTCACCAGCGTACTCGCCCAAGAATACGGCAACGTGTCACCAGCGTACTCGCCCAAGAATACGGCAACGTGTCACCAGCGTACTCGCCCAAGAATACGGCAACGTGTCACCAGCCTACTGGCCCAAGAATACGGCAACGTGTCACCAGCGTACTCGCCCAAGAATACGGCAACGTGTCACCAGCGTACTCGCCCAAGAATACGGCAACGTGTCACCAGCGTACTCGCCCAAGAATACGGCAACATGTCACTAGTGTACTCGCCCAAGAATACAGCAACATGTACTCGCCCAAGAATACAGCAACATGTCACCAGCGTACTCGCCCAAGAATACAGCAACATGTCACGAGTGTACTCGCCCAAGAATACAGCAACATGTCACTAGTGTACTCGCCCAAGAATACAGCAACATGTCACTAGTGTACTCGCCCAAGAATACAGCAACATGTACTCGCCCAAGAATACAGCAACATGTCACCAGCGTACTCGCCCAAGAATATGGCAACATGTCACGAGTGTACTCGCCCAAGAACACAGCAACATGTCACTAGTGTACTCGCCCAAGAATACAGCAACATGTCACTAGTGTACTCGCCCAAGAATACAGCAACATGTACTCGCCCAAGAATACAGCAACATGTCACCAGCGTACTCGCCCAAGAATACGGCAACATGTCACGAGTGTACTCGCCCAAGAATACAGCAACATGTCACGAGTGTACTCGCTCAAGAATACAGCAACATGTCACTAGTGTACTCGCCCAAGAATACAGCAACATGTACTCGCCCAAGAATACAGCAACATGTCACCAGTGTACTCGCCCAAGAATACAGCAACATGTCACGAGTGTACTCGCCCAAGAATACAGCAACATGTCACCAGTGTACTCACCCAAGCATACAGCAACATGTCACCAGTGTACTCACCCAAGAATACAGCAACATGTCACGAGTGTACTCGCCCAAGAATACAGCAACATATCACCAGTGTACTTACCCAAGAATACAGCAACACGTCATCAATGCACTCACCCAAGAATACAGCAACATGTCACCAGCGTACTCGCCCAAGAATACAGCATCATGTCACCAGCATACTGGCCTAAGAATACAGCAACATGTCACCAGCGTACTCACCCAATCATACAGCAACATGTCACCAGCGTACTCGCCCAAGAATACAGCAACAGGTCACCAGTGTACTCACCCAAGAATACAGCAACATGTCACCAGTGTACTCGCCCAAGAATACAGCAACATGTCACCAGCATACTCACCCAAGAATACAGCAACATGTCACCAGTGTACTCACCCAAGCATACAGCAACATGTCACCAGTGTACTCACCCAAGCATACAGCAACATGTCACAGCATACTCACCCAAGCATACAGCAACATGTCACCAGTGTACTCACCCAAGCATACAGCAACATGTCACAGTGTACTCACCCAAGCATACAGCAACACGTCACCAGTGTACTCGACCAAGAATACAGCATCATGTCACCAGTGTACTCACCTGCAGAAATCCTTGAGGAGATGCTCTACCAAGATAAGAATCAGAAGAGCCCTCAAGAGGTGACTGAACTCTGTTGAAAACAGCGGGTGTGTTGTGCAGTTTCCAAGTAATTCACCTAAAACAAAGTGATAGAGACACGTTGAACATAAAAAGGGAGACGGATAACAGCAAAAATAAATAAAATAAAATGAAATGACCAGAAAGGAAAAGAAAAGGACAGACAGCAGCAAGTTGGCAGTTGGGATTTAGGGCCAAAGCACCAAACACCAAACAGGCCAAATACAGTGGCTCATGCCTGCAATCTCAGGGTGCCTGTAATCCAGGGAGGCCAAGGCAGGAGGATCACTTGAGGCCAGGAGTTCAAGACCAGCTTTGGCAATATAGGAAGATATCATCTCTAGAAAAAAAAAATTGTTTTAAATTAGCCAGGCATACTGGTGCACACCGGTAGTTCCAGCTACTCAGGAGGCTTAGGTGGGAAAATCATTGAGCCTGGGAAATCGAGTCTGCAGTGAGCCATGAAATAAAAATTAACACATATCATAAAAATAAAAGACTATGGAGGGAGAGTTAAAGATCTCACTTTCAGAATTGGGTACATCTTTAGACACAAAAAATGTAAGGATAGAAAGGAATCGAGTAAGAAAACTGACAAGCCCAAGTGTTCAGTTTGGGAACTGGTCCCAGAGAATGGGTAATGTCTTCCCCTCACCGCCAGCCCATCCCACTCTGTCTTCTCCAGAGCCTTCATCTCTGTTTCCATTATGTGCTGTCTGGTATGCCTTGCCAACCTCTTCCCAATTTCTTCATGATTTTAGCTTCTGGCTCGTGACTACTTTTTCCAACACAATTTCTAGGTTAATTTTTAGTGATTTCCACACACAAGTAAATGATCCTTCCCCACCTCTCATCCCTGTGGTGATATCTGTGACCTTGTTCTCAGCAGGGCACCCCACTGGGGTCTGTCCCATGCACCCCGCTTCCAGCCACCCTCCTTTTTCTAGCTCTCTTTCTCCAATGCTTTGATCTCACCAGAACTCTCTGTCCATCAGTACAACCACGGCTTCACTGCTCCCCAACCTCTCTGACACCTCTTCTTTTTTTTGGTAACAGCTTTATTGAGATACAATTCATATGCCACACAATTAGCCCGCTTAAGGTATACAATTCAATGCTTTTAACGTATTCACAGCGCTGTGCACCCGTCACCATAATCAGTTATAGAACGTTTCATCGCCTCAGAAGGAAAGCTCACACCCTTTAGTACCCCCCAACTCACTCCCCCACAGGATGGTTCTCCAGGCGGCATCAGAGCTCCGCAGTTCTCCCAGTGTCTCACTTATACCGTTCTCAGGCCAAGGTCAAGACCCCTGACTTAGTTCCTTCTTAGCTAATCTGATCCCTGCACTGCCAGCTGTGCCATTCCGGGCAAGTTATTCATACTTAACTCCTCTGTGCCTGTGACATGAAAAACACGCAGCTGCCTTGAGGATTAAAGTCACTATCAAGAAGTGCCGGAAACGTCTCCAGCAGGGACCCCGCGAAACAGACACAACCCCCTTCTCTGCCACACCCAGTTCCAGAGCCACCCTGGCTGCAGTACTTAGGGGCCCAGGGAATCCTGTGTGACAGGCTAAAGTGTGTGCCCCACACTGCGTGGAAGGCCTGGTCCCCAATCCCTCAGGACGGGGCCTGATTTGAAGGTGGGGCCATTGAACAGGTCTTTCAGTTTAAATGATATCCCCAGGGTGGGCCTGATCCCGACTCACTGGGATCCGCATGGGGAGAGGAGACAGACCCGCAGAGGGCGGCCCGAGGGGGCGCAGGAGACACCCGCCCCCAGCCCAGGAGGGGCCTGGGAAGGAAGCAAACCCTGAGACTCCCTGACCTTGGGCCTCCGCGCCCCCAACAGAGGAAACCAATGTCTGTGGCTGAAGCCTTGGAGCCGCCCCATCTGTGCCGCCCCGAGACTGCGGCCCCCCGGCGACAGAGCTGAGGGTCCGGCAGCGGCCCCAGGAGCCCCCAGAGCCGCGACCCCACCGTGAGGGGATGGGAGGGAGTCGGGTCCCACCCGCCGTCCACCAGGTCCCTGCCCCACAGCTTCCCTGGGAGGAAGGAGACGAGGCCCCGAGGAGGCTGCAGGCCCGGGTTCCAGGGCGGTGCCGGGCAGGTTCCTCAAGCCCGGGGGTTCCCAGAACCGACCGGGGGCTGGCGGAACCTTCGTGGGTTACCCCCTAAAAACCAGCCCACGCTCCGCTTCTCGGGGACCCTCCCCACAGGAAGCAGCCCTGAGATGGGGGGGCCCTGCCCTGTGCCACCCCCACGGGAAGCCCCCAGGAGTGGCGCTGACAAGCCGGACCCATCAGGGGACGCCCCCCACCCCGCCCCCAGACAGACACTGAGACCCAGATGGCCACCCTGTTCCTCATTCATTCATTCACTCACTCATTCATTCCCCACCAGAGGACCCCAGGTGCCGCGCAGTCCCTGGAGATCCAGAAGAAAAGGAGAAACCGAGGCTGCCCGGGGGCTTCAGGCTGGCGCGGGGAGGGGAGGACGCGGGCCCTGCACAGGTGGATGCTCCGAGGAACTGGCCGCAGGAGGCGCCGCCAAGCAGGTAAAGCGGGCAAGGGCGCTTCTGAGAGCCTGGGGGTCTTTCTCTTGCTGCCTTCAGGAGCTCTTCTGTCTCATTCTCTTAAACCTTCTACAGACTCCGCTTCCTGTTTAGTGATCTTCCTTTATAAAGGTCACAGTGAAAATCAGAGTCCTCCTCCTGGCGAGTAAAGGCCTGTATGGTTCTCACTGCTTGCTGGGCCACTGCTTTTGGGAACACGCTTGCACCTGCCTATGTTTGAGGAACTCTGTGCGAAATATTTTCTAATTTCCTTTTTTGCATCGTGTCTGAAGTGTGCGAGAGGCGTGGTGATGGTGTTTGGTTCAGAAATCCCAGAAGTCCTGTAAACAGATATTGTGTGTTCTGCTTTATGATTTCGTATGCTTCAGAGGTTTCTAATGGGAGTCTACAGAAATTTATACTCAGTAATTTTCTCCAAACACTAAGCATCTGCCCAAATATAAGATAATCTAGTTATTTTACTTCAAAATTTTATTTTTTTTAGTATGAACTGAGGTTGGTCATTTAAACGCTATATTCCCCAGTGCCCAACTGTAATACAGTTATAATATTATCATTTTATAATTTTCTCTTTTTTAGTATGAAGCTTACCTGGAATGTGTCATTTATATGTATGTATGTATGTATGTGTGCATATGTATATATATGTGTGTATATCATATGTCACATGAATATATATGTGTGTATCATATATCAACATATCCTGTTGAAATAACAGGATTTCACTTTTTTTTTTTTTAAGACAGTCTCGCTCTGTTGCCCAGGCTGGAGTGCAGTGGCATGATCTCAGCTCACTGCAACCTCCGCCTCCTGGGTTCAAACAATTCTCCTGCCTCAGCCTCCTGAGTAGCTGGGATTACAGGCACATGCTACTACGCCTGGCTAATTTTTGTATTTTTGGTAGAGATGGGGTTTCACCATATTGGCCAGACTGGTCTCGAACTCCTGACCTCAGGTGATCTGCCTGTCTCAGCCTCCCAAAGTGCTGGGATTACAGGCGTGAGCCACCACACCTGGCCAATTTCATTCTTTTGTATGGCTGAGTAATATTTTATTGTCTATTTATATCATATTTTCTTTATCCATTCAGCATCCACAAACATTTAGCTTGTCTTTATACCTTGGCAATTGTGAATATTGTTTCAGTGACCATGGCGTGGGGCAGGGGGGCAGATAATTCTTCAAGATGCTGCTTTTATTCCCTTCAGTTACACACACAGAAGTGGAATTGCTGCATTGTAGGGTAGGTTGTTTTTTTAAATTTTTAAATAACCTCCCTCCCAGTTTTCATAATGACTCTACCAATTTTGAACTCTGACTGTTCAAAATTGTTTTTTCCTAACATCTTTGTCAACATTGTTATATTACTTATTTTTTAATTTTATTATTACACTTTTTAGGGTACATGTGCACAATGTGCAGGTTTGTTACATATGTATACATGTGCCATGTTGGTGTGCTGCACCCATTAACTCGTCATTTAGCATTAGGTATATCTTCTAATGCTATCCCTCCCCCCTCCCCCCACACCACAACAGTCCCCGGAGTGTGATGTTCCCCTTCCTGTGTCCATGTGTTCTCATTGTTCAATTCCCACCTATGAGTGAGAACATGCGGTGTTTGGTTTTTTGTCCTTGCGATAGTTTGCTGAGAATAATGGTTTCCAGTTTCATCTATGTCCCTACAAAGGACATGAACTCTTCATTTTTTATGGCTGCATAGTATTCCATGGTGTATATGTGCCACATTTTCTTAATCCAGTCTATCGTTGTTGGACATTTGGGTTGGTTCCAAGTCTTTGCTATTGTGAATAGTGCCACAATAAACATACGTGTGCATGTGTCTTTATAGCAGCATGATTTATAATCCTTTGGGTATATACCCAGTAATGGGATGGCTGGGTCAAATGGTATTTCTAGTTCTAGATCCCTGAGGAATTGCCACAGTGACTTCCACAATGGTTTAACTAGTTTACAGTCCCACCAACAGTGTAAAAGTGTTCCTATTTCTCCACATCTTCTCCAGCACCTGTTGTTTCCTGACTTTTTAATGATCGCCATTCTGACTGGTGTGAGATGGTATCTCATTGTGGTTTTGATTTGCATTTCTCTGATGGCCAGTGATGATGAGCATTTTTTCATGTGTTTTTTGGCTGCATAAATGTCTTCTTTTGAGAAGTGTCTGTTCATATCCTTTGCCCACTTTTTGAGGGGGTTGTTTTTTTTCTTGTAAATTTGTTTGAGTTCATTGTAGATTCTGGATATTAGCCCTTTGTCAGATGAGTAGGTTGTGAAAATTTTCTCCCATTTTGTAGGTTGCCTGTTCACTCTGATGGTAGTTTCTTTTGCTGTGCAGAAGCTCTTTAGTTTAATTAGATCCCATTTGTCAATTTTGGCTTCTGTTGCCATTGCTTTTGGTGTTTTAGACATGAAGTCCTTGCCCATGCCTATGTCCTGAATGGTATTGCCTGGGTTTTCTTCTAGGGTTATTATGGTTTTAGGTCTAACATTTAAGTCTTTAATCCATCTTGAATTAATTTTTGTATAAGGTGTAAGGAAGGGATCCAGTTTCAGCTTTCTCCATATGGCTAGCCAGGCCAGTTTTCCCAGCACCATTTATTAAATAGGGAATCCTTTCTCCATTGCTTGTTTTTGTCAGGTTTGTCAAAGATCAGATGGTTGTAGATATGCGGCATTATTTCTGAGGGCTCTGTTCTGTTCCATTGATCTATATCTCTGTTTTGGTACCAGTACCATACTGTTTTGGTTACTGTAGACTTGTAGTATAGTTTGAAGTCAGGTACCGTGATGCCTCTGGCTTTGTTCTTTTGGGTTAGGATTGACTTGGCAATGCGGGCTCTTTTTTGGTTCCATATGAACTTTAAAGTAGTTTTTTCCAATTCTGTGAAGAAAGGCATTGGTAGCTTGATGGGGATGGCATTGAATCTATACATTACCTTGGGCAGTGTGGCCATTTTCATGATATTGATTCTTCCTACCCATGAGCATGGAAAGTTCTTCCATTTGTTTGTATCCTCTTTTATTTCCTTGAGCAGTGGTTTGTAGTTCTCCTTGAAGAGGTCCTTCACATCCCTTGTAAGTTGGATTCCTAGGTATTTTATTCTCTTTGAAGCAATTGTGAATGGGAGTTCACTCATGATTTGGCTCTCTGTTTGTTATTGGTGTATAACAATGCTTGTGATTTTTGTACATTGATTTTGTATCCTGAGACTTTGCTGAAGTTGCTTATCAGCTTAAGGAGATTTTGGGCTGAGACAATGGGGTTTTCTAGATACACAATCATGTCATCTGCAAACAGGGACAATTTGACCTCCTCTTTTCCTAACTGAATACCCTTTATTTCCTTCTCCTGCCTAATTGCCCTGGCCAGAACTTCCAAAACTATGTTGAATAGGAGTGGTGAGAGAGGGCATCCCTGTCTTGTGCCAGTTTTCAAAGGGAATGCTTCCAGTTTTTGCTCATTCAGTATGATATTGGCTGTGGGTTTGTCATAGATAGCTCTTATTATTTTGAGATATGTCCCACCATCAATACCTAATTTATTGAGAGTTTTTAGCATGAAGCGTTGTTGAATTTTGTCAAAGGCCTTTTCTGCATCTATTGAGATAATCATGTGGGTTTTGTCTTTGGTTCTGTTTATATGCTGGATTACATGTATTGATTTGTGTATGTTGAACCAGCCTTGCATCCCAGGGATGAAGCCCACTTGATCATGGTGGATAAGCTTTTTGATGTGCTGCTGGATTCGGTTTGCCGGTATTTTATTGAGGATTTTTGCATCAATGTTCATCAAGGATATTGGCCAAAAATTCTCTTTTTTGGTTGTGTCTCTGCCAGGCTTTGGTATCAGGATGATGCTGGCCTCATAAAATGCGTTAGGGAGGATTCCCTCTTTTTCTATTGATTGGAATAGTTTCAGAAGGAATGGTACCAGCTCCTCCTTGTACCTCTGGTAGAATTCGGCTGTGAATCCATCTGGTCCTGCACTTTTTTTGATTCGTAAGCTATTGATTATTGCCACAATTTCAGAGCCTGTTATTGGTCTATTCAGAGATTCAACTTCTTCCTGGTTTAGTCTTGGGAGGGTGTATGTGTTGAGGAATTTATCCATTTCTTCTAGATTTTCTAGTTTATTTGCGTAGAGGTGTTTGTAGTATTCTCTGATGGTAGTTTGTATTTCTGTGGGATCGGTGGTGATATCCCCTTTATCATTTTTTATTGTGTCTATTTGATTCTTCTCTCTTTTCTCCTTTATTAGTCTTGCTAGCAGTCTATCGATTTTGCTGATCTTTTCAAAAAACCAGCTCCTGGATTCATTAATTTTTTGAAGGGTTTTTTGTGTCTCTATTTCCTTCAGTTCTGCTCTGATTTTAGTTATTTCTTGCCTTCTGCTAGCTTTTGAATGTGTTTGCTCTTGCTTTTCTAGTTCTTTTAATTGTGATGTTAGGGTGTCAATTTTGGATCCTTCCTGCTTTCTCTTGTGGGCATTTAGTGCTATAAACTTCCCTCTACACACTGCTTTGAATGTGTCCCAGAGATTCTGGTATGTTGTGTCTTTGTTCTCCTTGGTTTCAAAGAACATCTTTATTTCTGCCTTCATTTTGTTATGTACCCAGTAGTCATTCAGGAGCAGGTTGTTGAGTTTCCATGTAGTTGAGCGGTTTTGAGTGAGTTTCTTAGTCCTGAGTTCTAGTTTGATGCACTGTGGTCTGAGAGACAGTTTGTTATAATCTCTGTTCTTTTACATTTACTGAGGAGTGCTTTACTTCCAACTATGTGGTCAATTTTGGAATAGGTGTGGTGTGGTGCTGAAAAAAATGTATATTCTGTTGATTTGGGGTGGAGAGTTCTGTAGATGTCTATTAGGTCTGCTTGGTGCAGAGCTGAGTTCAATTCCTGGGTATCCTTGTTAACTTTCTGTCTCGTTGATCTGTCTAATGTTAACAGTGGGGTGTTAAAGTCTCCCATTATTATTGTGTGGGAGTCTAAGTCTCTTTGTAGGTCACTAAGGACTTGCTTTATGATGCTTTATGAATCTGGGTGCTCCTGTATTGGGTGCATATATATTTAGGATAGTTAGCTCTTCTTGTTGAATTGATCCCTTTACCATTATGTAATGGCCTCTTTGTCTCTTTTGAACTTTGTTGGTTTAAAGTCTGTTTTATCAGAGACTAGGATTGCAACCCCTGCCTTTTTTTGTTTTCCATTTGCTTGGTAGATCTTCCTCCATCCCTTTATTTTGAGCCTATGTGTGTCTCTGCACGTGAGATGGGTTTCCTGAATACAGCACACTGATGGGTCTTGACTCTTTATCCAATTTGCCAGTCTGTGTCTTTTAATTGGAGCATTTAGCCCATTTACATTTAAAGTTAATATTATTATGTGTGTATTTGGTCCTGTCATTATGATGTTAGCTGGTTATTTTGCTCGTTAGTTGATGCAGTTTCTTCCTAGCCTTGATGGTCTTTATATTTTGGCATGTTTTTGCAGTGGCTAGTACTGGTTGTTCCTTTCCATGTTTAGCGCTTCCTTCAGGAGCTCTTTTAGGGCAGGCCTGGTAGTGACAAAATCTCTCAGCATTTGCTTGTCTGTAAAGTATTTTATTTCTCCTTCACTTATGAAGCTTAGTTTGGCTGGATATGAAATTCTGGGTTGAAAATTCTTTTCTTTAAGAATGTTGAATATTGGCCCTCACTCTATTCTGGCTTGTGGAGTTTCTGCCGAGAGATCTGCTGTTAGTCTGACGGGCTTCCCTTTGTGGGTAACTCGACCTTTCTCTCTGGCTGCCCTTAACATTTTTTCCTTCATTTCAACTTTGGTGAATCTGACAATTATGTGTCTTGGAGTTGCTCTTCTCAAGGAGTATCTTTGTGGCGTTCTCTGTATTTCCTGAATCTGAAAGTTGGCCTGCCTTGCTAGATTGGGGAAGTTCTCCTGGAAAATATCCTGCAGAGTGTTTTCCAACTTGGTTCCATTCTCCCCGTCACTTTCAGGTACACCAATCAGATGTAGATTTGGTCTTTTCACATAGTCCCATATTTCTTGGAGGCTTTGTTCATTTCTTTTTATTCCTTTTTCTCTAAACTTCCCTTCTCACTTCATTTCATTAATTTCATCTTCCATCACTGATACCCTTTCTTCCAGTTGATCACATCAGCTCCTGAGGCTTCTGCATTCTTCACGTAGTTCTCAAGCCTTGGCTTTCAGCTCCATCAGCTCCTTTTAGGACTTCTCTGCATTGGTTATTCTAGTTATCCATTCGTCTAATTTTTTTTTCAAAGTTTTTAACTTCTTTGCCATTGGTTTGAATTTCCTCCTGTAGCTCGGAGTAGTTTGATCGTCTGAAGCCTTCTTCTCTCAGCTCATCAAAGTCATTCTCTGTCCACTTTGTTCTGTTGCTGGTGAGGAGCTGTGTTCCTTTGGAGGAGGAGAAGCGCTCTGCTTTTTAGTTTCCAGTTTTTCTGCTCTGTTTTTTCCCCATCTTTGTGGTTTTGTCTACTTTTGGTCTTTGATGATGGTGATGTACAGAAGGGTTTTTGGTGTGGATGTCCTTTCTGTTTGTTAGTTTTCCTTCTAACAGACAGGACCCTCAGCTGCAGGTCTGTTGGAGTTTGCTAGAGGTCCACTCCAGACCCTGCTTGCCTGGGTATCAGCAGCGGTGGCTGTAGAACAGCAGATCTTGGTGAACCGCAAATGCTGCTGCCTGATCATTCCTCTGGAAGTTTTGTCTCAGAGGAGTACCCGGCTGTGTGAGGTGTCAGTCTGCCCCTAATGGGGGGTGCCTCCCAGTTAGGCTGCTCAGGGGTCAAGGACCCACTTGAGGAGGCAGTCTGCCCATTCTCAGATCTCCAGCTGCATGTTGGGAGAACCACTACTCTCTTCAAAGCTGTCAGACAGGGACATTTAAGTCTGCAGAGGTAACTGCTGTCTTTTTGTTTGTCTGTGCCCTGCCCCCAGAGGTGGAGTCTACAGAGGCAGGCAAGCCTCCTTGAGCTGTGGTGGGCTCCACCCAGTTTGAGCTTCCCAGCTGCTTTGTTTACCTAATCAAGCCTGGGCAATGGCAGGCGCCCCTCCCCCAGCCTTGCTGCCACCTTGCAGTTTGATCTCAGACTGCTGTAATAGCAATCAGCAAGACTCCATGGGCGTAGGACCCTCCGAGCCAGGTGCAGGATATAATCTCCTGGTGTGCCGTTTTTTAAGCCCATTGGAAAAGCGCAGTATTAGGGTGGGAGTGACCTGATTTTCCAGGTGCCATCTGTCACCCCTTTCTTTGACTAGGAAAGGGAACTCCCTGACCCCTTGCACTTCTCCAGTGAGGCAATGCCTCGCCCTGCTTCGGCTCACACACGGTGTGCTGCACCCACTGTCCTACACCCACTGTCTGGCACTCCCTAGTGAGATGAACCCGGTGCCTCAGATGGAAATGCAGAAATCACCTGTCTTCTGCATCACTCATGCTGGGAGCTGTAGACCGGAGCTGTTCCTATTCAGCCATCTTGGCTGAACCAGGCCATCTTGGATCCACCCAAGTATTTTCTGGGTCTGGAGGGTCCTGGTTCTCTTATGGACTCAGCGATGTGAAGTCATAGAATGCTGAGGTGTGGTTAAACTTTGGTTTGATCTCATCCTCAGCCCGAACACCTTCCCCTCTCCCAAGGCAGCAGTGAAGGGATGGTTCATGGATACGACCTAGGGGAAGGAACAGGGACCCTGACAGTGTGTGCTTCCGGATTTCTGTCTCCGGAACTTGACTGCTCCTCACAACACATAAGGCAAAACTGTCATAAATGTAAGGAAAGAATTTTTCTACTGGAGGCTAGGGACTTCAGGTTGCCATGTTTTGAAGCCTCCTGAAAACTCTAAGGTAGACATCCACTTCTGGAAAAACAGTGAACCCGGTATGTTTCTGGCTATGATTGAAAATTCTTGGTAAAAACAGACATCTGTTTAAGTGCATGGCTGTGTTTCCTGTAGCATTAGAGAAATTCCACGAGATTAGGAAGCATGAAGCCAGGGTGAATACTCTGAGGGATCTGGTAGTTCTAGGAACTTCGGGGCCTTGGATTTAAGAACTTCATGGTGAAGACTAAATCAATTGAATCTCAGCATAAAGCTGAGACATCGAACGGCTTCCCACTCCATGAAAGAGTTGCCTCGAGAGGTTCCGTATGTTGGTAACAGCAGAGGGCATTAAAATGAGTCTCTCTCAGTCTGGGAGCTGGATGGGAAAAAAAATCATGCCTGAAATTTCGCACCCACGTGCCGTTGTCACCTAGGTGAGGAGTTTACATTTTAATTCTCACAATCCCCAGGACACCCCTGTGCCTAGAGCCCTCGGGGTAATCCTTCCACTCTGGCTTTCTCCCCTCTATCTCTTTCTTGGGAAAATGTTTGCCCCATATTGAGTCAACACTGGAAGATCCACATTGGTTCATCTCTGATTTCCAACTTTTGAATTTGTCCTTACAATAAATTGAAGTTTCAGTGACTTGGTGCTTCAGGGACCCGTCCCCACTCTTCCCAAGGAGAACAAACCATGGTTACCATGAAGTACAATAGGTCACTAAAACGTATTCCTCCAGTCTAACTGAAACTTCATGCCCTTCTGTCAACATCTCCTGCTGGCCCCATCCCTGCTCCTCCCCACCTACCCATAGCCCCTGGTAACCACCTTTATACTTTTTCTATGAGACCAGCTTTTTAAGATTCCAGATATAAGTGAGGTCATACAATATTTGTCTTCCTGTGCCTGTCTTCTTTCACTTAGCATAATGCCCCACTAGTTATATCCACATTGTCATGAATGACAAAAATTCCTTCCTTTTAAAGGCTGTATAGTATTCCATTGTGTATATACACATTTTCTCTACCCATTCATCCATTGATAGACAGTTAGTTTGCTTCCATATCTTCGCTATTGTGAATAATGCTGAAATAAATGTGGGAGTGAATATATCTCTTCAGCAAATCAATGTCAGTTCCTTTGGATATATACCCAGAAGTGGAATTGCCAGATAATATGGTAATTCTATTTTTAGTTTTTGAGGAACCCCCATACTATTTTTTTAACAGCTGTACTAATTTACATTCCCATTAACAGTGTACAAGTGTTCCCTTTTTATCTACATCTTCATCAACACTTGTTATCTTTTGTCTTTTTGATAACAGTGATTCCAACAGGTGTGAGGTTATATCTCATTGTGGCTTTAATTTGCATTTTCCTGATTCTTAGAGATGTTGAGCATTTTTCATATATCTGTTGGCTATTCATATCTCTTCATTTGAGAACTGTTCAGATCCTTTGCTCATTTTTAATTGAATTGTTTTCTTGCTGTTAAGTTGGTTGAATTCCTTATATATTTTTGATATTCACACCTAATCAGATGTAAGGTTGAGAAATGATTGATGTTTGTGTGTCGATCTAAATCCTCAGACCTTGCTGAACTCACTGTTATTAGTTCTTGGGTTTTTGTTGTAGATTCCTTGAGATTTTATACATAGACTACTATGGTGTGTGCAAATATTTCTTCATTTCTCATCTGTATATCTTCTAGTTCTCTTGCCTTATTGCCCTGGCTAGAACTTCATTATGTTGAAGAGTGGTGAGAGTGGACACTTGTAATTGCTCCAAATGTTAGGGGAAAACATTCAGTTATCACCATTAAGCCTAAAATTGGCTATAGGTTTTTTGTAGATGATGAAGTGACACTCTAATCCTAGTTTGCTGAGTTTTTTAAAAATTATGAACAGGTGGTAAAAATTTCCAAATGCTTTCTTTGTGTCCCAATTGATGCAATTGTGTGAGTTTTCTTCTACAGCCTGTTAGCACAGTGGATCACATTGATTTACTTCCAAATGTGGAGCTAGTCTTACATGCTTGGAATAAACTCCACTTGGTCATGGTTTGTAATTCTTTAATATATTGCTGGATTCTATTTGCTTTCTTTTGTTGAAGATTTTGTGTCTATGTTCATGAGGGGCATTGGTTATTTCTTTTTTTGTATTGTCGTTGTCTGGTTTTGCTATCAGGGTAATACTGGCCCCTTAAAATGAATTTGGAAGGGTTCTCTTCTCCACTATTTTCCAGAGATTATGTAGAATTGGTGTTCAGTCTTTAAAAATTTGGTAATTCTCTGCATCTGAAAATTTAAAATTCCAACTTTCTTTTGGCATTTTAAAACTACACATTCAATTCCCCTAATAATTATAGAGCTATCCAAATTATCTATTTTGTCCTGGCTGAATGTTGGTAGTTTGTGCTTTTTGAGGAGTTGGTCTGCTTCACATAAGCTGTTGAATTTCTATGTGTAGAGTTGCTTGCACCGTTTGCTCATTATCCGGTTCATGTCTGTGGGGTCTGTAGTGATATCCCCAAACTTGGTATCCATTCCTGAAGCTTATAGTTTGTATCCTTGTATCCTCTCTTTTTTTTCTTTGTTGGTCTAGCAAGAGGTTTGTTAATTTTACTGATTTTTTTTAAAGAACTAGATTTTTGTCTCATTTATTTTCTCTATTTTTTGTCTCTAATTTCACTGATTTCTGTTCTTATCTGGATTTTTTTCTTCTTCTGCTTATGTTGGGTTTGATATTTTGAATATATTTTTATAGCTTTGTATGTATTATGATTTATATTACATTTTAAGTATATTTTTATAGAGTTCCTAGTGATCTTTTATTGAATACCAGATAAAGAGTATAAAAAACTGAGAAAGGTTTTGAGTGATGTTACTTTCTTGCAGAGACCATTTGTTTTCCTTCTGCGAAACAGTTAGACAAGCAGCAGATCACATTGATCCAGTGAGGCAGTAAGATAAGAGGCCAGGCTTTATTCTTTGTGAAGGAGTCTCTATTTCTGGCCTGTACTTCTCCCAGTATATAGTCTTGAGGGGTTTCAATAGAAAGCCTTAAGTTTTTACCAAGCCCTTTCTTATTAATCCTAAAATTAAATATTTATTTTCCAGAGCTACAAAACCTCCATAATCTCTGTTTTGCTTTAAAGGCTCTTCATGGATGCTTTTTGCTTAGCTCCTTGTCCTCTTTCCCCAGGCAGTTTCATAATCTTCAAGGGAAGAGGAGCTGCTGCACACTGGACTCACTTCTCTGAGCTCTTCTTTTCCCTGGAAGCTTTGCCCTGCAAGCTCTGGCTGCCTTTGTCACCCTAAAGTCTGATTTTCGGAAGGAACTGCCAATGCCTCAGCTGCTTTCTGCTTGTGCTCTTGTTCTCTCTGTCGCTAACGAATGGGCAGAGGCCCCACGGGAGGAGAGTGGAGCGCTGGCACCTGATGCATTCATTTCCCTTCTCACCAGGATCCAGGCACCTCCTGTCCTGGACACCTGGGTTTCTCTCTAGTGCTTTCAACTGCTGTTTTGTGTTAATTTTTTCTGGCTTTCCTACTTGTTCTCAGTGATTCTGTAGCTCAAATATGAGCTGTTCCATCAGAACCAGAAGAGGAGTCGCAATACGTATTTGAAAAATACACGAATAAATTATCTGCAAATTAAAAATAATCAGCTCTCCAGGAGTAGCTTCTATGGTGGGTGATGGCGACTATCTGAGGCTGGTGTCACAGGGGTAAAAGAGTTTACCAAGAAACTTGTAGGTTTTAAAAAAAGGCAGATTTATTAAAGAAAGGAAGGAAGTACATTGCAAGAAGGCAATGGGCAGGCCAGGAGAAGAGGAGCTGACTGCAAGGAGACAAAGGCTTGCAGGGGATTTTACAGGATGGTTCCTGGGCCATGTGCTGAAGAGGGCTGCATACAATACCTACAATGCCAAGGTTGCAGTGAGCTAACTTGCATTTTTCTATCAGCTGAGGGTCTGGTGATACCTGGGCATGGGAAGATTGTGAGCTATATGCACAGGAGGGCTGTGTGTGCTGGACTGTGAAGAAATGCAGACTTGTAGCTTATCTGCTTTCTCTTTTTGCTTTCCCTTGGTCCTGCCACCCTGGCTCCTTTTCCCTGATTAGGACGCCACAGCTTCCATGTGTTTTGATTTGTTAGATCTGACATGGGCCAATGAATTGTTTTTTCTTTAACTATATACAATCCTATTTTTCCCCTCATATAAGCCAATCCTAATGGAATAGAATCATCCTTTTCAAAAGCTTTTTACCAGAGGTCTCCACACCACTCCCAAGTACAGCCTCCCATGCCTCACTCAGCTACAACCTGGCAAAAATCTCCAGCCCTGCAGAGACTGAGTGGTGCATTGAGTCCCTGATTGCTGTTTTCCAGAAGGATCCTGGAGAGGATGGTTACAACTGCTCTCTCCAAGACGGAGTTCCTAAGCTTCATGAACACAGAAGAGGCTGCCGTCACAAAGAAGCAGAAGGACCGCAGTGTCCTTGACTGCATGACGAAAAGACTGGATGTCAACAGTAACAGGCAGCTAGATTTCCAAGAATTTCTTAATTCAAAATTGGCAGCCTGGCTGTGCATTGCCATGACTCCCTCCTCAAGGCTATCCCACCCTACAAGCAGACCTGAGGGCCCCTTCGGCCTGGCCTCCAAAGCCACCCCCTTTCCTTCCAGCTTCCTGTCACCATCTCCTCCTCACAGCCCACACGTCCCCTGAGCCCAGCACACCTACCTCCTCTGGCAGGCCCCGCCTGCGGGTAGAAATAAAACAGTTTTCACTCGCATCGGTGTGAAGAGACCACCAAACAGGCTTTGTGTGAGCAACAAGGCTGTTTATTTCACCTGGGTGCAGGCGGGCTGAGTCTGAAAAGAGTCAGCGAAAGGAGATAGGGGTGGGGCCGTTTTATAAGATTTGGGTAGGTAAAGGAAAATTACAGTCAAAGGGGGGTTGTTCTCTGGCAGACAGGAGTGGAGGTCACAAGGTGCTCAGTAGGGGAGCTTTTGAGCCAGGATGAGCCAGGAGAAGGAATTTCACAAGATAGTGTCATCAGTTAAGGCAGGAACAGGCCATTTTCACTTCTTTTGTGGTGGAATGTCATCAGTTAAGGCAGGAACCGGCCATCTGGATGTGTACGTGCAGGTTACAGAGGACATGATGGCTTAGCTTGGGCTCAGAGGCCTGACAACGTCACATTTTTAAAACATGAAAAAAAAAAGCTTTTTATTAACTACTCTGCTTAATTCAACTCCTTACTTCATATGTAGAGTTGATATAGCTGAATGCCTGCTGGATAAGTCAATAAAGGAAACCCTGACACTGCCACTTTGCAATGATAAAATAACTCATCAAATTGAAGATTTAACTGCAAACATAAAAACTGAGTAAACACAGTCTCTTCACATACATTTGGACAAATCTACAGACATCGCTGAACTTCTGGTATTGCTCTAGCACCAGCCCCAGCTAATTATTGGAAAAGGGTTTCTTTATAAGTGAATGGTTGGCAACAAACCAAAGTGCTGTCATCTCATAAACCGGACACTGAAAAGATTTGCAAAACAAGTACAACAATGCCACTCTTCTCACTTAGATGTTTTGTTTTTAGAAAATTTATTTTTTTGTAAAAATATGCTATTTCATGTTAACATGCAATGGGCTTATTATTTTTAGTGACTTCCTAAAATAAATCTATTTTTAGATTTCTCAGTTTTAATTTCTCAGGTAGCAACTATCAACAGATAAAAGCCACATAAGCAAATGCTCTTAGGGGTTTTGAGACCAAAGTGTTTGAGAATCACTGTCCTAGAGTTTTAAAACATTGGAAAGGGGAGGGGAATGTGTACCCCTGTCATTAACAGTATCCAGCTGAGAGGGAGGCTCGGGCTGACTGACTCGGGGTTCTATTGGAACACAGCCAGGCCTGTCCATCATGTATTGTCTGAGGCTGCTTCCTGCTGTCATGGGAGAAACTTTTGGGCGGATGCTGCTGGGAGCCGGTCAGACTGGGCAGACTGGATGAGAACAGGAGGATGAGAATGAGCAAAGGCACCCACGAGGAGAACAGGAGGAAAACCCACGCGTTTGGGGGCGACTAGAAATGCGCAGTGAGCCTTGGGGTCCCCTGTGCTGCCCTCAGGCTGCGTTTGCCTTGAGTGAAATATTTTCTCCAAAAGGCAGAGGAGAGGACAAAGCCCCCTGTGCATCTCCATTCTCCACAGCATCCCCAGGATGGCAGGAGGAGGTCCCCGAGAACTGCACAAGCTGTGTTTGACCCAAGGGGACTTTTTCCTCTTGAGGAGGTTTGCTGGGTCATGTCAGTGATGAGGTTTAAGGACAGAGCCCAGGACCCTCAGCAGCCTGGATATGGCCAGACGGAGCTGGAAGCTTCTCACTGGCCGAGCTCTGGTCCCTTCCCCAAAACTGAAGGGTCATTACCCTATCCTAATCTCAGCTCGACTCATGCCAGGAGGACTCAGTAGTAGACTGTCCTACCACTGGGGGACACACTATTGTGTAACTGAGGGACACTAGGCTGTATCTGGGTGGACACTGCCCTGTTACTAGGGGACACTAGTGAGTAACTGGGGACACTGCCCTGTACTGGGGAACACTATCCTATTATCCTGTTACTGGGGGACTCCAGCTTATAACTTGGGGACACTATAATGGGGGACATTGCCCTGCAATTGGGGGACATTATCCTGTTACTGGGGGACACTATCTAGTAACTGGGGATACTACCTTATAATGGGGGGACAATACTGTATAACTGGGAGACACTATGAGGGGACATTGCCCTGTAATTGGGGGACACAGCCCAGTAACTGGGGAGACATTGCCCTATAACTGATGGACGTCACCCTATAACTGTGGGGACTTACCCTATAACTGGGGAGACATTCACCTATAACTGGGGGACATCACCCTATAACTGGGGGGACATTCACCTGTAACTGTGGGGACATCACCCTATAACTGTGGGGACATCACCCTATAACTGTGGGGACATCACCCTATAACTGGGGGACATTACCCTGTAACTGGGAGACATTACCTCATAACTGGGGACACTATAATGGGGGAACATTGCCTTATAACTGGGGACACTACCCTGTAACTTGGGGATACACTATGCTATGACTGGGGGGACACTGCCCTGTAACTGACGGGATGCTATCCTGTAACCAGAAGATACTAACCTATGACTGAGGGACAGTATCCTGTAACTGGGGACACTGCCCTGTAACTGGGGGACACCACCCTATAACTTGAAGGTTGGGGACCAGGGTCTGGTGCCCCTGAGCTCAGTTCCTGCAGGTGGGAAGTTTTGGAGCCTCCGAGGGTAATTCCACAGGATGGGGCTGCCTTCAGGGTCCCAGCCTCACCTGATCATCTTTCGGGTGACACACTCCCCACCCCGTTGCCACACATCTGGGGTGCAGGAGGCAGCCAGAAGCCTCCAGCTCCCATCCAAGGCCTAAGGAGAATCTCAGGTATCCTGCTGGGTGCTCCCTGAGAAGGTGTGGGGTGCCGGCCACCCCAGTGCACTCAGACCTATCCGGGCAGGGGGCATCCACGATGTGACGTGGGTAACAGACTCTGGAGGAAGTGACGGAGAAGACAACAACGGTGGTGACCACTCCGCCTGACAGCACCTGCCGAGTGCCCCCCACTCTCTACTATCCCGACAGCACCTGCCGGGTGCCCCCCACTTTCTGCTATCCCGACAGCACCTGCTGAGTGCCCCCTACTTTCTACTATCCCAACAGCACCTGCTGAGTGCCCCCCACTTTCTACTATCCCAACAGCACCTGCCGAGTGCCCGCCACTTTCTACTATCCAGACAGCACCTGCCGAGTGCCCCCCACTCTCTACTATCCCGACAGCACCTGCCGAGTGCCCCCCACTTTCTACTATCCCAACAGCACCTGCCGAGTGCCCCCCCCCCACTTTCTACTATCCAGACAGCACCTGCCGAGTGCCCCCCACTCTCTACTATCCCGACAGCACCTGCCGAGTGCCCCCCACTTTCTACTATCCAGACAGCACCTGCCGAGTGCCCCCCACTCTCTATCACAACAGCACCTGCTGAGTGCCCCCCACTTTCTACTATCCCAACAGCACCTGCCGAGTGCCCCCCACTTTCTGCTATCCAGACAGCACCTGCTGAGTGTCCCCCACTCTCTACTATCCCGACAGTACCTGCCGAGTGCCCCCCACTTTCTGCTATCCAGAGAGCACCTGCCGAGTGCCCCCACTCTCTACTATCTCGACAGCACCTGCCGAGTGCTCCCCACTTTCTACTATCCAGACAGCACCTGCCGAGTGCCCCCCACTTTCTACTATCCAGACAGCACCTGCCGAGTGTCCCCCACTTTCTGCTATCCCGACAGCACCTCCTGGGAAATTCACCCTCAGCTGTGGTCTGTGTCCCAGCCCGGGCCCTGGGTTTGGTGTGGGGCTCTAGGTGAGGCTGGGAAGCAGGAGTGTCCCAGGCAGAGGGGCCAGACATGGGGGAGAGAAAGAGCGGACACCCGGTGGGCAGCACAGATCCCAAACCCACTCCACTCCCCTGGAGGCTCTGGCCTGTGCACCCATCTTCGTCTCATCTTCACCCTGCAAGGATGGGAGGCTGAGACTCCCTGGGGCAACCCGGGAGAGAGGGTTCCAGGACCAAGGGGAGCTCTGGAGAGGACAGAAAAGCCGCTCCTCACCCCATTCCATAAAGAGACAAAGGTGCCCAGAATGGCATGAAGATCAGCAGGAAGGGGGACCCACAGTGCCACGCCCCTGCCCCACACCTGGCCCCATGCCTAGATGGGGTGGTTCTCCCACAGGACAGGAGTAAGGCCGACTGGTCCCCAGACTCCCAGGAAGAAAGCTCTGCAGGGACCATCTCCCCAGAACCTTCTGGAACCCAGGACAGGAAGGTGTGTGTGGGTGGGAGAGAAGGTCTTCTCTCCTTCATTTTCTGCTCATGACACCCCTCCCTTCCCGGGAGCTACTGTTCTTGTTCCTGCAGCAAAGATGCCACACGGGGCGGCGGTTGGAACCCTCCTACCCAGGCGGCTTCCTTCGGAGAATGCCAGACTTCGCGGGGAAGCGCACGCTGGCGGGAGGTCAAAATCATGTGCATTGGATTCCAGCCTCTTTTTAAGCCCAGGCTTTATTCCAGCCTCTTTTTGAGGAATTTGACTGAAAAGTTCCCTCCCTCTCGGCTGATGCGCCGTCCCATCCTGGGCTCCTAGTGTAGGGCTCCTACCCTTGGCTCCAGCAATGCTGATGATGAGGTGCTGGGGTCCCCGAGGACAGGAGGCCTCCAGGAAGGAACCGGCCTCAGTCCACGCCGTCCAGGGACTGTGGCTCTGCCCTCTCGAGCTGTAGCACCTGGAAAGAGAGGCCTGTGACACCACAGCCCCGCAAAGACGGACTGTGGGGCTGTTGAAACACTGGCACGCACCAAAAGCGGGTCACAAGTCCCAGAGGTGAAAAAGTAAATTACCAGAGTCCCCACCAGATGCTGGGCGTGTGTGCTGGAAAAGCCTGGAGGGGCGGGTCCAGATCACGCATAGCTGTCACTGCAGATGACAGCAGCGTCTCCACCTTTACCTGCAGCTGTCTCTGATGCTCCCACATGCGTCACTCTTTTGGCTGCATAGTGTCTGAACCCCCTTCCTGATCTGGGGGAGCCCGCCCCTGAGTACATCTTGGTGGGAGCCAAGCCCCCACCTCCCACTACAGAGGCCAGAGCTGGGGCAGCTCCCTCTCCTGCCCTGGGTGGCCAGATGACAGGGCCCATCACCCGAGGCTTGGCCACTCCACTGCCTGGTGACCCAGGGACACTGGGACTCAGGGATGGCAGAGCAGATTGGCATCCAGCCCAGGCTGGGTGTGGCGTGTGGGCTCCGTCCAGCCACAGCAGGGGATATAGGGCAGCAGCCACCTGGCCTGAGTCCCAGCTTTCCAGACCCTGTGACCCCTGCCCTCCCTTCCACCCTCTAAGTCACTCTTTGAGCAAGTTCCTTTCCACGGAAATCAGCCAGATACAGTATCTCTTCCTTACAACCATGCAGCCCCAAACGTCTTCTAGTCCCAAATGTTCAGCATTCCTCAACCTTGGCACCACCAACACGTGGAACAAAGAATTCTCTGCTGGGTGTGGGGTTGGGAGGGGCCCATCCTGCACACAGTAGGACATTCAGCAGCATCCCTGGGCTCCACCCACGGGATGCTGGGAGCACAGACCCCAGCCCAGTCATGATAACCAAAATCATCTCCAGTCATCGCCTAATGTCTCCTCGGGGGGTCAACGGTCCCAGATGTAGAACCCCTGCCACTGATCCACCCTCGTTTTACAGGCCACCTGCTCAGAGATGCTGTCACCGATCATGAGGTATAAAGCGGCATCTTGTGGCCTCTAGCTCAGCACAGGCGGGTTTTCCTCATGTCCTTAAGGAAGAGTTCAAGACATCTTCCTGATTAGAAGGTTACTACTCTGTGGTCATACAGCACCTGTGTGTGCCTCTGTTGTGCACTGATCACACTGTGCTATGGTCTCACAGGTGCTGGAAGGACACTAGGTGTCCTCTAGCTCAGTGTAGACTCCTCAGGATTTATCACTGTTTTTAATTTTTTTAATTTAAATTTTGTTTTGCGACAGGCTCTGGCTCTGTCACCTAGGCTGGAGTGCAGTGGCACGATCACAGCTCACTGCAGCCTCCATCTCCTTGGCTCAGGTGATTCTCCCTCCTCAGCCTCCCAAGTAGCTGGAACCACAGGTGTGCACCACCACGTTTGGCTAATTGTTGTATTTTTTGTAGAGATGGGGTTTTGCCATGCTGCCCAGGCTGGTCTCCAACTCCTGGGGTCAGGTGATCCTCTCAAAAGTGCTGGGATGGCAGGCGTGAGCCATTGCAGCCGGCCTCTGATTTATCATTGTTGACAGTGACTCACTGGCCGGCTCTCTCCTCTCGTCAGATGATCCCCTGCGCTAGGGAGGCCATGGCCAAGCTGCTCTGTCATGGCTCCCAAACTGGCTTTGGAAAAGGGAAGGGCCTATCCTTTTTCATTGATTGTATTGTCCTTTCTTGATTCTATTAATAATTAATTAGAAAAAGAAAAGGAAAGCAGGGTGGGTTGGAAGCCATGACGCCATCTGGATACCCTGGCTACTTAGAAACGACAGTGATTGTCACCATACTCATAGAGGGGTGTCCAGCTGCTAATTTTAGTTTATGTAATGCCAGCAAATAGAGCCTAGCCAAAAGGAGTGCATGCCAGACTCTAAACACACTCAGCAATTAGTGTAGCCATTGTGGAAGGCAGTGCAGAGATTCCTCCAAAGATTAAAAATAGAACTACCCTGCGATCCAGCCACCCCATTACCGGGTATAACTGACAGGAAATGAACTCATCTGCCGACGAGACATCTGCACGCCCGCGTTCACCACAGCGCCATTCCCAACAGCACAGCTGTGGAATCAGCCTGAGCGCGCACCGATGGATGAGTGGATAGAGAAAGTGCGGTGCACACACAGTGGAGAACTATGCAGCCTTAGGAAAGAAGGAAATTCTGCCATTTGCAACAATACGGATGAACCTACATGAACATCTTAAAGGGAAATAAGCCAGGCAGAGAAAGACAAATACCGCATGGTCTGATTCGTCTGTGGAATCTTGAAAAGGTGATCTTGTGGAAGCAGAGAGTGCGACGGTGGCTACCAGGGGCTGGTGGGTGGGGAGATTGTTGGTCAAAGGCCACAAAAGAAGTAAGTTCAACAGCTCCAGTGCATGACATGGTGACTGTAGTTAATATAGGAAAATTGCTAAGAGAGTAGATTTTAAGTGCTCTTACCACACACAAATAATAGGCGTGTGGGGTAAGGCACGCACATGTGAAATAGCTTGACTTAGCCATTCCACTGTGACACACATATCGAAATGTCATGTTGGACACCATCAATATATAGAATTTTTATTTGTCAACACGAAAAAAGTAAATTTAAAAAACGCTTTAAACATACTTGTCCCTTTGCAGAAAGGAGGACAGTAAAAAAGTTACTGTGTATATAAGAAAGTTTTTCAATCCTTCATGGAAATAACCTCACGTTTCTTCTACAGACATGAAACATGGAGAGAGAAACATTTCTGCTGGATTTACCTGATTTTCTATGCACCGAAACTGCCAAGGCCAGCTTGTGTTGTACAGAAATGGTCGCAGATCAAACCTGTTGTCCTCAGGGCTGTAGTTCTCGGCGTGGTACGCGGGTGTGAGCGTGGTCATCTTGTGTCTGTTCATGGAGTACTTGGAGAAAAACCGCTTCACTTTGTCAGCGACCTGGTGGGCGTGCAACACACGAGCTTCATGTTACCAAAACTGGAGAGACCCCAGGCCGGAATTCCCATGCTGGATCATACAAGCAAATGACTAATGGGTTACTCCCCGCACAGGACCTTCCACGATGGCAGGTGTGGGGGATGCCCGTGCTCAGGCCGGGGACACTGGCCGAGCTATGAAACCGGGGTCCCCCTGCCTCTGATGCTATGAAACCGGGGTCCCCCACCTCTGATGCTATGAAACTGGGGTCCCCCGCCTCTGATGCTATGAAACCGGGGTCCCCCTGCCTTTGATGCTGTGAAACTGGGGTCTCCCTGCCTCTGATGCTGTGGCATGCTGCCTTGGGAGATCTAAGATAAATCCTGCGAAGATTTATTTCACAAGGCTTCCAGGAGGTTCCATTGGACTACAATGCTTGTGGGCTTCAGCCCCAGCAAGACTCACAACAGGCAGAAAAGCAATACTATTCTGACCCTGAAGTTTACATTCTATCCTCAAAAAAAGGGAGGCTTGTTTCATGTCGTGTTTACCTGGCTGTGGGTGAGCCTCACTCAGATTAACTTTGGGCCAGCAGAAGATCAGAGTGGGTAAAAATAACTGAAAAGTGTTACTGTGTGAGATACAGTTTTATTACGTTAGGGTCACACTGTTATCTACTTGTTCCTACAGGTCAAACCGGCCTCTGCAAAGGGGACATTACCTAACTGGCCTCCCTCTGTGATGCGTCTCACAGGCTTTACCTGTCTCGGGGTGCAGATGTGTCTCCACATGCCGAGGAGTTTGCAGAACATGCTGTAGGGCCCCATCTTGGCCACCTTCCTGAGTTTCCCATAGACCGAGAGCTCCGCATATGTCATCCCCATATCTTCCTGTGCACAACAAAAATCTGTTCCATGATGACAGCAAGTCACAGCGGGGGGAGAGCCTAAAGCTTCTTTTGGAGATGGGAACCAGAGACCAAGGAGGCAATACTTTCCCAGAGAGGCAGGAGCAGAGGTGGGCTTTACTCCCCATTGCTAGTCAGCCAGTAAGGAGGTAGCATTTGGAAAACAGCAACGAAGAACCAGGCATTTGGTTTGGAGGACCGTAACGGGTGAACGGTGGCTCACCAAGGAGCGCTCATGTCTGAAGGCCCAGTTCCTGGGGATGTGACTTTATTTGGAAAAAGAGTGTAGGCTGGGCATAGTGGCTCACACTTGTAATCCCAGCACTTTGGGAGGCCGAGGTGGGAGGACTGCTTGAGCCCAGGGGTTTAAGGCCAGCCTGGGCAACATGGCAAGACCTTGTCTCTACAAAAAATAACAAACTAGCTGGGTGTGGTGGTGTGTGCACCTGCAGTCCCAGCTACTTGTGGGTGCTCAGGTGGGAGGATCACCTGAACCTGGGACATCAAGGCTGCAGTGAGCCGAGATTGCAGCTCTGCACTCCAGCCTGGGTGACAGAGCCAGACCCTGTCTCTAAAAAAAAGAAGAAGAAGAAAAGAGAAAAGGATAAAACGTCTTTGCAGATGTAATTAAGTAAAGAATCTGAAGGTGAGATGACTCTGAATGTGGGGTGGGCCCTGCATCCAATGACATCTCTTACGAGGGCCAGGAGGACACGTGGAGAAAGGGAGGAGGACACGTGGAGAAAGGGAGGAAACTGCGGGAAGAAGGAAGCAAAGGATGGAGTGATGCAGCCACAAGCCAAGGAACACCTGGAGTCCCCAGAAGACGCAAGAGGCAAGAAAGGATCCCCTAGAGCAGGGGTCACCAACCCCCAGGCCATGGATAGGTACTGGTCCCTGGCCTGTCAGGATCTGGATCCCAGAGCAGGAGGTGAGGGGAGGGGCGAGTGAGCATCACC
This sequence comes from Homo sapiens, assembly GCF_000001405.40. Classification (NCBI taxonomy): domain Eukaryota; kingdom Metazoa; phylum Chordata; class Mammalia; order Primates; family Hominidae; genus Homo; species Homo sapiens. The sequence continues at coordinate 71,496,506 of NC_000011.10, read as the reverse complement.
GCCTGAACTCCGCCTCCCGTCAGATCCTCGGTGGCACAGATTCTCATAGGAGCGCGAGCCCTGTTGTGAACTGTGCAAGCGAGGGATCTAGGTTGCATGCTCCTTATGAGAATCTACCACCTGATGATCTGAGGTGGAACAGTTTCAACCCAAAGCCATCTCCAACCCTCTGTTTGTGGAAAACATTGTCTTCCACGAAACCAGTTCCTGGTGCCAAGAAGACTGGGGACCACTGCCCTAGAGCCTTCGGAGGGACCAGGACTCTGCCAACACCTTGATTTCAGACCCTGGCCTCTGGAACTGTGAGGGAAGCAATTCCTGTTGTTTTACGCCACTGGGTCATTAGTGACAGTAGCTCCACAAATCATCCATGGAAGGTGTGGCTCATGGAGCAGATGCAGCCTGTCTGCTGTCCTCCTGAGCCCGTGCCCTGAAGTGTGGGGGACTCAGAGAAGAAGAGGGCCGAGGGCTCACTGAAATCTGGGCCATGTTGGAGGCCACAGGGTGCCGCTGGTATCACTATCACAGCGCCAGGCAACAAATGCTTCAAGCCAGGCTCAGAGGAGCCGATTTTACCCCGAGGCTCATACAACCCAGGCCCTTTCCATTGTTCAAGATCTGCTCCCATTCCCTCTCATTCCTACCACACCCCAGGGCCATCATCAGACAGTATGGCCAGAGCCACCGCTGGGCCTTCTTGTCCGTCCCTCCAGGGGACGCTAAGTGTTTTCACTGCAGTGGCCACGTCTGTGTTGCTCACCACAGGGTCCCCAGCACCTGACGGGTTGCGCACAAGTGGCTGCTTGGCTGGTTTCTTTCCCATGAAGTGAGCATTTTCCAGTGTAACATTTAATTCCTTCAATTCAACAATAATAGCTGGAGACTTCAATACCCCACTTTCAATAATGGACAGAACAACTAAGATGAAAAATCAACAAGGAAACAGAAGATACGAACAACTCTGTCAACCAGGGAGACCTGGCACACACCTGCAGGGCACTGCACCCAGCGGCAGCGGAACCCACCTTCCTCCCAAGGGCACACGGGACGCTTCCCAGGTCAGACCATCTGCTGAGCCACGAGAGAAGCCTCAGACAACTTTAAATGTTGAAGTCATACAAAGTTGCTTTCTCACCACATTGGAATAAAAGTACAAATTCAGTAACAGAAATTTTGGAAATTCATGCATACGTGGAAATTAAAGAGCATACTCCTAAATAATCAATGGATCAAGGAGGAAGTCACCAAGGGAATCAGAAAATACTTTGATAAATGAAATGAAGACACAACAGACCAAAACATGTGGGAGGCACTGAATGCAGTGCTAGGAGGGAAATTTGTAGCTATAAACACCTACCTTAAAAAAGAAAAAAGATCTCAAATCAACAACCTAACTTTCCACCTTGAGATACTAGAAAAAGAAGAGCAAATGAAACCCAAAGCCAGCACGAGGAAGGAAATGACAGAGATCAGAGGGAAATTAATGAAAGACAATAGAGAAAATCAACAAAACAAAAAGTTATGCTTGGAAAGATTAAAAAAAAAAATTGACAAACCTTTAGCTAAAATGACCAAGAAAAAAGAGTGAAGACTCAACTAAAATCAGTAATGAAAGACAGACACCTTACAGACCTTATAGAAATCAATGGATTGGCCAGACGCGGTGGCTCACGCCTGTAGTCCCAGCACTTTGGGAGGCCGAGGTGGGTGGATCACCTGAGGTCGGGAGTTCGACACCAGCCTGACCAACATGGAAAAACCCCGTCTCTACTAAAAATACAAAATTAGCCAGGCGTGGAGGTGCATGTCTGTAAATCCCAGCTACTCGGGAGGCTGAGGCAGGAGAATTGCTTGCTTGAACCCGGGAGGCGGAGGTTTCAGTGAGCCGAGATCGCACCACTGCACTCCAGGCAGCCTTGGCAACAAGAGCAAAACTCCATCTCAGAAACAAAACAAAACAAAACAAAAGAAATTTTTGGATCATCAAGAAAGACAGGCGCGCATCACTGAATGACAGGGATACGTTCTGAGAAACACATAGACAGGCCACTGCGTCGTGTGAACATCCTCAAGGCACTTACACACATCCAGATGGTCTAGCCTCCTATGCACCTGTGCTCCATGGTACAGCCTGAGCTCCTAGGCTACACACGTGCACAGCATGTTGCTGTACTGAATACTCTGGGCCAGTCTAACATAATGCTAAGTATTTATGTATCTAAGTGTAGAAAAGGGACGATAAAAATACAGTAGAAAGGGTAAAAGATGGGACACCTGCATAGGGCACTTCCCAGGACTGGAGCTTGCAGGACTGGAAGCCGCTCTGGGTGAGTCAGGGAGTGAGGGGTGGGTGAATGGGAAGGCCTGGGATGCTACTGTGCTACTGTGGGCTTTCCAAGCACTGTAAACTTAGGCTACAGTCAATTAATACAAATATATTTTTCTTCCTTCAATAATAAATTAACCTTAGCTTATTGTAACTTTTATACCTTATAAACTTTTCTTGTTTTTGTTTGTTTTGTTGTTTGTATTTTTTTGGTAGAGACAGGGTTTCACCATGTTGGCCAGGCTGGTCTTGGAACTCCTGACCTCAGTGATTTGCCCACCTCAGCCTCCCAAAGTGCTGGGATTACAGGCGTGAGCCACCATGCTCAGCCTTACCTTATAAACTTTTTAATTAAAAAAAATTGTTTGACTCATATAATAACAGCTTAAAACACAAATACATTGTCAGCTGCCACACACAAGAATTAACTCAACTGGCTCACAGACCTAAACATAAGGACTAAAACTATAAAACTCTTGGAAGAAATTATAGGAGCAAATCCTTGTGACCTAAGGAAGTTGGAGGGTCACGGATCTAATTATAAAAATATTTTTTCTTATTCTATAAGCTTTTCTCTATTAAAAAAATGATTTTTTTTTTATTTTGCTTTTTAACATTTTTTGTTAAAAACTAGAACACAAACACATCCATCAGCCTGGGCCTGCCCTGGGTTAGGATCATCAGGCCTGGCAGAAATTCTCTCCAGCTGCGATGGCATGTCCTTGTAAATCGGAATCTTAAGGAGGTTACTAAAAAGCTCTGAGCACTAATACATGAGCTCAACAAGGTGCAGGGTATATGGTCAATATGCAAAAATCAACTGTGTTTCTCTATAAACTAGCAATGAACAATCTACACATGAAATTAATAAAACAATTCCACTCACCAGAGTATCAAAAACAATAAAATATTTTGAAATACATTTGGCAAAAGAAGTGCAACCTTAAATTCTGAGAACTAGAAAAAACACTGTTGAAAGACATTAGAGGCCGGGCTCAGTGGCTCACTCCTGTAATCCCAGCACTTTGGGAGGCCAAGGCGGGCGGGTTACTTGAGGCCAGGAGTCCGAGGCCTCATGTTCTGGCCAACATGGTGGAACCCCATCTCTACTACAAATACAAAAAACTTAGCGAGACATGGTGATGCACACCCATAATCCCAGCTACTCCGGAGGCTGAGGTAGGAGAATCGCTTGAGCCAGGGAGGTGGAGGTTGCAGTGAGCTGAGATTGTGCCACTGCAACTCCAGCCTGGGCAACAGAGTGAGACATTGTCTAAAAAAAAAAAAAAAAAATTTAGAGACAACTTAAATAAGTAAGACATTCCATGTCCCATGTTCATGGATCAGAAGAGTTCTTATGATTAAGATGGCGAAACTCCCCGAACTCCAAACTGATCTATAGTGTCATGCAGTCCCCGTCAAAACGCAAAAGCTTTTTTTTCTCCAGAGATTGACAAGCTGATCTCAAAATTCATATGGATGTTCAAGAGACTCAGAGTACCCAAAATCCTTCCTACAGAGTTATAATAATCAGGACAGCGTGGGACCGGCATAAGGAAAAACAGAAAAGATCTATGGAACAGAATTGAGTGTCCAGAAATAAATCCTACATTTACAACAAGGGTGCCAAGATACATCACTGGGGGAAAGGATCATCCTTTCAGCAAATGGTGCTGGGACCACTGGATATTCCCATGCAAAGGAATGAAACTGAAGCCCTTCCTCATACCACACACAAAAGTAACTCAACTAGATCACAGACCTAAATGTAAGGACGAAAACTAGAAAACGCTTGGAAGAAACTATAGCAGCAAGTCCTGGTGACCTAAGAGGCTGGAGTGTCATGGATTTTATCATAAAAAGCCCACAGCCACTTCCCCCAGCATCCACTAAGCTACCAACCACAGCCTGGGCCTCATCACGAAGGGCCAGCATGCAGTGGAGGAGTCGAGGGCAATTCTCCTCCTACATCGCTCTAAAACACGAGCAGAGATGCCCCTCCTGCCTGTGAGGAACTTGCGTTCCTCCGCCCGCCATCTGCTCTCCCTCCCCTCCCACCATGTCATCCTCTTTCTGGGGCGCCAACCATGAGGAAGTGAATTGAAGTGTCAAAGGCCAGGGATGTGACTGACACTGAGCCCTGGGCACCCAGGCCAGGGACCCAGTGACAGCGATGCAGCTGTCCTGGGGTCAGGAGGGAGGTAGGAAGAGCCAGCACCACCACACAGGAGGTGGGGAGGAGGGCAGGAAGCATCATGGCAAAGCCACCGCCATTACCTCGTCGGTCTGGGACACCTGTCCATCAGCCAAGGGCTCCAGCTCTGCGGTGGCCGGCGCCAACAGGATGCTGCAGCCAAAACACACAGAGGTCGGTCAGTGCAGCTGCGAGGGTGGTGTGAGCTCTGGGAGAGAATCCCCAGACTAAGTTTCCCGAGTACGCTGGTCCCGGCCACTCCGTTCACCGTGGGTAGGACGTCACCAAGGCTTGCGGTGCTGGGCTTTCCAGCGGGGGTGAGCATCCTGGGCTGAGGAGTGTGGGCACTGGTGTGGCCTCACGACCCCAGGAGGAGAGGCAGAGATGGAGGCACAGTGAAGGGCCAGTCCACTGGGCACCGGGCACACCTAGGTCGAGGGGACTCTGCTGTAGGGAATGTCAATGGCCTGTGCACTGCGCCACATTGAGGAGCACCCCTGGCCTCTACCTGCTAACACCCAGCACACCCCGTGTGGCGAAGCTAAGCATGTCTGCAGACGTTGCCTGATGTCCCCTGGGGGGCACAGTCACTCCAGTGAGGATAAGCAAAGAAGAAAACACATTCCCGTGGCAGGGAACCTCGGCAAAGGCCGAAGAAAGGTCCGGACACTGATCCATCTGCAGTCACTGCTAAAGCACAGGCGCTCTGCTCAGATGTGGCGAGCCTCGGCCTGCCAAGCATCGGCATGGGGACGGCAGGGAAGGGAGGCAGGGCAGGCGGGGGAGGCAGGAGGCCACAGCTCCGTGATCTGGCCGGAGCCGGGGGGCTGTGGAGGCACCACAGGAAGAAAGGGAGGCTTGGTTGCAGGCCTCAAGTGCCAGCTCAGGGGCAGGACCATTCAGCAGGCAACAGGAGCTACGAAGGAGCCTGAGTGTGGGCCAGGGTGGCCGGGGCCGTGCTGGGAGAGGAGCCCCGTGGCTGTGGAGCCACAGCCCGTGAGCACACTCACCTCTGCAGGGCAGGAAGCTGGAAGCGCTGGATGCAGAACTGGACGAAGGCCCTGAGGTCCGTCTTGCTGATCCCGCCTATGGGGTTGATGTCCGCACTGGAGCAGTCGTACTTGGTCAGGTAGCCCAGGAGACTGCAGGGAGAGGGAGAAAGAGCGCGGGTTCCCAAGGGGCCGCAGACTCCATCAACCCTGGCCAGCCAGGGAGTCGCTTCTTCCAGGGGCCCTGAAGCCAGAAGTGTGGCATATTCAAGCATCCCGGAGAAGTCCCAGAGCAACCCGCAAAGGTGGCAGAGGCTGCAGAGGACCCAGGAGGGCCTTTGAGTGCACCAGAGGAGACGCCGGGGATGGCAGGCAGATTTCGGGGGTCACCAGCACGGAGCTGGGAGCAGTCGTCTGAACAGAGCTGAGGGACAGAGGTCTTGGGGTGTCGGGAGTGAGCAGGGACTGGACACACGTGGACACTCTGCTGCCCGGGCGGCCGCGGGCCCCTCCCCTGCCTGTCAACTCTGAGGCCTGTGGTCGGCAGAAGAATCCATCTCTCACTAAGGTGCCCACGTCCTAATCCCCAGAACCTGTGACTCTGTCACCTCTCAGGGCCAAAGGGACTTTGCAGATGGACTCAGCTGGGGACTTGAGATGTGGGAGTGATGCTGGATTGCAGGGTGGGCCTGAAATGCAATCACAGGGGTCCTTAAAAGAAGGGGGTGAAAGTGAGAGTTGAGGGAGCCCTGACTGCAGGGGAAAGGCAGAGACGCGAGGCCGCTGGTGGTGAAGACGGAGGAGGCGTCGTGAGCCAAAGAAGGCGGGACTCCAGAGGCTGGAAATGGCGGGAAACAGATTCTCTCCAGGGTCTCCAGAAGGAACCCACTGTGTCCACACCTTCACTTGAGCCAGGGGACCCATACTGGACCTGTGTCCTACAGAACTGAGGGACCATAAATGTGTGTTGTTGAAGGCACAAACTTTGTGATCCTGGGTTACAGCCGTCCTTCTCCACCCCACCCCGCTGCCAACGCTGGTGCAGGCCTCCAGGTTCTCCACGGGACTCCTGGCTGACCACCCATCTCCTCCATACCAGGCCAGGCCAAGCCCTTCCACAGTCTGAATTCCCTCAATGGTGCCCTTGACCTTGCAAGGCCTTCCAGGCTGGCCCCTGCCTATCCCACCAGATGCATTTCTTGACACTCCCAAACTCACACCTCCGTGCCTTCTCACCCTTCCTGACCCTCACTGTGGTGCAATGTCGGGGGTGTAAGACCCCCAGGGTCCCAACAGAGGGACAGGTGAGACCCTGTGCTGCCTTCAGTGAGGGCTACCCCAGTCACCCCATCGCTCCCTGTCCTGTCCCGTCCAAAGCTCCTTCAGCAGGAGCTGGGATACGGGCCAGATGGGCCAGGGGAGATGACAGTCTCCATCTTAGCACTTTTTCTCTTCCATCCCCAGTAACTGCCAAGGACTGGGGAAATCCGCCGGGGCTGACTCAGAGAGCACAGTCTGGGGAAATCCCGCAGTGCAGAGCTCAGCTCAACCTGCGACCCGTGGGGCCAGGATGCTGCCTCATCTTGGTGGAAGGAAACTCCAGCCAGGAAGTGGGGACCATGGGGATGGGGAGGCACGGTTATAGGGGGAAAATTGAGGCAGACTTTTTCTGGTGAAATCAAGACTGAACTGGCGGACTGGTGAGACTTTGAAGCCAGCAACAAGTGTGGCCATAAATTTCAATACAGGACCACCGAGTTCCAGCAGCTGTCCCCTCCTCTCGCACTCTGCATGGACCTTTCCCCCAGGCTGGTCACTTCCATCAGCTGAAATCATGTTGTTAGAAGCCTAACTTCAACACAGCCTCTCAGCTCTGCATTCCCATGCTGACCCCAACTTAACCCTGCAGGGCTGGCTTCACTCTCCCCTCCCCTCCTGCTCTCTCTGGAACCTTCTCCTGGGCCTGCCTCTGAACCCACCCCTCCTGCTGCTGTGGGCGCGCTGGCCAGGCCCCCAGCAAAGCCACCCTCCTGCCTGGTCACCTGCTCTCATCTCCTCACCAGCAACATCCCCACTGTCCTGCACCAGCAAGTCCACTCCCTCTCTACTGGTCTTTTCTTGACAGTATCTTAAGGCAAATAAACAAATGGAGACCAGTCTGGGCAACAGAGTGGAAACAAAAAAAATTAGGCGTGGTGGTGCATGCCTACAGTCCCATCTACTTGGGAGGCTAAGGTGGGAGGATTGTTTGAGCCCAGGAGGTCAAGGCTGCAGTGAGCTGTGACGGTGCCACTGCACTCCAGCCTGGGTGACAGAGCAAGACCCTGTCTCTAATAATAAAGCAAACTCCTTTTCCTGTTCCCAGTGATCTCTGCAGCGCCTATCCTGCGCCTCCCCTCCCCTTCAAAGTGAAATTTCTGGAAACAGCTGTCTCTGACGTCTCACACCTCCCTCTGCCCGACACGCCGCACACTTTCCAAAACAGCTCTGCAGGTCTTCCAGTCCCCACTCAAGACCAGGCCTTTCAGGGAGACAATGATGGGCTCTCAGTCCTGGGGGAGTCATGACTCAGGGCTTCACGGGCTCTTCTCCACCCACCCTCGCCTCCCGCAGGCCTTTATGAAACCCACTTCTCAGTAGGGCCCTCCCTGGGCAAGCTGCTTACAAACTCCCAGCTCTCCCTTCCCCTCCTTGAGCTCTCTCGGCGGACGTTTCCTACAATACACATGTTATCTGCTGGGCTATCACTGTCTCCTCCCACTTGCAGAGAACAGGAATTGTTTCTGACTCATTCACACCACCGGGAAGAAAGCCTGAGGGAGGACAGGTGTCCAACAGGCCCCTGATGAGCAGACAGGGATGCGACTGAACTAGAATCAGAAGCAATTCAACAACAGAATTACAGGGAAATTTAAAAAAATCAACACTACACATTTGAGATTCTTGCCAGAACACAGAGGAAGAGAAGGACTGGCTGTGACCCGTGAGAAGAAGGCGGCAGAGGGAGATGCAGCATGGGAAACAGAGAGAAGGGCTTCAGTACTACATCATGAGGGGAGTGTCTGCAGCCACAGGGCCTTCTGTCCCGCAGTGAGAAAGGGGCAGCTGAGGGATTACGTTTACGTTTGCTTATTTTCTTTTCTTTTCTTTTTTTTTTTTTTTTTTTTGAGACGGAGTCTTGCTCTGTCGCCCAGGCTGGAGTGCAGTGGCGCGAACTCGGCTCACTGCCAGCTCCGCCTCCTGGGTTCATGCCATTCTCCTGCCTCAGCCTCCCAAGTAGCTGGGACTACAGGCACCTGCCACCACGCCCGGCTAATTTTTTGTATTTTTAGTAGAGACAGGGTTTCACCGTGTTAGCCAGGATGGTCTCGATCTCCTGACCTTGTGATCTGCCTGCCTCAGCCTCCCAAAGTGCTGGGATTACAGACGTGAGCCACTGTGCCCAGCCCGTTTGTTTATTTTCTAAATGGCATCTAGAGACCTTCCAGCTCCCAGAACCCAATCCCACCCTGGAAAAAAATACTTGTTTCTTTGTTAACATTTTAAATACTAGAAAATGATGGACAAGAGTTGTGAGGGGGAACTCTTACAACACAATTTTATAACAGATCAAATTCTTCCTCATCTACAAAAGCAATGCAGAGCCAAAGCAAACATCAATCTCCTCAACTACACCAGAGCTGAGAATATACACCAGCCGTCACACCCCTCCTGAAAAATCAGTCCCTTACAAAGGCACCAGAGGCACCAGAAAAGCAATGGTCAAAATATGCATGAGGAGGATGAGAATTTTTACACAGTATCAGGTGTTAATTTCAAATTTCTGTAATTAGAAAAATAAAATAGGACTTAAAAATAAAAAATCAGTTTTAAAAGAGAACACATCTGCAGACAGGCAAGGATGCAGAGTGATTAAGACACTCACACTCTTTGGGAGGCCAAGGTGGGCGGATCACGAGGTCAGGAGATGGAGACCATCCTGGCTAACACGGTGAAACACCGTCTCTACTAAAAATACAAAAAAATTAGCCAGGCGTGGTGATGGGCGCCTGTAGTCCCAGCTACTCGGGAGGCTGAGGCAGGAGAATGGCGTGAACCCGGGAGGCGGAACTTGCAGTGAGCCGAGATCGCGCCACTGCACTCCAGCCTGGGTGACAAAGCGAGACTCCATCTCAAAAAAAAAAAAAAAAAAAAAAAAAAAGACACTCACGCCATAGAAAAAAGGGAGGGATAGATGGATGGAAGGGAGGAAATGTGGACAGATGGGTCGATGGATGGACAAAGGGAGAGATGGGTGGATGGATGGGTTGGGTGGACAGATGAAATGGTGAATGAATACATGGATAGATGAGTGGATAGATGGACAGATGGGTGGATGGACAGACACATTGGTGGATAAATGGATAGATGGGTGGGTGGATGAATGCATGGATGGACAGGTGGGTGGAGGGATGTGTGGGTAGATGAATGGATGGATGAATGCATAGACAGATGGGTGAATGAATGGATGGATGAGTGGGTGAGTGGGTGGGTGGATGGACAGACAGATGGGTGGATGGGTGGATGGATGGATGAATGGATGGACAGACAGATGGGTGGATGAACGGACAGGTGAGTGGATATATGGATGGGTGGATACATAGATGGATAGATGAATGGACAGATGGATGGATGGGTGGATAGATGGATGGCCCAACTGATGGATGGATAGATGGATGCATAGACAAACAAATGAATAAATCACAAATAGTTTTTGAAATCCCTCAGCTCCTAAGGAGCAACTAAGAACAGCACAGACGAGCTGAGAGGGATAGAGGCTCACCTAAGGGAAGTGGGGAAACCAAGGCTGGAAAAGAATTTCTAGCAGCCTCCACTGCTGGACTTGAGGGGCAGCTTGAATTTTATCCAGAAAACAACAGGGAGGCTCTGAGTTTTGTTGAACAAGGAAGCAATATGAGAAGGGGAGTATTTTCAGTCCACATAAAAAATGAACTCTGGTTTGGAGGTAAAAACTAGCTGCAAAGGAATGACTTAAGACACAGTGGAACAGCCTAGAAGAAAGAGGGGAGCCTGACCATGGCAGAGGGCGGTGGGAAGATGAATTTGAGGCGCAGTAGAGATGAAGAACCACAAGGCTGATGAAAGTGGTGAGCGCCCAGAGCCACCTGCAGGAACGTGATGCTGATCCGCTCTGCCACTCGGGTTGGGTGAAATTCTAGAGGAATGATGTCATTCCAGGCACCAAACCCGCCATGAAAGGCACAGGATGATAGAATCTCACAGCGTATCACCTTCAGAGACCTGAGAGGTTCAGGGGCCCACCACCACGTGCCACTGGGCCACACTCACCTCTCATCCACGTTGGCGGATCCCAGCACGAGGAGCCCACCGTGGACACCCCGAGACCAGAGGCTCAACTGAGCAAACAGATAGGCGAGGACCATCCGTATTCGAGCCTGGAAAACACAACAGAGGAAATAACGGGTTCCCTTGCAAAGGAACACGGGGGAGACGCACACCCACAAACTCTTGAAAACAAGAAAATTAAAATAGCTTAGGAGCTCTCTAGCGTTCGGGGAACATCAGAGTCTCAGAGTCCCACAGTGTCCCGAGGCCTTCCTCTCGGGGTGGTCCCACCTCCACAGGGCTCACACAAGCTCAGTGGTGCCTTGCCTTCAAAGATGGGAGCACCCAGAGCCCGGGAGGGCAGAGGGAGCACTGGTGGCAGGACTGAGCCGTGGGGTCCCTGGGAGAAAGCTTGGCAACTGCATTTCCATCCCTTTACCACTGGCAGGAGGGGAGAGGCCACCCAGGCACAGCAGAAAGGGGACAGAGAGAGACAGGACAGATCCCAGCAGCTGGAGCCCCCGGCCTCTCTTTTCCTCTGCCCATCACGGAGCAGTCAGTCAAGTGCAGTAGCTCAGGAGGCAGACAGCGTCTGGGCTGTTCCCTGAGGATTAAAGAGACACACACTCACACACAGTCATGTGCACTCTCACACTCATGCACACCCACCCACCCACATGCTCACAGGCATGCTCGTGCACTCATGCAGACGCACTCATGCACACAACTGTGCACTCACGTTTGTGCACACTCACACATCCACACTCACACTTGCTTTTGCACAAGCACTCACAAGCACACCCACACTTGTGCATACATTCACACACTTGTACTCTCATACACTCATGTAACCTCTCACGCTCAGGCTCACACTCAGGCTCAGACACACCCTCTTGCTCTTGCACTCAGGCTCATGCACACACTCGAGCACGCACATCCTTACACCCCCGCTCTTGCTCTTACACATCACATGCTCATGCACCAACACACACACAGACCCCCTCCTTGTTAACAAGGCTGCATGACCGACGTCTTCAGTGAGGCATACAGGCTGTGACCCCAGCACTGGCTGTCCCTAGGTAACCGGTGCCATGAGCTTCATGGAGACGATGGCCCAGGTGGGGGCACCTGCACATCCTGTAGTGATTGTCCCAGTGCTCCCTGCACCCCCACCCCCAGGGGACGCCGGCCCAGGCGGGGGCACCTGCACATTTTGCAGCGCCAGGTTTTCCCTGCTGCTTCCTCCATGAGCTGCAAACAGAGGGCTCTTCCCCGTCACCAGGCTGAAGATGCCCATGACGGCCTTCACGGCTGGATCGATGTTGAGACTGATGTGGTGGCTGGAAGGAGAAGGATAGGCGTTGAAGGCAGCATGTGCACGTGTGTGCATGTGTGTGCGCATGAGCGGTGAAGCCCTGATGACCTAAAACTGACCATTGTAACCCATTTAAAGCGTATGATTTGTGGTGTTTAGCAATCCACAGTGCTGCGCAGCCATCACCACCATCTAGCTCAGAACTTCCCATCACCAGAGAAGGGAACCCCATCCCACTGGCAGTCTGTCCCCACTCCCTCCTCCTCCAGCTCTGACAGCTCTGACAGTGACAGATGCAGAGAGTGACAGACACCCTCTCTCTCTATGCCATGGCCTGTTCTGGACATTGCGTGGAAATGGAATGGAAATGGAATCAAACACCATGTGGCCTGGTGTGGCTGGCTCCACTCCCTTCATCCGCACCATGTCTTCAAGGTTTCTCCTCACTGTGTCATGTGATCATGCTCCACTCCTCTTCGTGGGTGACTAATATTCCACCGTGTGAATGGACCACAGTTTCTTCCTCCGTTCATCTGAGATGGACCTTGGGTTGTCCCTGCCTCTTGGCTTCTGTGAATGGTGCTGCTATGGACTTTCCTGAACAAGTATCTGTTCGGGTCCCTGTTTCTGATTCCTCTGAGTACATATCTAGGAGGAGAATCACTGGAGGGCATGGGGACAGCTTTTAGCTGAGCTCAACAAACAGGATGGGGAGCTGCTCATTTTCTCCTAGGAGCCATTATGGATGGAATATTCTAGATAGAACCCAGTCTTTCTTCTCCGGAAAGGTGCCCTCCTTCCACTGTCCTCACATAGAGAACTGCCCGTGGAAGAGGCAGTGAGGGCAGGGGAAGAGAAAGGAGGAGGGGTAGGAGCCAGCCTGCAGCCAACTCCCAGGACCTGCTGCACACCCTGGTGAGCACATACGACCTGCAGCCTGCACTGGGAATGCCAGGAGTGAGGGGACAGAAGGGCAGAAATTGCAGGCACCATCTGAGACTGGGGTGGGTCAGATAGGGAGGACTCACACACAGCTTCCCTGAAATCTGGCTCAAACCAAGAGAAAGTGGAGCCCTGATAAGCTCCTAGGTGCACATTTAAGCAATTGCTGATGACAGGAGAAACAAACTGGTCTATCCGTACAGTGGAATATTATTCACCCACAAAAAGGGATGGAGCACTTACACGTTTATCCACATAGTGGATGACACGATGCGGAATGAATGAAGCCAGTCACCAATGCACTCACAGGCGGAGCTTCCAGTGACTCTGAGCTCTGTCAGCCACCTGCCATGCCCAATACCAGGGACCAACTCTACCTTCCAATCTGCTGGGCCAACTCTCTGGCCCGGGTGCACGTCTCCTGGGAGGAGTTCTTGCTGGCCATGTAGCAGGTGGTCAGTATGCGTCCACAGAGGTCTCGGGGATCCTGGGGGGTGTAGCTGATCTGGTTCACGATGGTGCGGACATCAGCCAGCACTTCCTCATCTGAAAACCACCAGGACAGAATGGGTGGAAGTCACCTGAGTGTGTGGGATGTTTACATAGTTCCACCCCGGTCTACACCCCCAGGTGCCCATGCGGCTCCACCCCGGTCTACACCCCCAGGTGCCTGTGCGGCTCCACCCCGGTCTACACCCCCAGGTGCCTGTGCGGCTCCACCCCAGTCTACACCCCCAGGTGCCTGTGCGGCTCCACCCCGGTCTACACCCCCAGGTGCCCGTGTGACTCCACCCCGGTCTACACCCCCAGGTGCCCATGCAGCTGCACCCCAGTCTACGGCCCCCAGGCGCCCATGCGGCTCCACCCCGGTCTACACCCCCAGGTGCCTGTGCGGCTGCACCCCGGTCTACAGCCCTCAGGTGCCCGTACGGCTGCACCCCGGTCTACACCCCCAGGTGCCTGTGCAGCGCCAGCCCAGGCTATGGCCCACAGCCCCATCCATCGGGCATCATCACCGCTGTTCTGCTGCATATGCTAAGGTGATGTCTGATACTATATCACATGGGGGAGGATGTGAACCTCCGACGCCTGTGTTCTCCCCACCAGGCCACACCGTGCACAGAGCAGGCAGGTACAGCTCTGGAGACTCAGCCACATGGGCCCGAAGCCCCAGGAAGCTACTGATGGCCTTGCTGCCTTAGCTGCAGGACTGGGATGTGATGCTGTGACATTTGTGCGTGGCCACAAAGCCCCCTTCACCCCGATGTCCATGGCACGGGTGTTTCCTCTGCCCCCTCCTAGGTCCCTAACTCAGGCAGCCCAAGGGCTGGACCCTGGAGCCTCCCTCAAGCCAACAGATGTCACCTACTTCCACTCCTCACGGCCTCGCAGACCTGGCAGCACATGGAGTAGATGAGGCAGGCGGTGGCTGCGCTGTCCACCCCGCCACTCAAGGGCAGCAAAAACCCTGCCTGGAATGGACCAATCAGACAGCGTGAGCAGAGCCTCGGAGAAGCAGCATGCCCATGGATCAGCCAAGCTCCACCCATAGACCTCAAGGAGGCGTCCACAGAAATGCACGTGGGTGTTAGCACTTTCCATGGGGTCAGGACAAATACCCGCACGTGGCAGGATGAATGGATTTTTCAGAGGGAAAAAAGACACTTCACTGCGGGGCGTGTCAGAGGCTGACTCCACCGACGAACTGCAGATACGCATGATTACAATGCTGGCAAGATGGTGAGCGTGACCCTGAATGCTGATGGGCTGGGTTCCGCTGAGCCTCCAAAGGTGGAGCTGACCCACCAGCCACTGTGCCCACCTTGCCTCTGGCTAGCACAGACTAAGCTCCCCATGGAGGCAGAGTGATGAAATGCTTTTTGTTGTTTGCACTAAAAAAAAAAAAAAAAATCCCTACCCTGCCCCAGAATAAAACCAGACCAACCAGCAGAACAAGCAAAGTGGGCTCACTAGAAACTGGAAGTCTTACCTGTTGACTTCGTCTTAAAAAATCCCAGAGCCAGCAGGCAGGTCCAAGGCTGCAGGGCAATCAGAACATGGAGCCCGGAGGCGGTGGCCCCTGCCCACAGCACCCAACAACCCACCCAAGCAGGCCCCAGGAGGCTGCAGTGCCAGAGTCAACGCTGGGCTCTCAGGACGCCCGTCTCTGCTTTAGGCACCTCGTGAGAAGGGACACATGTGATTCTGAAGACAGACCCAGGACGTGGGTATTATCATCGTCCTCATTTTAAAATGGGGACACTGAACCACAGAATGGACGGACAGCACCTTGGGGCCCAAGGTCACAGCACGGGGAAGCAGCAGGGCTGGGGGTCACACCCAGGGGTTCTGGCTCTAGCATCCACGCCCTCAACCCAGGGGATGCACAGTTGCCTTCTGCAAGTCCCCACCCAGGCAGGTTCTGAAAACCCACTGCGTGACCTCCAGGAGTCCCCACCCCAGGGGCGTGGCCACACAGACGCCAGGTCCCTCCCAGGGGTCAGGGGCCACACACCTTATCTCCTCCTCAGGGCTGTGGTATTTCCACTCGATGGGCTCAGAGATGGGTGCCAGCAAGTCCTCGTGGCACGAGAGGGCAAAGTCCACCTTCACTCTGGGGTAGGGGCTCGCCCTGCTGGCCTGGCAATGGAGATTCAAGACAGAATGACTCCCAGCTTCACGGAAACCCTCTGGGTCCCCAGGACCGACAGACAAGCAGGACTCCATCAGCCACAGAAACGCATGTCAAAACCACAGTGAGGCCACCCTCACTCCCACGAGGATGGCGAGAAGCAAAGCGACCAATGGCAACAGGTGCTGGTGAGGGGTGAGAAACCGGGATTCTCAAACCTGGCTGCCTGGAAACTACCATGGTGCAGCTGTGTGGCAAACGCTCTGGCAGCTCCTCAAAGGCTAAACAGAGCCAGGCACGGTGGCTCACACCTGTAATCCCAGCACTTTGGGAGGCTGAGGCAGGTGGATCACCTGAGGTCAGGAGTTCGAGACCAGCCAGACCAATATGATGAAACCCTGTCTCTACTAAAATTACAAAAATTAGCCGGGCATGGTGGTGGAAGCCTGTAATCCCAGCTACTAGGGAGGCTGAGACCGGAGACTCACTTGAATCTACGAGGCAGAGGTTGTGCTGAGCTGGGATTGCGCCATTGTACTCCAGCCTATGGTAGTTCACAGCAAGGGTGAAACTCCGTCTCAAAAAACAAACAAAAAACCAAAAAGCAAAAAACAGTTAACAGAGTTACCATAAGACCCAGCCAATTCCACTCCTGGATAGACACACCCAAGAGAAATGAAAACATGTGTCCCCTCCAACAGAAGTACATGTATGTTTGTAGCAGAATTGTTAATGATAGACAGAAAGTGGAAACATTCCCGATGCCCATCAGTGGAAGAGTGAATGAACACGTGTCCATCCCCGCTACGGAACACTCTCTGACCATACAAAGGGATAAGCTACAGCCACTCCCTGTGTCTGTGGGTTCTACACCCGCAGATTCAACTGCACACAGACAGAAGATACAGTAATCACAGGATCTGAAGCCCATGGATACAGAGGGCCGACTCTTCATATCAGTGAGTTTTGCAGGGGGCACTGTGGGACACAGGCATCCCTGCAGGGGATCGGTGCAGGCTCCTGGGTCCAATCCCTGTGGATACCAAGGGGTGGCTGCACCCAACACATAGATAAACCTTGACAACAGCACAGTAAAGTGTGGAAGCCATACACTGTGTGATTTCATCCCAATGAAACGTCGAGAATAGGCAAATCCATGAAGACAGACAGTAGACTTGTGGTTGCCAGGACCGGAGGAGGGGAACGGGGTGCATAATGGGTACAGTTTCTTTTTGGGGTAATGAAAATGCGCTAAGATTGTGGCTGCATAACTCCATGAGTACATGAAAAACCACTGAATCAGGTGCTTAAATGGATACATTGGGTGGTATGGCAAATACAACTTAATAAAACTGCTATGAAAAAAAGGCTGGGCACGGTAGTTCACGCCTGTAATTCCAACACTTTGGGAGGCCGAGGCAAGAGGATTGCTTTAGCCCAGGAGTTCAAGACCATCCTAGGCAACATAGTGAGACTCTGTCTCTAAAAAAAAAAAAAAATTAAAAAAAATCAAAAATTAGTTGGGCATGGTGGTGTGTGTCTGTTGTCTCAGCTACTCAGGAGGCTGAGGTGGGAGGATCACTTGAGCCCCAGAGGTCCAGGCTGCGGTGAGCTGTGATGGTACCACTGCACTCAAGCCTGGGCGATGGAATGAGACCCTGTCTCAATCAATCAACAGCAGAAGAGTCCGCTCTGTTATGAGCATCACACTTCTTCAATGTTTGCAAAAATCACTGTCTCATGACAGCTGCTCAGTTGGACATCCTATTTGTGACGATGTCCTGCAGAAACGCAGAGCTCCAGGTTACCAGCAGCAGGACCTCGGGCTGCAGGAGGGGCGTTACTTGCATCCCAGGGTCTCAGACACAGGCTCACTTGTGCCTTGGACCTTGCCTCCAACTGCCGAAGTGGGGACCAGCCTCGGCTGCACACTGTGTGCCTGTTCCTACCACGCTTGCCACCCCTCACCTTGAGGCCTTCCTGGGCTCCAAGGCTGCTTGGGTCTTCCTTGTGTGGCAGCCCCTAGCACGCTGACTGTCTCGTCAGCCTCTCTGCCTGCCTGTCCCCAGCTCACCCCAGCTCAGGGCCTGGCCCAAGCAGAGGATGACGGGGAACAGATGGAAGCAGGTTCTGTCTGCGGCACCAGCCCCTTTCCACGCTCGGGAAGTCCGGAACTTCCCTGTCAGACTTTTCAGGCACTGCACCCTCACGGCCTCCACCAGGCCCGCACGAATGGGGCCACTTTCCACGTCTTTGATGAGCATCCCACACAGGTGTCTACTGGAGCACTCACCGCCAGGTTTCGAGATGAAATCTCCGCCCTGTAGCTCCGGACGTCCTCCAGATCCAGCGTGGCCGTCAGGACTTCCTGGAGAAGGAAATTTCAAAGAGAACCCGTGATTTCCCGTTTGTTCAACTCCCACGTGTAATTTGGCCACTGTCAAAGGTGTTGTCACACCTTCTAAAGCAGGGGCTGAGACCCTGGATTCCTGGAGGCCCAGGGATGGGGCAGATGACATTGAGGCGGACCCATAGCCCTTCCCCGTCACTGTTGCCACCGGAACCTCCACTTCATTCAGACACTTGCCAGTGACCCACTAATCACAGCACAAGACACCACCCTGTCAATAAGACACACCCCGTCAGTAAGACACACCCCTGTCAGTAAGACACCCCTGTCAGTAAGACACCCCCATGTCAGTAAGACACCCCCATGTCAGTAAGACACACCCCTGTCAGTAAGACACCCCAGTGTCAGTAAGCCTCTGCCAGCGACTTCTGGGAACACCCCTCTCATCAAAAAGACACGCAAGGAGCCAAGGCCACTTTGCTGCCTCTGCATGTGGCTGTGTGAAGATGGGATGGCTGGAGCTGGGGCAAACATCCCATGCCCACGAGGAGAGGCAATCTGAGACAGGCCAACACAGAGGAGGGCGGAGCTGGAGAAGCAACCTGAGACTGAGGCCAACACAAAGGAGGATGGAGCTGGGGGAGGGCAGAGGCGGAGCCGCAGCCCCGGCATCCACACCAGGGTCTTGGCCTGGACGTGCTGCCTGTGTCACAGGAGGTGACACTGCCCTGCCTTTGAACCCGGCTATGGTAGGGGTTCTGCCAATTGCGGTATATGCAGAAATGAGGTTTTAACTCATAGGGGTTATTCCTTCATGAAAAAATATCTTTATCAAATTGTGTTCCTGAGTGTTGCCTTGCTAAACACGAGTGTGGGACAGCGGGAACAGCACCTGCACCACTGCGGCGGTTCACAGGATGGCCGTGGCCACCTTGCGCGCCCCTTGCTCCTACCGCCGTAACAGGGGGCCATACCTGGCCGGAGATGCCCATGAAGACAAGGAGACCGATTCACGCATCCTGTGGTTCTCTGGCTGCTTCCCAAAGTGACAGCACCCTGGCCACCAAGCTTCCATGCAGAAAGCCACGGTCCGTGTGAAGCCATAAAACAATGGAGATGAGGGAAGGCGAGGATCGTTCCATGAGAAGGTGGCTCCATCCCACTCTCCCCGAGGCTAGGTTAACAGCCTGCCGCACGGCGGCCTGACTCCAGGCACACGACAAGCCGGAAAGCCCAGGGGATTAGGAAGACCCTGAGAAACGCGGGCCCGACGGGGGTGATCGGCAGGTCTGTTGCTTGAGCAGGAGGCAGAAGGGGTGACTCTGAAATGATTCCACGTGTCACAAGACTTCTGTTGACCATTTCAGGTGCACCACGGAGGACCTGGTGGAGGGCAGTGGCCCGAGCCTGAGGACAGCGCGGCCACTCTGAATACAGCAGGCCTGTGGCCACAGCCTACGACGGAGCTCTCAGGCAACATCAGGAACTCTAGAGACGTGTAAGGCAACGGCTCCCGGATTCTAATGCACGAAACAACTGCCTGGTGCTCACTAAATATACAGACCCCCGAGGACTCCGATTTGGTGGCTTGATGTGGGGCCGGGAACCTGCGGGGGTCCTGGGGCAGGTGATTGATTGCCAACACACCTGCCAATCAACACGACCACCAATGTGCCTGTGGCTCTGACGTGAACGGGGAGAGGACCACACTTCCCATCAGCAGGAACTTAATCCTTCTCTTCAAAGCCCTTCCAGCTCTGTCGCGGTTAATGATGAAGCGCAAGGAGGCCTCTGGGGACACTGTCATGTGGAAAGCAGGGCCTGGAGTCGAGACGGCCACACCCTTGCCTGCCCCCGTGCAAGAAACCCCTGAAAAGACCGTGGAATTCTTGTTCAGGGTGAAGTTCACTTGGTCCACTATGAAACTGGTTTGGTTTTGTAACCGCCTCCGTGCTGACCACACCTATGCTGTGCAGAAAGCACCAGACAGAATCATGAGGATGGGAACGCAGCGGGAGCAAAGCAATGAACTGCTCAGACAGCCTCGCAGAGTCGGCGACGCCAGGACACAAGCTCGCCCTGCTCCTGCAAAGCCAGCTGCAGAACTCGCCTCCGGTGCTACCGCCTGCCTCGGTGAATCCGCTGCTTTAATGCCCATTCCCAACAAGAGCAGAGTGGAAGGCCGTCGGGTCCAAAGACGAGTCAGGCAATGCTGTGTGTGGGAGGCAGTGCTGTGGACCCGCGTGTGGTCTGAGCCCGAGAGTGGAGACGCTCCCACCCACGCCGGCTTGGGGCAGAACTAAAAGTTACTTTTTGTTGTATTTGTGCACTTGGGATTTGTTTCCATTTGTGGCAATAATAGCCCATTTTTTCTTGTTTGCTTCAAAAACAGAAAGAGAGGCCGGGTGCGGTGGCTCACACCTGTAATCCCAGCACTTTGGGAGGCTGAGGTGCGTGGATTGCCTGAGCTCAGGAGTTTGCGACCAGCCGGGGCAACACAGTGAAACCCTGTCTCTACTAAGTAAATACAAAAAAATTAGCTGGGCATGGCAGCATGGGTCTGTAGTCCCAGCTACTTGGGAGGCTGAGGCAGAATTGCTTTAACATGGGGCGGAGGTTGCAGCGAGCCAAGATTGCGCCACTGCACTCCAGCCTGGGTGACAGAGCAAGACTCCATCTCAAAAACAAACAAACAACCGAAAGGGAGAGTGGCCCAAACCTCCCCAAGGACTTTCCAACTGTGGTCCCTTCTCTGTGGAGGAAGTTTGCCTCCATGGCGATAACGATTACCTGGGAAGCCTTGCCCTGTGCTAATGCGCATCTTTAGCCGCAGAATGTGCAGAGCTTTCATCAGCTTCCCAAAGGAATCTGGGGCCCCAACAAGGTCCTGAACCCCATTCCAAGCGGCAGCTCAGTTGCTGGTGAGGAATGTGCCAAGCAGGGTTCTTAGCTTTGTTCTCTGTCATCTCCTTCCTCGGAGCACCCACATATCTGTGTCGCTTCGGGATAGCAATGGCGCTTCCGACCTGTAACTCACAGCTCCCCCAGGGCCCTCCCTCACGCAGCTGGCCGCTGTGTGCTCAGAGATCCCCACAGAACAAAGCCTCCCTGACCAGAGTGTCCTGGGGTCTCCACTTCTGCTTCCCAGGACTCAGGGGCAGCGTGGCATAAGGCCTCAGATGAGTATATGTGGCCTCAACACCCAAGGAAGACAGACAGGGCCTTGAACGGCCTCACCATACATGGGATCCCTGGACCTGTCTCAGGGGCCATGGAGCCTGCTAATTTCAAAGGAGTGGCTTTGGTTCCCTGCCAGCCCTCGGAATTCAAACAAACCAACGACACCCACCCGCAGGGGCCAGGCGGCACCCATCCTCTCATCACCACAGAGCCCGCCTCCCACAGCGGGGGCCGTCCCCTCTGTTCCTGAGCACACTCCCACCTGGCCCTGCGTGGCACGGAGCCCTCCTCCCGCACTGTGGGAACGCAGGACTCGTAAGCTGCCCTCAACCTCATCCGTCCACTACTATGTGCTGTGTGTCGGGGTTCAGCTGTCTCCAGACCCGAGGGCGGGAGGTCCCCCCTCACCAACCAGGTAAATTTGAGGCCATCAGAGCAGGCGGGACCCCTGGGGGCTTCTCCACAGGGGCCCTCACTAAGCACCCGGCTTACAGGGGAGAGCCAGGAGCAGGCGGGACCCCCGGGGGCTTCTCCACAGGGGCCCTCACTAAGCGCCCGGCTTACAGGGGAGAGCCAGGAGCAGGCGGGACCCCCGGGGGCTTCTCCACAGGGGCCCTCACTAAGCACCCGGCTTACAGGGGAGAGCCAGGAGCTCGGTCTCTGCACAGAGAACCCTCCCCCAGGCATGTCCAGGCCCGCTCATTACCACGTCATCCAGAGAAAACTGGGATCCTTGAGCAAAGACGCTTCCGTTCATGGCAATCATGGCACAGCCGTCGTAGTACAGGCGGTCCCCGTCACAACCCTTCTGGTTGGCCAGCAAGTAAATCCCACCGTTCTGAAAAAGGAGGACCCCATAGCGGAGTGGTCAGCTGTGTCCACCACCCTCACCTGCCACCTGCCCAAGTACAGGAACCTCCGCCGAGTCCCGCTAGGTCATCCTGAGTGGTCCCACCACCGCAGAGATAACGCATATGTGTGGGGAAGCACAGACCTGTGAAGCTGCGGCGAGCCCCGCCTTGCTAGGTGCCAGGCTCTACACAAAACATTTGTTTTTCCTTCACAACAACCCTACAAGGCAGACCCCATCACCTCCCTCAGGCATGATGAGGTTCAGACAAGCCAAAGAAAGCTCTGCATGATGAAGCCAAGACTCAAACGCGGCTCAGCTAGACCCACATCTGCCCCGTGAAGGATGAACCAGCACTGCCCCTCGCACGTCTCACTGCCCAACAGCAGGAGCAGCAAACGTACGGGTGTTCCCTACGCCTCACCATGATGCCAACGAACAAGGAGCACGTTCCGGTTCCTGGTCATGGCAGAGAGGGTGACAGGGTTGCTTCATAGGGTGGCTGCGTGGGTGAGATGGGCTGTGCCGGCGAAGCCCTGGAGGGCAGCAGGGCACACTTGTTGAGTCCAGGCCATAATTACTAGCCTGGAACATCCATTGTGTGTGGGCCCAGCCCTGCGATGGGCACTGAGGATGCAGGAGTTCTTGAGATACAGTGTCTGCCCTGTGGCGCACGCTCCCTGGCCCAGCCCCTACCTTGCTGGTGACCATAGTCACGAGATCCACCCTGGTGTTGGCTTTGCGCAGCACTTGGTGGCTGCCCGAGGCGTTGGTGATGATCTCCACGCCATCCAGGCCCATGTCGATGTGCGGGCTGCAGGCAGAGGCAGGTGAAGAGAACAGGCCACCAGACTCCTCCAAACCAGCCTCCCTGGCAGCCCCTTGCACTCTCCCACGGCAGCTCCCAGCCCACGGCCACGGCCACGGCCACGGCCCCAGGACGTCTGCAGTCCCAGGTCCTCCCAGCTGGCCCATATGAGGTGGGCGATCAGACAGCACAGGGGCATGGGGCTGACCTGTGGGGTGTCCAGAGCTCCTCACAGATCTCACTTCCAATGCAGGTGTCCCATGTCACCAGCACCGCATCTCCGAAGGGTACGGTTTCCTGCAGTCGGAAGAGAAGAGTGCATGAGATTCACTAGCCATGCCCTGTCTGGGCCACGCACTACCTAGGGCCACGGACATCCTGCAGCCACAAGAGCTGGAGTTGGCTCTGGGCTCTCGCACATTCCGAAGAGGTGGGTGCCCTGCGGCTGCGCATGGGACACCGGGTGGTGCCAGGCAGAGACGCCCTTAGGAGCCTATGTGTGGAAGAAGGGGACGCCTGTACTCTGAGCAGCCAAGGGGCAGAATGTCACGGACATCGATGGGGCTGCCAATTGGGGCCAGCAGCTTCTGAAGCGACCCTGTCCTGTGATCACACTGAAGCAGCTGCTGCCCTGTGCTGATGAAGCTAGGCCCCCACTCCCAGCCACAAGGCAGTGGCTGAGAGGGGACACCAGGGTGCCTTCCCTTAGAATTCAAAATTGAGAGTAGGGCATTTTGCTGTTGGTCTAGATAACACTTAAATGTCAGAACATAGCCCCTGGGGATGGAGAAGGCTGTCTTCTGCCACAAGGAGGAAATGAAGAGGAGGAAGCCAGTGTGAGTGGGGGAAGGGAGGAAAAGCAGCCCCAAGGCAAGGAGGAGCCACCCTGGCTGCTGTCTGGCCACGCAGCCCCCCTCACTATAGGAACCTGCCTCCTTTGTCTGTTTCAGACCTGTGAGCACTGTGGTGCCTTCCATTACCTGGATCCCAAAGCGTTCCCGCCCCACCTGGTCCACTGTTGGCCGAGAACAGCGACAACCGACTGAAAAACGGGCTCCACACCCAGGGACTCACCTGCTTTGTCAGGTCCTGTATCATCCGAGGCAGAAAGTACTCCTCTGTGTGCCTGGAGAGGAAAACACCGAGGAGCTGAGGATGAGCATCTCAGGACAAATGAGGAATGGCGGCTACATTTAAACAAAACTCAAACTGAACCCTCCGAACTGATGAACTGGCAAAGGAACTGCCAAGCGTTCCCCCCAATGCAATAAACAATCGCATTCAGGTAAAAAGAAAAGAGTATGAAGGTGGCTTGAGGAGACTATGTGACATGGTGGTGGGCTGGGCTCTCCGAGCTTCGGGCTGCCTCAGTTTCCCCACACGCTCATGTTCATCTTTACTGAGAGATGTGTCACAGGGGATTTGCTGAGAACTGGCCACGTTGCCTCATGGAGAAATCCAGGTGGAATTCCTGATCGCTGTTACTGAATCAGAAAAATCGTGTGGCATTAACCCGAAACACAATGACAAACCAGTATCATCCCTGGAATAAAATGATGCTCTCAATTCGAGAAATCAGGAGGAGGGTTTAATACCAACTTTAGTGCAAGGTGTCCCAAGAAGCTCCAC
The DNA here is from genome assembly GCF_000001405.40 of Homo sapiens. Classification (NCBI taxonomy): domain Eukaryota; kingdom Metazoa; phylum Chordata; class Mammalia; order Primates; family Hominidae; genus Homo; species Homo sapiens. The sequence continues at coordinate 71,471,945 of NC_000011.10, read as the reverse complement.
CAAGAGGCGGAATCTTCAAAACAGACAGTTCACGCATTTGACTTCCAATAGGCTGTTACGAGATGCACCACTCAGATCTGCAAGGAACTCCGTTTCCTTTTTGCTTTCTTAGAATTCCCAGGAGCCTTCTGGGCATGGTTTTAGTAGTTCTCTCTACTTAAGAAATGTTAAAGGTTGAGAAACTGAGTCAATGATGTCTTTCCCCCTCATTCACGTAGGGAACGGGGACAGGAAGATATCCTACAGAACTGCAGGCTGCCTCGCCATCCCATATTGAGCACTCCATTCACCCTCTGTAGCCTGTTGACGGCGATGCTGCTGCACCGAAATGCATTTTAAATGCAGGAACCGTCCAAACATCTCTCCCTTCATCTGCACCTTTCCCTCGACTCATGCAAAGACACCCTGGACACCGGAACAAAGACCCAGCGGGACAGGCATGTACCCGGCCTTGCTCCTCACTGCAGCTGTGCTCCACAGCCAGCGCACACCTTGAGGATGGCTCTCTGCAGGCAAGGACCAGGCCTTAGTTATGTTTTCCTAAGAGGACCTGGAACCTGGAATGGCTCCTTGAGCCTGCCAAGTACTCTTTACTAAAGCAGGGGCATGCTGAACATGACCATTTCTTGTCATCATTCGGCACAGCTCCCAGAGGATTAGAAACCTCAGCTTTCTCTAAGTGAACCAAAATGTACAGTTGCTTCTGGTGGGCTCCAGCCTCACCTTCCTGCCACCTCTTCCACGGGGATGAAAGGAATACCATCCCAGAGGGCCCAGTGTGACACCTGACACCGAGGCGTTCATGAGACGAACGGGGAAGAAGGAACAGGAGCCCCACACTTATGCTCTGAAATCCTAAAGACAACATCAACTGATAAAATTTCTCAACAAAAGCACAAATAAATGACAGGAGATAAGTTTACAACTAAGAAAAGAATTTGAAGTCTTAAAATACTTGCAGATAAGAAAACAAAGCACAGGATAGAGCCCTGTGAAGAGCACTGCAGAGAAGACAAATTCAGGGGAATGAAACTGCCAGAAAAAAAATACAAATAAACGAAGACAGTGATGGTTAGAAAGAAGATGAAAGATAAGGCAGGCAGACACAGACATGTCACTTGCCAGCCATCGAGGTTCCTGAAGAACAGAACAGAAGCAAAAGAACGAAAGCCTTTGGAAGCAGAAAATAGGTAAACTTTCCTGAAATAAGAAGACCTGAATGTGGAGTCAAAAAACCTTACAGGTATCATAAAAAATAAGGAGAATCCCCAAGCCATTTGCTGGAGCTACTGAACCTCAGGAGTAATAGAGACATCCCACGGCACCTAAGCAGGAAAAGCTGGCTCCTGCAGAAATGCTAAAATCTGTTTGGCCACAGACTTCCTTTATGGATTAATTTTATTGCAAAATATATTATGCAAAAGAGTACCAAGGCACACATGTGTAATTAAAGGATATTAAAATAAGCCCAGTGCACACAGTACCCAGGTGAAGGAGCAGAGCATCGCCTGGACCTCCGAGCCCCCAGCGTGCGCTGCTCTCTCCTTGGAAGTGCTCCCCGCATCAAATCTTGCCTATCTTTGTACTTCAACACAGGAACATGTCCTTAAGGCACAGATCACTCATGCACCCAGGTGCGCTGATATGGTCTGGCTGTGTCCCCACCCAAATCTCATCTTGAATCATAGCTCCTGTAATTCCCACATGTTGTGGGAGGGACCCGGTGGGAGATAATTGAATCATGGGGCAGGTTCCCCCATACTGTTCTCATGGCAGTAAGCCTTAGGAGATTTGATGCTTTTACAATGGGTTTCCCTTTTTGCTTGGCTCTCATTCTCTCTTGTCTGCCGCTATGTAAGACATGGCTTTCGCCTTCTGCCGTGATTGTGAGGCCTCCCCAGCCACATGGAACTGTGAGTTTATTAAAGTTCTTTTTCTTTACAAATTACCCAGTCTTGGGTATGTCTTTATCAGCAGCATGAAAACGGACTAACACACGTCTTTTTTTTTTTTTTTTTCTGAGACAGGCTCTTGTTCTGTCTTCTGGGCTAGAGAGTAGTGGCACAATCACAGTTTGCTGCAGGCTCAACCTCATGGGCTCAAGTGATCCTCCCACTTCAGCATCCCAGGTAGCTGGTGTTGGGAACAGGCCCCCAGATCTATAAACAAAATCTCTGCAGCACTGTGACATGCTCGTGATGGCTATGACGCCCATGCTGAAGGTTGTTGGCTTCCCAGAATGAGGGCAACAAACACCTGGCCCACCCAGGGCGGAAAACCACTTAAGGCGTTCCTGAACCACAAACAATAGCATGAGTGATCTGTGCCTTAAGGACATGTTCCTGCTGCAGATAACTAGCCAGAGCCCATCCCTTTGTTTCCCGTTTTAATCTATAATCTAAAGAAACAATGCTTATCACTGGCTTGCTGTCAATAAATATGTGGGTAAAACTCTGTTCATGGCTCTCAGCTCTGAAGGTTGTCAGCCCCCTGATTCCCACTCCACACTCTACATTTCTCTGTGTGTGTCTTTAATTCCTCTAGTGCTGCGGGATTAGGGTCTCCACAACCAAGCTGGTCCTGGCAGCTAGGACCACAGGTGCACACCACAACGCCCAGCTGATTTTTGTATTTTCTTTGGTAGAGAGGGGGTTTCACCACGTTGCCCAGGCTGGTCTCGAACTTCTGAGCTGGTCTCGAATCCTGAACTTCTGACCACTTTGGCCTCCCAAAGTGCTGGGATTACAGGCATGAGCCACCACACCTGGCCTTTCGTTTGGTCTTCATGAGTATCTTAGCTATTTGTGGCCTTTTGCTCTTCCATGGAAATATTAGAGCCAGTTTATTGAATTTCCTGTTCAGATTCTTATGGAAACTACACTGAATCCACAGATCAACTTAGGGGAGATGAATGCTTTTCACACTGTGCCTTCCTTTTCACACACACAGGCAATCTCCATTTAGCTCAGTAGTCAATAATGCCCTCCCATAAAATTTTATCATTTTTTCCCATACAGGGCTTACACATCTCTGGTTATAGTTAGCCATAAGCACTTTTCCTGCTGTCATAAATGGTATCTTTCTTAAAGTTACATGTTCTGACTGAATGTTGCTGGTAAATGAAATGAACCTGGCTTTTGGTTGGTTTTATCATCCAGCAAACTTGCCAAAATGTATTGTTAATTACAATATGGTTTCAGCCTATTCCTGGATTTTCATTTAATCCAGAATAATGACCTCTGTCTTTTAATCAAATTATTGTATCCATTTTTATTTGTAGTGACTACTGACAGATTTATTCTGTCTTATGTGCTATCTCTGAGTCCTACTTTTTCTACTGGACTTTTAAAGAACTCACTTCCATTTATGCTTTATTTGGAATTATTTCATTTTTTCCTTTTTAGTCTTCTTTTCTTCTGCCTGCTATTTTGACAATCATATGTTCTATATCTTTTCTTTTAGTGGCTACCCTAGAAATTTTCTGTGTCTCTCAACTAAAGTCAAAAATTGATCAGTATCTTTATCTTTACCCTCCTACAGAGCATTGCCCTAATTTACACGCACAGCTATGCAGTGATTTAGGGCTGGCCTACTTTTTACTACACACTAGACATTATGTTTCATACAGTCCCATTTGTTGACACGTATCCACAAATTTATCAATATCCTTTTTCACCAATCCTTTTGAAATTTCGAGGCTTCTGCTAGGATGATTTTCCTTCTGCCTAACGTACATGTTCAGAATTTCCACTAATGAGTCTTTTAATGATAAAAAACTGTTTTTGCTTGTGTGAAAATGTCTTGATTTTGTCCTTGTTCTTAAAGGATGCATTTACTGATTCTAACACTCCTGGCTGCCGGTGACTCTCTCCTCGGATTTTTTCCAGCCACCGTCTCCTGGCTCCAGGCTTCACCACTACGAAGCAGGAGTTGCTCTAGCTGCTGAATCTCTGCGGGCAATTTGTCTTTTTCCCTTTTGGCTACTTTTGAGAATTTCTCTGTGTCTTTAGTGTTCTGCGGTTTCACAAGAATGTTTCTAGATGTGAATTTCTATTTGTTTATCCTGTTGAGATCTGTTGCAGTTAGTGTATCTGAGAACAGCATCTTTTAAACATCTTATGGATGTTTCCATTTTCTTTCAAATACCGCCTCTTCTCTATAACCTCCATTATCTCCTTCTGAGACAAGAATTCCACCCTTGTTATCCACTTTCACCCTTTTCTCATGTTTCTTAATGTCTCTTAGGTTTTCATCAGATTTTCTTTAAGGCTTAAATTCTGGATAATTGCAGGGAGAGGTCTATCTTTCAGTTCCATACCTCTCTATTCAACTATGTTTAACTTACTTGTTATTCATTCACATTATTATTTGGCTCTTTTTCTAATTCTGATTGGCTGCTTCTTACCTTTTGAGCTTCTCATCAATTTACTTCAGTGTATTAGGAACACTTATCTTCTATTCTGTGTTGAGCTTTCACATCTGCGTCTACTGTATTTTTTTTGCTGGTTCTGACTCATTGTGCCTTATTTCCTTGTATGTTTTATGACTGGACTCTGAGCTTCTCATTTTCCTTAAATGTCACGTCTAGAAATTCGGAGCAGCCTGGATTGAAGGTGAATTTCTCCAGAGAGACGTCTGTTTGCCTGTGCCCAGCGCCTGCGGGTGCTACAGTAACTTCTGGAAGGTCTATTGCCTGGAGACTGGACACTTCCTGAACTCATCTTGGGTCCACATGGAATTAACTTATTCTCCTGAGTCTTATACTACACAGGTAGGGAGGTTTCCAGCACAAAGGCTGTCAATTTCTAGGCAACATCTCTCCCCCTCCACCAAGCACCAGATTGAGGGAGGCATGTGTTCAGCCTTCCCTCTCTGTGCAGTGGACTTATGTCTCAGTCACGGTTTTAGTGTGAGCCATCTGTAGCTACAGCATTCAGAGGTGTCTCCTATTGGATCTCCTGCCCACCCCCCCACCTCCAGTTCCATGAAGTTATCAACAATAAAACTCAAGGTCTCCAGGCGTAGGAAACCCTTGGGGCAAAAGCCAGCTTTGCGCCCAGGGTCCCAGGGTCTCCAGTTTCACTGTTTTTAGGCTCAATGTATTCTGTACTTTCCTGCCAGCTCAGTGGTGCACATTTGAAAATGAGACATAAATGCATACATATTGTATCCGACATACTAATGGCTTCAGTTATGAGGGTCATTCCGGTTCTGGAACTGCCCTGGAGTCAGAAATGGCAAAGCAGCAAAGGAGTGAGTGGCAGACAAGAGCGGGCAACGATTCCACCTGCAAGACAGAAAGTGAACCGCGAGGGAGCAGCAACAGACATCTCTCCACCTCTGCTGGCAGAGAGAGTGAAATTACAGCCTTGGAGCCTGCAGAAGAGAGTGGCCATGAGAAGCAAAGCCATCCACCCACGGAGATCTTGCAGCCCGTGTCTGGCAGCACCAGGCTCTAGAGGGCGGGGTGAGGCAGAGCCAGAAGCAAACGATACCTGGACCACCTCCCAGGCCCAGCACATCATCCCACTGGGAACCAGAGTGCACCAGACAGACCCTGGGCACCAGAACACTAGGCCTGGGAGACAGGGGACAGGGAAAGGGGTGGTCTTGAGGTCTAGAGGCTGAGGATGGGGGCATGTTAAGTGAAAGTCCAAGTGGCTGAGTGTAGGTGCTCAGCCTAGGAGATCAAAAGATGGCGCTTTTTTTTTCTGGAGACATTAGAAAGCAAAGATTTACTTTATCTTCACCTCAACATATGCTAAAAAGACATGGGATAAACTCAACATCCATTCTCAATTTTTAAAAACCTGAAGTAAGACTAGCTAGAGATAGATATAAGCCCCAAATCAAATGCAGAAACATGAAGAGCTTTCCAAGGAAAGTCAGGAAAAAGACGAAATTGCCCATTAGCAAAGAATTTTGCTCCAGAAATGATCTAGAACATTGTTCTAGAAATGCTGGCCAACAAAAGTTAAGAAAATGAACCAAGAGGTGCAAATACTGGAAAGGAAAAGGAAAATTCATTGTATATTATATAAGTTCAACTTAAAAGAAAAACTACAAAAATCAACAGACTAACCAACAGACACAATAGGAGAATTTAATGAGGTAGTCAATTACAAAAGCAACATAAAAATCAAGTTTTCCTATATAAAAAATTAACCACTTAAAAATATAATATTAAAGAGTCCATTTACAATAACAACAATAAAAAACAGAAATAACTGTAATAAAAATGGAGAGTAGAATTTCTCAACCGGGGCATTTTACCCCCCAGGGGACATCTGGTAATGTCTGGGGACATTTTTGGTTGTCACAACTGGGAGCATCTGTGGGGAGACCAGCTATGCCAGTAAATGCCTGAGGATGCACATGGCCGACGCCCCATGACAAAGAATGACCCAAATGTCAACCGGGTGAAGATGGAAATTCAGTATCATTCAAGATGGAAGTGGCACTTCACCTAACATGACTGATATCCCTGATTGATGACTGAGAGTTCCATGTGATCTGCGCTGAACATGGCTACAATTTAATCAGCAGCATCAAATCAGGCATATAAGGGACTGGCACCAGGGGATGGAGACCCTAGTCCATGTTTCTGTGCATCTTCTACTTGCAGAGGCCTGATCAGATAAGGAAGCAATGAGTATGGGGCCCCAGATGTGGAGAACAATGAACAGTTGTTCTGAGGGCACAATGTCCTACACAGGCACAATGACCTCCTTCCGCAGTGGCCCCCGCAGTTCTACCTCATCCCCAATGTAGCCCCCTCCAGCACAATGCTATAAAACTTCCCTCCAGCCCCTGCCTCTCTGCAGACAGCCCCTTCTCTGCTGTGCTGCCTGTTGCGATATTGTAACATACTTTCATACCTTCTCTAATAAATCTGCCTCTCTTTACCTACAACTGTCTTGGTAAATTCCTTTACTGCCTGCACCATTGGCCCCAGCTAGTCGATATCTGTGACACTGCTGAGGTAGAATAGGGTCTGGGGGCAGGGAACCTAAGCACTTCCTAGAACTAAATCAAACAGAAAAACCCCGCTCTTTTTTTTTTTTTTTTTTTTTTTTTTGAGACAGAGTCTCGCTCTGTTGCTCAGGCTGGAGTGCAGTGGCGCAATCTCGGCTCACTGCAAGCTCTTGCCTCCTGGGTTCATGCCATTCTCCTGCCTCAGCCTCCCGAGTAGCTGGGACTACAGGTGCCCACCACCACGCCCAGCTAATTTTTTGTATTTTTAGTAGAGATGGGGTTTCACCGTGTTAGCCAGGATGGTCTCGATCTCCTGACATCGTGATCCGCCCACCTCGGCCTCCCAAAGTGCTGGGATTACAGGCGTGAGCCACCGTGCCCAGCCCAAAACCCCAGCTTTCTAAGACCAAGTAAATAACTTTGTAACTACTTCAGACAGGAAACACCCTTTTTATTTGCATAGTGTGTACACCAAGTAAATAACTTTGTAACTCCACTTCAGCCTCTTCATTTACATGGGGCTCACACCAAGTAACCGATGGGAAGCCTCTAGAGGATATTTAAACCCCGGGACATTGTGTAACCGCGCCCTGAGCCCCTGCCGGGGCTGCTCCCACCCTGTGGAGGGGGCTTTCATTTTCAATCACTCTCTCCTTTGGTTGCTTCATTCTTTTTTGGCTTTCTTTGTGCTTTTTGTCCCATTCTTTGTTCAAAATGTCAAAAACCTGGACACCCTCCACCGGTAACACTCCCATGATCAGGACCCAAGGCTACACACAGCGGAGGTGCTTAACGCACATCCCAGGAGTGGTCAGGCACCCGACTCACCGACTCCTCGACCACGGGGTGAACCAGCGCAGCTCGCGGTAGTTGCCTTCATTGGCCAAGGCCATCTTGGGTCTGATGAGCAGGATCTTCCTGCAGACAGGGGAACAGGGCTGTGCACACCGGGCTCCTGAGATGAACGTGCCACTGGCGGTGGTCAGTGCCACCAAGTGACGAGGTGATGCCATGCAGAGTCAGCTTGAGAATGGGGCCCCGAGCAAATCTCTCTCCTTCTCTGGGCTTCCGCTTTCTATGACTCGGGTCCCCATGGCTGCATCCATTCGTGACCGTCAACGATGAAGCAGCTAAGCCCCAGAAGGTGTGCGCCTCCCCAGCAGCTGGTGACCAGGCGCTCCAAGGGAACTTGCTCACCTGGACTGGCTTCCAGGCCACAAGGACCTGTGTCCCCACACCCCCACCCTCTGCGTCTCTCTCCTTCTGATACCTGATGATGCCTGTCTCGGTGGTGGCTGAGACCCAGAAAAGCAAAGGCACCCGGATCACCTGCCTGGTGCATCGGCCCTCACTAAGCCCGGGCACTTCCAGAAGCAGCCTCCCAGCAACGGGTCCCCAGGGCACCAGCACGGGTCCTGGCAGCCCTCAGCTGAGAGCCAGGGAGAGGCCCCAGTCACCCTCCCGGGGTGGGGGCAGGGGGCCTACCTGTTGAGGAATATCACTCTGCAGTTGTAGCGGACGTTTCGGTGCATTACAGGCCTGCAGGAGAGAGGGGAGGTACATGTGTGTCTGCCCGGTTATGAAACACAGAGCACATGGAGGCAGCGGCTGCAGCTCTGGAATCATGCATTTTACTTTACTACGAAGCTTCCTCCGATCCCTTCGGAGAACTGCAAGGCTCTTCTGTGGCACCCTCAAATCAAAGCTAAAAGGAGCCGAGATGGTTCTGCCACCCAGGCAGCACCGACTCTAAGCCTAGAGGAGCTTCTTCTCAATGAAGGGCAAATTCATTCCACCACAGGGTTCTTCCCTCTCCTCCTGGAATGTTCCAGCCTCTGTTGCCTCCTCCCCTTCCCCTTCCAAATTGCCTTATGCTAACCTGAGGCATCCACTTTTCAGCACCTGTCCGCCCTGAGCTCATTTCCACCCACCACCTGGGACAGGTGGAACCCCTCCATTTGCTGCTCCGGGCTGGCCCTTTCTCGGGACTGGGTCTTGGCTTCACGCTCCCATCACCTCGCCAACACCCTATCATCTCCCCCTGCAGATAAGGGGACCATAGCAGGAGAGGGCGGCCTGGCTGGGGGCACTCGAGTGGGGACCAGAGTGACCCGACAGGAGGTTTGGGCCAGATCAGGGCAGCACAAGGGGAAGATGACCCTCATAGGGGCACTGAGAGGACACAGTGTCGAAGAAAAGCACAGGCGCCTGCCAGAGGTGTGACCCGACAGCAAAAGTGTTTCAGGGGAAGAAAAACCAAATGTGGATGGTGTGGAGTTCCAATTCCAGCCTTGCCACTGGCTAAGTAACCGGTGTGAACCCAAAAGTATCTGAGACAGGTCTCAGTCCATTTAGAACATTTATTTTGCCCAGGTGAAGGATGCACTCCTGACACAGCCCGAGGGGGTCCTAACTACACGTGCCTGCGGTGGTCAGGGCACAGCCTGCTTGTACACATTTCAGGGAGACAGAAGACGTCACTCAATACATACAAGATGGGCACTGCTCGAACTGGAAAGGCAGGACCAACTCGAGGGGGCCAGGGACGGGCTTCCAGGCCATAGGTGGATTTAAACAGTTCTGACTGGCAATTGGTTGAAAGAGTTATTATCAATAGAAAGGAATGTCTGGGTTATGATAGCGGGTTGTGGAGACCAAAGTTTTATGATGTAAATGAAACCTCCAAGTAGCAGGCTTCAGAGAGAACAGACTGTAAATGTTTCTTATGAGACTTAAGGTCTGTGTTGATGCTCATGCTGGTCGGCTTTTCCAAAAGGGAGGAGGGTAAATGAGGCCTGTCCGACCCCCGATCACCCCCCACTCCCAGTCATGGCCTGAACCCGTCTTTCAGGTTAACCTTGGAGGGCCCCTCTGAGAGAAGCGGTTCATTCAAAAGGTTGGGAGGGCCTTAGAATTTTATTTCTGGTTGACATCAGCCTTGATTCTTCCTCCCAAAAATGGGGATGAAAGGGCAAGATGCATGCAGGGGCACCACTGCCTGCCCCGGTCCTGGCTGCGGCCACCACAAGCGACTCACTCCATCATGGCTTCTATTCCTCTCCGATGTGTTCTGGATTCAGGTCCCCACCAAATCTCATGTCCTACTGTAATCCCCAGCATTGGAGGTGGGGCCTGGTGGGGGCGGAGTTCTTATGAATGGGTTGGCACTGTCCCCTCCGTGCTGTTCTCCTGACAGTGAGTGAGTGGGTTCTCATGAGATCTGGTCGTTTTAATAGTGTGTAGCGACTGGGTGCTGTGGCTCATGCCTGTAATCCCAGCACTTTGGGAGGCTGAGGCAGGCGGATCACAAGGTCAGGAGTTCAAGACCAGCTTGACCAATATGATGAAACCCCATCTCTACTAAAAATACAAAAATTAGCTGGGTGTGGTGGTGCATGCCTGTAGTCCCAGCTACTTGGGAGGCTGAGGCAGGAGAATCGCTTGAACCCGGGTGGCAGAGGTTGCAGTGAGCCGAGATCGCACCGCTGCACTCCAGCCTGTGCGACAGAGTGAGACTCTGTCTCAAAAAGAAATAAATAAAAATAAATAAAAAAGTGTGTAGCACCTCGCCCCTCTCTCTCTTGCTCCTGTTCTTGCCATGGAAGATGCCTGACGAACACAAACTTGTTCTCACTTAGACAAAGTGTGCCCAGAGTGTGAGAGAAATAGATGTTTTAAATAAAATACGGGCCCTCCGTGAATATCTGATCTCTAAGTGGAGTAAGCCACTAGAACAAACTCAGAAACAAACTAAAGCAGATCAGGGCGGCGCTTTCACTACGTGACCATTTTACCACTGAACACATAAAACAAAGTCACACACCGAACAACGCACCAGGAAAAGGATTTTTACCTTACGTGGGAATGGACTGACATGTTTCGCATATAAAGGACTCAAATTAAAAGAGACAAAAACAGTTGTAGGCAAAAAACCAGGTAACTATTGAAGAGTGTTATAAATCACCAACAAACAAAAAAAAGTTCAACTCAGTAAGTGAGCAAAGCAAATAAATAAGACAGTCGTTTTTAAAAAACTATTCACCACTCTGTTTCTTTATTTTGCTTATAAAGGCAAACCCTTGTGGAGCAGAACTAAGGATGGTGCACCACCAACCACAGAGGGCGGGGACCCAACTCAGCACCCTCTTCCTTGAGGACCGTTTGAAGAAACGATGCAGGATGGAAGTTATCAATGACATTATGATAAAACTCTTGTTTTGTTCAATGGAGCCTCCAATCCAGAAAAATGCTAGATTTCAAAAGAAAAAATACCTTCAAATATGATGGTTACAAATTTAAGTGTAAAAAGTAGAAAAATGAAAAGAGGATGATAAATTCAAAGTCAGCAGGGGAAAAGTTTGAGCAAAAATGAACCAACAAAAGGCAAAACCCAAAAAGAACCAGCCTGGGCAACATAGCGAGACCCTGTCTCTATGAAAAATAAAAAATAAAATTAGCCAGGTGTACTGGTGTGCACCTGTAGTCCCGGGTACTCAGGAGGCTGAGATGGACGGATCACTCAAGCCCAGGAGGTCGAGGCTGCAGTGAGCCAGGATGGCACCATGGCACTCCAGCCTGGACAACAGAGTGAGAATCTGTCTCAAACAAACAAAAACAAAAACAAACAAAAAAAAGAAAACCTAATGAATAGAAAACTTGGTGAAGTGACTAGAGTAAGTCCTTGTGGTCGTCTGACTCTCAGCCCCTCAAAGATGTCCCCATCCTAACTGCTGGAGCCTGTGACTGTGTTATGTTACCTGAGGCGCTGCAGGGGTGATGAGGTGACAGGCCTTGAGATGGGAGATGATTCTGGACAATCTGGGCCAGCCAGCAAGGGTCCCCATAAAAGGGAGGGTCAGAGGAGGACTGCGACAACAGACGTGGGGGTCGGGGTGACATCACAGCTGGGAGGGGCCACAGGCCAGGGAAGCTAGAGAAGGCAGGGACGCAGATCCTCCTGGAGTGTCTCCGGAAGGAACCAGGCTTGCTGCTGACCCCTGACCCCTTGACCTCCGACCTTCAGAACCATTAGATAAAAGACTGGTGTTGCTTGTGTGTTTTGTGTCCATGGAAATTCATCAGAGCGGCAAAAGGAAACTAAGAGAGTCCACAGGACCAATTAGCATCATCCGTGTGAACAGGGCACTAAAATTCCCATCCATGTGCTGCTTAGAAGAGGCCCCAGTCCACAAATGTCACGGTGAGGGTCGCACGCGAGTGGCAGGAGAATATGTGCCAGGCAGATGCCAAGGAAGAAGCGAGCCAAGGTGCCACGTCCATGCCGGATGAGGCGGGGCTGAAGGAGACGTAAAGGACTCGATGCGAGGTTCAGTGACAGGGGATGGCAATGCAGAGCGCAGCAGACACCAGCAGAACATGTGCAGAGGCCTCCATAGGGGACGGCTATGCAGAGTGCGCAGCACAGACTCCAGCACAGCATCCTCCATAGGGAGCCGGCTATTCAAAGCAGGGCTCAGATACCAGCACAGCACGTGCAGAGGCCTCCATAGGGGACCGGCTATGCAGGGACAGCACAGACACCAGCACAGCACACACAGAGGCCTCCATAGGGGTGGCTAAGCAGGGACAGCACAGACACCAGCACAGCGTGAGCAGAGGCCTCCATAGGGGACCGGCTATGCAGGGACAGCACAGACGCCAGCACAGCGCACACAGAGGCCTCCATAGGGACCAGCTATGCAGGGCACAGCACAGCTCATGCAGAGGCCTCCATAGGGGCGGCTATGCAGGGACCGCACAGACACCAGCACAGCACACACAAAGGCCTCCACAGGGACTGGCTATGCAGGGTACAGCACAGACACCAGCACAGCGTGTGCAGAGGCCTCCATAGGGACCAGCTATGCAGGGTACAGCACAGACACCAGCACAGAGCGTGCAGAGGCCTCCATAGGGACCGGCTATGCAGGGTACAGCACAGACACCAGCACAGCGTGTGCAGAGGCCTCCATAAGGACCGGCGATGCAGGGTACAGCACAGACACCAGCATGGAGCATGCAGAGGCCTTCCTTGTGGAGCTACACATATGCAGCCTAGGACATGGGAACCGTGTGGCAACATGTGGACATGGAATGAGCCCCAGGGCTCCCTGTGATGTGAGTCAAGCTCTCTGCACGGGGTGGGGTGAATGCTGCATTCCCCTTTGTGCAGAGTCTGCTGATGTGTGCACAGGACTTTCTGGAAGAACTGACACATCCTGCTTTCAGGAGCTCCCTCCTTGCAGGGGAAATGAGGTGGCTTACGGGGCTGAGATAGGAACAAAACCCACTTTTCAAGCATAAGGCCTTTCGTATCCCTGGACACATGGATGTTCCACACCCTGGATGGAGGCCGGTTGGGTGGGTCATGCCCTTGAGCTTGCCTTTGTCCCAGGTTTGCCCTTCCACACTCACACTGGCACTTACATCCCCACGTCGCAGATGATGTCCTGAGTGACGGGAGACTCCACAAGGGCCGCTAGGACTTGAAACGAGTGCAAGAGGGTGTCCGACTCGTAATAATGATCCCAACATCCGTAGCCGCTGCAGAGACAGTGAGAAGGTGAGCTCCAGAAACAACTCAGGTGAGCGGGGAGGGGCAGGGCCTGTGGGCCAGTCCAGTCTGAACGTGTCTGGGGGCCGGGGCTCAGGTGTTTTCTCAAAGCCTTCCAGGTGATTCCAATGAGCAGCCAGCATAAGACCCACTGCCGCAGCCAGATGTGCCGTACTGAAAGCGAAGAGCACGGCCCCTGCTCCTCTCTCTGAGTTTTAAGTTACTACAAAAACTCTCTCTCTATCAGGAAGTGCCCGCCCTTGGGTTTCCTTGTAACTGTTAATGTGGCCCAAATGACACTGATCTACAAGAGAAGAACCTCAAAGAAACAAAGCTGGACCCACAGAAATCCATTCTTTGGCAAAGAAGATCACTAATAACCATTCAGAAAAACCACCCACAAAGCTGCCCCTGTGTTTCTTGCTACAGATGCTTGTAGTCGGCTGAATGATGAACCCCAAAAAGGTCCGTCCACACCCCACCTTAGAAACCTGCGAAGGTGACCTTATTTTAGAAGAAGAGTCTGCTGATGTAACTAAATTAAGTATCCCAAGATGAGATCACCCTGGCTTTTGCAGGGGGGCCTAAATCCAATGACAAGTGTCCTTGTAAGAGAAAGGAGAGGAGAGACAGGGAGAACAGGAGGCAACATGAGGACGGAGGCAGAGATGGGAGCAATGAGGCCACAAGCCAAGGAGCACCTGGAACCACCAGGAGCTGGGAAAGGCACGAGGGACCCTCCCCAAGAGCCTTCGGAGGGAGCCAGACGCTGCTGCCATCCTGATTTTGGACTTCCGGCTTCCTGAACTGTGAGAGAATACATTTCTGTTGCTTTAAGCCTCTAGTTTGTTTCTATCTGTTTCGGCAGCCACAGGAATTAATTCAATAATCTGTGGTGTCATTAAATGCGAAGGCTGGGTTTCTTAGTATTGGGGTTCCCATAATAAAATATAGAGTATCTGTAGAACACTTATAACTCTTCAAGAAGTTCTCCTTTCTACTACACATCAGCCTGGAAGGCACACTTCAAATGCCCAGCAAACCTCGCACACACCTGCATAAACCCCAAAACCAGCAATTGTGACTTTCAGTATCTGGGAAAGCATTGCTCTCTGCCTTGGCTCTGCTAAGAGGAAAAGCCCAGTTCTCAGATAGAAAAGGCATCCAGGAGATGTCCCAGTAGGGAATGGAGTTCTGAGATGTCCTTTCTCCTCCAACGGATCCGTTTCATGGGTTTTCATGCCCTGTTGGCGTCCTGGCCCACATGTGAAACCAAATAACGTTATAACACCACACGTCCCGCTGCATGGCATCCAGCGACCAGAGGCCTCTCACCCCTTCGGTGAGTCAGCAGCAGGAGCTGGTCCTGGGGCCATTTGGGTGGTAGCCTTCCCTTTCCAAAGCTTCCAGCACCAGCTCAAAGGAAACTGCTGACTTTTCTAGGTGAGAGGGTCTCTGGTCCATGAGTCAGCCTGCTCTAGGGCCACTGGGCCCTCCCTGTGTATCAGGTGCTGGACCTCTAACCAGTAAGAACAAGAGGCGGTGTGCTCAGTGAAGTGATGTCCCTCCTCTCCTGCCTCGGTTTCCTCTCTGTAAGTTGTTGGAATATTTCACAGGAGCCTGCTCAGCAGGTTGTAAGCTACTTGGAGACCTGCTCAGCTGGGCCCCTGTCCCTGCTGGATGCAAATATTCCATCCCGGGGGCCTTTAGTTAGACATCCTCCCACTTTTAAAATGAAACAGGTCCATATTTGGAGGAAAGAGAGAGGTGGATGTAACATTTATAGGAGAGAGAGACTAGGACGAAGAAAGAAAAGAAGACGTAAACTCTAAGCATCTGGGCAACATCAGGCCAGGGGGACTGGGCTGTCACCACTGCAGCTCCTCCAGGGCAAGCAGCAGACAGGACATGAGGATCAGGCCCCCGGACCAGCCCAGGAGAGGTCAGGCTCACGAGACGATCAGGCCTTGAGTCCAGCCCAGGAGAAGATCCGGCCACGGGGCCAGGAGAGGATCGAAGCTTTGTGATATCAGACAGCCCAGAACCCTAGATCCCTTGGCACTTAGGTGAAGAATTTCTTAAAGAATCAATCAAATGAAGACAAATTAAAGAACAAAGTAAACATTCTTGGATATTATGGGAGAAACAGCCCTATTTGAAGGTGGTATTCTAAGGAGAGAAATCAATCTAATGAAGGAAAGAAACTTGGAAGGACTTAGAGAAAGATGCCTCTGGACTCACACAAAACCTCCTAAGAGAAGACAGTTCCTGCTTACTCTAAGTCCAGAAGCAAGAACACACACTAAGGCAGGGGACAAAGACTGAAGAGGAACTTCCAGATCCCACAACGGGTCAGAGGCCTAAAGACCAACGGGAAACTAGCAGAGCACAGATGGCAGCTGACATCCAAAATGAGAAAGGACTATCGCTTACAAGAGACTTACAACGTGGCTACTCATTGTTTTGTTTTCATTTTTGTTTTTGTTTTTGAAGGGACAAGAAGGGAAATAAGCAATCAGTTTTCCTGATTTTTACAAAAAGGCATATAAGAAACGATAACCTATGCTTGCTTGTGGAAAGATTCTGAGATCACGGAATGAAAACCTGGGAATATGTCTTGGTCCTTCAGCCTGCTATAACAAAACACCTTGGACTGGGTAATTAATAAACAGCAGAAATGTATTGCTCACAGTTCTGGAGGCTGGGAAGCCCACGATCAAGGTGCTGGCAGATTTGGTATCTGGTAAGGACTGGTTGTCTCCTTCTCTGTGTCCTCACATGGTAGAAGGGGCCAACAAGCTCCTTTGGGCCTCTCTTGTAAGAGCACTAATCCCATTCATGCAGGCTCCACTCTCATGCCCTCATGACCCAATCACCTGCCAAAGGCCTCATCTCTTAATTCCATCATCTGGGGGTTAGGTTTCAACATATGAATTTTGTGGGGACGCAAACATTCAGACCACAGCAAAAGGGCAGTGGTAACACAGAAGCAGCCCAACTTTGAAACTGGCCTTCATCTGGTAAAAGTCAGTTCTTTTAATTACTCAACATGGGAATCTAGACTTATTCAGCCTCCCTGGGCCTGCCCTTGCTCAGGTGTTCAATGGCATTAACCAGGCCCAACAGTGGGTGTGGCGTGTCCACAGCTCTCAGGACTGTCCCTGCTCCTTCCTTGCCTTCTCAGCTGGGGAAAACTGATGCTGGTATCGCTAGCTGACGACCCCAGGGTGTCTGTGTCTGTTCTCACCATATTTCCAGCTCTGGTCCAAGCCTGTATCTTGCTCCTCTGTTTTTGGCAATTTCAATACCTGTAAGTACAGAGAGAAAAAGAAAATGGAGCAATTTCAGCACCTATACACTCAAAGACAGATGAAACAACCTGCTGCAGTAGGTAGGATAAAAAAAAAAACAAACAACAAACAAAAATGCTCTGTGCCTTCCCAGACGGGATGCAGTCAGGCTTCCTGTTGACAGCATGGCAGCAGAGGGCAGCATACACCTGTATACACCTGTATACACGAGTACGCCTGCACCTGCTTATACTTGCATATACCTGCTTATATCTGCAGGAAATGAGAAACAGGGAGGGCTTGCAGGTCTGACCCTTAGCACCATGGAGGAGGCGGAGGAAGAGGAAGAAGTCAGACCCTGGTAGTTTATTAACAAGGAAATGCCCAACACCATCTAGAGGAAAAAGGACTTAGAGGATTACGATCCAGCAGTGGTGCCACTGTCAGGCACCATCGGCTTACTGGTCTTGGGCAGCAGCTTCCAACAAGCACCTAGGGAGGAGAGGCTGGCAGAGTGGAAACTTAGTTTTGGCCAAGCCTTCTTCAGTTCAACTAGATTTGCTCTGAGCAAATGAGGTGAAAGCAGGTTGATATTTAAAAAATAAAAATAAAAAACCACTGGCTGCGGTGGCTCATGCCTGGAATCCCAGCACTTTGGGAGGCCAAGGCAGGTGGATCACTTGAGGTCAGGAGTTCGAGGCCAGCATGGCCACCATGGTGAAACCTTGTCTCTACTAAAAATACAGAAATTGGCCATGCATGGTGGCAGACGCCTGTAATCCCAGCTACTCAGGAGGCTGAGGCAGGAGAATCGCTTGAGCCCAGGAGGCAGAGACTGCAGTGAGCCAAGATGACACCACTGCACTCCAGCCAGGGCAACAGAGTGACAGTCCATGTCAAATAATAATAATCATAATAATAATCCAGGGCACATACTGATTAGATGCCATCTCTTGAAACATTCTGTTTCTATTGTTCCTGGCAAAGGCTCTTGCAGTCAGCAGACCAGTGCAAGACAAGCTGCAACCTGACTACACCTGCAGGCTTGCCCATTTAGGTGCAGGTGTAATAGTTTAACTTTTCATCCTCCACGGTGCGTCCATATGAACGAAAATTAGATGGTGACCTTTCAACAACCACACCCTATCTTCGAGGCCACCACGCCCGGCTGATTTTTGTATTTTTAGTAGAGACGGTGTTTCACCATGATGGCCAGGCTGGTCTTGAACTCCTGACCTCAGGTGACTTCCACCCCCTCCGGCCCCCCCAAAATGCTGGGATGACAGGCGTCTTTTTCTACTTCCCTTTCTGGGACGCCTTCTCCCACCAGGAAGGCCCACGGGGACCAGAGACCATCAATCTCTGGCCTCTGCACACCATCCCCGCCAGTGCGCAGCCATTCTGTTCAACTTAGATATCTCCGAGAATGGGCAGCTCAGTCCCAACCACGGGACCCCAGAGATATCAGAACACGGGTCCATCCCCAGGCCTCCCGCCTAAGCCGCCAGACTTTTCTTAACCGTGCCTTGTATATCGCTCGTCCCCGGGAACTATAAACACTCACTTCCCGACGAGGACCTGAGCACGTACCACTGGCGGGGTCATTGCCCATTATCTCACCTGATCCCATGCCCAGGGCCGAGAGTTTCCCAGGGCAAGGCTGTGAGCACGCCACGGGCAAGC
Organism: Homo sapiens; assembly: GCF_000001405.40. Taxonomy (NCBI): domain Eukaryota; kingdom Metazoa; phylum Chordata; class Mammalia; order Primates; family Hominidae; genus Homo; species Homo sapiens. Next base: position 71,453,444 of record NC_000011.10, on the reverse strand, counting down.
CTGGGCCCAGCCACGGTGCCCGTGCGCCACCCCAAACCGGTGCCCCCGCCGCCCCAGACTCACTCTTTAAAATTCTTTGCAAATTGCCCTCGAAGTCCAGGGCCCACTGGTTGAGTGCGCAGGTGGCCACGGTCACCTTCCGGCCCATCCTGGCCGCAGTCGCTTGGGCAGGAGGCCAGCGGGGGACAGCAAGACCAGGGTCCCAGCGAGGTAGGCGGCTGGGACGCCGGACCTTCCGGGTTGCCCGGCCCCGCCCCCTCCCCGCCCATCCGTTGAGGCTCCGGCCAAGGAGGACTGCGGCGTCAGGCCCTGCCTACGGATCGCCCCGCCCCGTCTGAGGAGCTCACGACCGCGCCTGCGCAGCGAGGTGGCCTCAGCGTTCACGGCACCGCGAAGGGCCCCGCCCCCGCCCCGGCTCCACCCACGTCCCAGGCCCCGGCCCCGGCCCGGCCCTTGCGGGCAAACCCGTTCAGGTGCACAGGTGCAGGGGGCTCACCGCCCAGCTGCAGCACCCCTCTATTTTATCCCACACCGCCACCCCACATCCAGCTTAGCCATGTTTTATTTTAATACGGCATGAAACGTTCCAAATACACCAAAAGTGGAGAGTACGGTAGGAGCGCTCCATCGTGCCCGCGGGACAGCAGACGATAGCAATCGATTCTCCGTGCTGGGAATCCCGCCACCCTGGGCGGATGGCGCTGAATTCTTGGGAACCCTCTCCTGCCCCTTTCACTCCTGTACCACGTGTGTAAGTAGCTCAGGTAGCGCACTGTTTGCCTTTTCTGAAACTACAGGAACTGCACTTGAATGTGCTTCTGCAACTTGATTTTTTCCCCTGTAATATGAGATACGTTCTTTTAATTATTTTTCTGCAGTTTGGTATTCCATAGTGGCAGTAAAGCAGGTTTATTCAATAGCGGATGGGCATTGACGTTATTAGCAGCGTTTTGCCAACAGACGCACGCACACAGGCACTGCTGCAATTTCCTTTCCGGCAAGGTTTCCTTCGTGACCTCGTTCCGCCAGTTCCTGCAGCAGCTTTGCAGAGTAGTAGGGTTCGTGCTGTTTGACTTTACTAAATATTGCCAAGTCTCTTCTCCAGGGCGCTTGCACCGATTCACTACCAGCGGTTTCTCACTTTTTATTTTTTCACATTTCCTCTTTAGTCCACCCACGGTAGAATCCATTTTTCCCCCATATAAATAACTGCCTCATCATCGTTGCTTGAAGAGGCCATCCTTCCTTCTGTCATTCATGTTAGTTTAAAAACACACAATTCACAAATTTGGAAAAAGAGAAGGCTTTATTTCTTGTAAACGGTCGTAGCCTGCAAGGTGGCGGCCATCTGTCTGAGGCTGGGAATCTGTCTCCAGCCAAGGCCAGAGACAGGCACGTCCAAGGAGGAGGGGTTGGGGCAGGAGCGCTATGCTGAAGGGATTGGCTAAACATACATATTCAACAGGTAACAGGAGGAGCTATGAATATTCATGAAGGTGGTCCTGACACATGCCCTCTTATTGAGCAAAGCATGTAATATATGACCCATGTTCACTTTGGGGTGGAGACTTAACATTTACACATCTTACAATTAGGGCCTTTATGGCAAAACGTCTTTTCAGGACACAAAGGCATGCAGGTGCATCATCTCTCTCTATTAACGGGTCAGCTGGTCGGCATGGTCAGCTGGTCGGTGGTCTCTTATTAGGAGAAAGTCACTGAAATCAGTCTCTTGTCCAATCACAGCTGCTATGGCTGGTGAAACAGAGTCAGTTAGTTGGCACCTAGTGGAGCTGCAATTGTTTTAATATTCCCTATCCCAAGGCTAGTGTGTGTTTGGCTAATAGAGAAACAGAAAGCCTTGTGGCTCTTAGAATATAGTTTATTCTCTAAGTGTGGGTTGCCTGACTTACCCTCGCCTAGCATGGCTTTGGGTCCTGTTTATAATTTGGTATCTTATTGCCACAGAGTCCGTTCTGTCAGTCTTACGATCTCTGTTTTAACATGAATGCCGGCCAGTTGTGGTGTCCAAACTCTGAAACAGGGGGCTATTACCAGGCGCATCTGACCTCCCATCCCATCATGTCTGGGAATTCAGTGTTGAGGTTTTTCTGGTGTCCCCTTGGTCAGGAGAAGGTCCCTTTGGTCAATGGGGGGCTTAGGATTTTATTTTTACCTTATGTACATATACCCGTTTTCACATTTTGAATCACTTTTTTTCCTGTCTATAAAGTAGTGCTTGTTCATGACAATTTGGAAACTCCACAAAAGCACCAGAATGTTATACATGCTAACTTATTTAATCCTCACAGTAGTTTTCATGCTTCTGAAATCCACACGATCTGCTCAAATTATCTCCTGCCAACAATGGCTGATGCCAGGCCTGGGCAGAGAAGGGGAGGATCCTTGAACATCTGGTTGTCCCAGAAAATAAGTAAGTACTCAAAGGATGGTAGATACATGTCATATGAAAAAAGAAGCCAATTTGAAGGGGCTCCCGTTAGCTAAATACAGGACAATACAGTAAGGATCATAACTCGGTCAGCTAAATCCATTAGGGCATACTGATAAAAAATAAATCAAAGAGGAAATCCCTACAGAAGAATGCTTGCTAATAAATAATTTATTAATAAATGTTGAGGGAATGATAAAATTAGAAAATTAACACTTTGTCCCAAGAAATAAGGGATTCAGGCAAGATTCCTCATTAAATGCTAGTTCACTGGGTGAAAGGTCATTTGGGAACAGCATATTTACAGTCTCAAAGTATCACTGCACCAATTACTCATTAATAACAAAAGGAAAAATGGAGACTTCTGGCAGAAACCACGGAGCCCCACTATCAATCATGGAGCACAGTGATATGTTGTCTTAAAAAAGAAAATTTTAGGACTCTTGAAATTTATTAGGTCAACTTGGGCAACAGAGCAAGATCCTGTCTTTAAATAAATAAATAAAAATAAATAAATTTATTATGTCAAGAGGGAAGTTAAGTCCTAGAAACTGGGTCACATAGCATGTTTGTAATTTTGTCTTTTAGATTATAGGCTGTTTTTCTTTATCATTCATGTTTTATAAATGACTAGGAGAGACCACAGACCAGGCCTGCTCCCCTTTTAATTACTGATCTTTATTATAGATTGTCTCTTATTATCCCGTACTTAGACCAGACTCCTACATCTTCAGTGTAAAATGTTAAATATACCTTCCACCTAAAAAAGACCACCTCAGCTGGTCAGATTATAACTTTATGCATAAAAAGATGTTAAAATTCTGTTAAACTTCCCTAAAATTTGTCTACATAAATGATCCCAAACATCTACAGTTCAAAATACTGATTTCCATTCTTTAAAATCTGTGCTTCCCAGGCAGCCTGTCCTCAAACTTTATACACTTAAATAAACTCTCTTTAAGCTAAATTCTGACCTGTTTGGTTATTTCAGGTTGACAGCCTTCTAACAAGATAAAACATGCTCTATGTAGTATATTATCCTGCCAAAAAAAGTGCATAGCCTGAATGCACAGTGTGGCTCCCTGATTAGATCCTGGGGTTTAAAAAAGGGCTGTAGGGCAGAGCTTCACACCTGTAGTCCCAGCACTGTAGGAGGCCACAGTGGGTGGATCGCTTGAGCCCAGGAGTTCGAGACCAGCTTGGGGAACATAGTGAGACCCCCCCCCCCACCCATCTCTACCAAAAAAAAAATAGCGTGTGGTGGTGTGCTCTTGTAGTCCCAGCTACTCAGGAGGGTGAGGGAAGAGAATCGCTTGAGCCCAGCAGTTCAAGGCTGCAGTGAGCTGTGATCGTGCCACTACACTCCAGCCTGTGTGACAGAGACCCCCGTCTTAACAAAGCAAAACAAAACAACAATAACAAAAGGGCTGTAAAGGGCATTATTGGGACAACCGCGGGAAACTGGAGATGGAAAATAGATAACAGCATTGAACTGATGTGGTCATTGTATTTTGGTAATATAGGAGGTTCTTGTTCTTAAGGAGTTGGATACCGAAGTATTTGGGAGGGGGGTATCACGGTATCTGCAGCTAATGGTGGGGGCTGAGTGGGGAGGAAAAAAGAAAAATACACATATATAAACACAGAGGGAGAGAAATGAAACGTGGCCAGCTGCTCACCCCTGCTGAACCTAGGAATCTGCGTGCTCACTTTACGTTCAACTTGTTTGTATGCTGAACATTTTTCAAAACAAAAAGGTGCAGGGAAAAAAGAAAACATGATGTCTCTCTGAGGGCCACAGAGACGTGGCAACCAGATCGCTCTGACAGTAAGGCCTGTTACCCGAGCTGTTGGGTGTGGGGTCAGCAGACACCTTCAGCTGCCCCCTCCTCCAGGGCTGCCTCGCCCCAGGTCATGCCCTCGCAACGTGGCCCGTGCGTCCGGCTCGCACTGTGGCTCAGCTTCTCCCTTTGCCCAGTCCTGCTGCTCCCTCCCCTCCCGTCCTCGCACAGGTGTGCCCCCCTAATAAGCAGGCCACCCAGACTCCATCTCGGGTCACTTTGGCGGTCTCCCAGCGGCGAGCCTTCCCTGACACCCATGTGTTTACCTGATCGTTTATGGAGGATCCTCTTCGCCCCGGGACGTGAGCCCTAGGACCAAGAACTGTGTCTGTTTTGCTCCTTGCGGTGCACCGGCGCCTGGACATACGCTCCATCAATGTGCGTCGCGAGCCGCTGAAGCCCCATTTGCCGAGGGGGAAACTGAGGCACGATGATCCAGGTGATGAGCCTGGCGCGTTCTCCGCGCGGCCCACGTGGCCACTCCGCCACGCCCCACCCCCAGCTGGTCAGCTGGGATCCCGAAGAAGCGCCAGAGGCTGCGCCCACCCACTAGGGCCCGGGCGGGCCGGTGGGGCGGCAGGGCGGGGCCTGGGCCGTCAATCTCGAGTCCGGCCGCTGCCGAATGGCGGGCGCGGTGGGCCCGGAGTCAGCTCAGGCTCCTCGACCAATCACGGGGCGCGGAGCCGCCGGGCGTGCAGGGTCCGCCTCCGATTGGCAGGCAATCGCTGACATCATCCGGGGGCGGGCGCCCCTGCCCTGCGGGTGACTCCGACCCCTGGCTAGAGGGTAGGCGGCGTGGAGCAGCGCGCGCAAGCGAGGCCAGGGGAAGGTGGGCGCAGGTGAGGGGCCGAGGTGTGCGCAGGTGAGTGGCCAAGGTGTGCGCAGGTGAGGCCAGGGGAAGGTGTGCGCAGTGGGGGGCGCTTGCCCAGGTGAGCAGGTGCCCACTCACAGGGCGAGGGTGGGGTCAGGGGTAGGGGGCGTGCGCGCAGGTGGGGAGAGGGTCCAGCTCACAGGCGAGGGGCCGCTGGGGCTCCGGGGAGGCGGGGCGGAGGCGTGGATAGTCCCCCTCCCCCACGAGCCGGCGTCTGAGGGATGCTCTGTCCCCGCGCTGTCTGGAGCTTCCCCGGGCGAAGGCTGCCTGGCTCCGGGGTCGGCTCCTGGCCCCATGCCGCGCTCCGCGGCGGCTCTTTCTCCTGCCCCACCTGTTGTTCGCCTCCCTCTTTGTCAGTGCTGAGCCAGGCACAGCAGCTTTGCGATGGGACTGGCTTGTCCGCCGTCCTCCCTGACATGCGGCTGTTGAAGCCCTGAGCACTGGACCTTCTGCCTCTTGCTTGACTCCTACTGTGGGCCTTGAGCTTCTGCCCTCTCCTGAAATGTCAGCTGCCTGCGGTCTTATTCATTTTTGTGTTCCTTGCAGGACTTTAGCCGGTTGAGAAGGATCAAGCAGGCATTTGGAGCACAGGTGTCTAGAAACTTTTAAGGGGCCGGTTCAAGAAGGAAAAGTTCCCTTCTGCTGTGAAACTATTTGGCAAGAGGCTGGAGGTAAGTGTATCTCAGTGCCCTGGATCGTGGGCGCAGGCTATGGCTTCACAGCGTTGAAAGTACAGACAGACTGGTCCACCAGCTCTCGAGTGCCAACGACTGTCTGTGCCTCTTATGAGTAAAATACAACATACCAGGGCACCTCCCCTTTGTCTGTTCCCAGCCGTCTATTGGGAAGGATGTTACTTAGATGTTTATTGCACAACTCAATGCTTGTGGCTAAAGAGCTGACTCCTGGGTGAATGAACTCTGTAATAAGCTAAAAGTACTTCTTTGGTCTTGTTTTAATCCCTTTTGACAACATTCTCCCAGTGGCTTTTTCACACTTTAGTTCTGAGGTTACACATCCCCTGACCCTTTTGCAATTTCCCAGTGTTTTACATAATTGATAATGTTGGTACCAGGCATTGTCCCCTTGTAGCTTATCCATGGCTTGGGGCAAGACGAATGCCACCCCATTCTACTTAGCCTTCCTGTAAGGCAAGTGTGCATGTGGGTGGTCTGGATTAACACCAGTCAGTGTGGGAACTAGGGATCGGAGGGAGTGGGGGCACTGAGCTGGTAAGTTTTGGCTGGGAAGAAACTAAGCTTGTATCTTACCTTGATGAGAGCCTGGGGGAGAGGAACTGTCTAAAGCAAGCCAGCTTGTCCAGGTGGCTGTGATCTTGAGATCAGACTCACTAGCGTGTCAGCTTTTCTCAGAAGTAGTTTTCTTTCATCCACTTTGATTTTACAGATATAAGGAGAGTGACTGGCACTCGCCAGGCTCTGTATTCAGTATTTGGGGCCGGAGAGAGACACGGTCTCTTCCTATCAAGAACTCTTCGTCTTGTTTTGTGCATCATAGGAACTGCATAAACTAACTTGTGTAAATTGAATGAAGTGCGGGTACTGAAGTTCTCACACTGCATAAGGAAAATGTCTTTCATCGTTGAAATTTTTTAAATGTGTGTGAATTTTTATTAAAGTAATTCATGCACACATTTTTTTAAAAATCAGTGTTAAAAGGCTTCAGAAGAAATACTCTCTACCACATCCCACATCCGACAGTCTTGCTTGCCAGCAGCAAACACTTTTCATTCTTTCAGCTACTTTTGTGTTGTTGTTTGTACCTACTTGTTTCTAAGTAATTTCCTTTTAGTACCCCTAACTTTGCAAATTCCCTTCTGTGCATACAATAGTCAATAAATAGTCAGAGTATACATTGTTATGACAAAATTACCATTATTCACTGTTGAGCCAAGTAAGGTCCTATAATAATGGCTTGGTTTCTTTTTTTCCTTCCTTATATGACTTTTTATTTTTCCTGGAGTTAACAGTTGCCTTCCTTTTTTTTTTTTTTTTTTTTTCATTTGGTAAGGTTTCTATGCATCTCTCATTCATTTTTTTCTGGATGCTCTAACCGAGCTGTCACATATATCAATAATTTTCCTACACATTCAGATGCAACAAAATTCATCATTTTCATTTCCTCTCTTTCCTAGCCATTCATCTTGTACCAATGTGGACTGGTTTCTGGTTAGTCCTGCTGCATAGCTGTCCTCTTGGGACTTGCCCCTGCCCTTTTGTGGACATGGCTTCAGCAGCTCTCTTGGGTCTCCAGTTTCCTGGATCCTATGTTGTTGTCCTTGAGTAATAGTTCACATAGGAGTAGAATTCTAGGTTGCAAAAAGTTTTCCTCAAAATTTTGAAGTTTTTCATCATTGTCTTCTAGAATCCAGCTTGCTGTTGAGAAATCTAAGCCTACTGTGATTTTTACTCCTGTTTTTTCTCTAAAAGCTTTCAAGAGCATCTTTTAAAAAATCTCAGATATTTTAAAGCTTCACAGTTATGAACTTGTTCTGGAAGTGGGGATGTCACTGCTTCCCCCAAATTATAACCATGTAGAGCAGCTGTGGGTACCTAGAGACATTCTGTGTTCTCTTCCCCTTTTTTTTGAAGGGTGATTATTGATGGTCCTACATGGGCCACTGTTCTAGGCCCTGGTAGTAGAACAATGAAGAGGACACACAATTCCTGCCCTTGGGAAGCTTACATTCTAGTGAGGGGAGACAGACAATACACACACACAAATGAATACTTCTAGGCGATGGGGAGAGTTACTAAGAAAATAAAGTACCCAGTGGAGGGCCTTGGCAGGGAAGCTGGGGAGCAGCTGCTTCAGATTGGCTGAGAGGGAAGATCTCCCCAGGAGGGGACATTTTACATGAGCCCTGAACAAGGACACCTGCAAACGTGCTCTAAGCAGAGGAAGTCAGTGCCACAGACAATTTAAACTGTGTTCAAGGATGAGTGAAGACCCCTGTGTTCCTGGAGCCAAAGGAGAATAGGGGAGAGTGGTGTGTAGGAGGGAGGCAGGAGCCAGCTTGTGCTGTAAGAGGGGGGGCATTCTGCCATGTTTGGAGAATGAACTGAGACTAGCAAGAGCAGCCATAGCAAGGTCACGTGGGAGGTGATTGCAGGGTCCAAGGAAGAGAGTCTAAGACAAGATGATCTCTTCCCTGCCTGGAATCTGCTGTCAGGAACAAGGTACCGGGAAGATGTGCACAGGAGGCCAGCCCTGCCAGGCCCAGGAGCAGTGGTGGATGCAACAGGGAAAGGTGGTGTCTGTTATTTGAGGGATAATGTAAGCAAGGTTCTCTTTCTTGCAGGGCCCAATGGCTGCAAAATCGCAACCCAACATTCCCAAAGCCAAGAGTCTAGATGGCGTCACCAATGACAGAACCGCATCTCAAGGGCAGTGGGGCCGTGCCTGGTAAGGATCTTGCCTGTTCTCCCAGCTAGAAAGTAAAGTGTGGTCTCAGAGCTTTCCAGCCTTTGGAATTGTATGGACCCAAAGGAATGAAGGACCTTTTTAAAAAAGATTTTTTTTTTTTTGTCAAGACTAATGAAAGGTAAACAGTTTTCCACTTTATAAAGTAAGGAATTATAAAAAGAAACTAGAAATCATGGTCAGTCAACAACTTAGAAAAAAAGATAAAGGCTTAAAGGGCAGCTGGGGCCTTCCCACCATCTGGGGGTATGACCTATTGTCACAGCTCCCATTTCGCCATAGAACCATGGGGACTTCGTGCAGGGTGAGTATCCTCTCCGACCTGGAACTGGGGAAACCACTGGCCTTGGTGGTTGTGAAAGACCTACCTCCGCTCATATTCTGAGCTCTGGGCCTTCCATGGGGGCCACAGATAGTGCCACCAGTTAATCAACTACAGTAGAGCAGGCATGTTGAGTGGCTTCCCTGGCCGCAAGGAGGGCCCGTGCTAGGAGCTAATGCCTTCTGTCATGGGGTACTGGTGGGTTTGAGCAACAGTTCTCCCACACAGAGCCTCTTAGGGTCCTGGTGGGGCCCAGGGCAGATGGGCCCCAGTGTGACTGCCTGCATCCGTCCTCGCAGGGAGGTGGACTGGTTTTCACTGGCGAGCGTCATCTTCCTACTGCTGTTCGCCCCCTTCATCGTCTACTACTTCATCATGGCTTGTGACCAGTACAGCTGCGCCCTGACTGGCCCTGTGGTGGACATCGTCACCGGACATGCTCGGCTCTCGGACATCTGGGCCAAGACTCCACCTATAACGAGGAAAGCCGCCCAGCTCTATACCTTGTGGGTCACCTTCCAGGTCAGCAGCCCCTGCCCTGGGGTTGGGACACAGCAGGTGGGGAGCGTGCCCTCCTGCTGGGGTAGTCCTTCCATTTGTCTGGGACATGGATCCTGGCTCAGGTTGACATCTGGGTTCCCGGGACCCAGCAGGGCATTCCCTGGACTCTGACATGTTCAGATTCATCCTCAGCTGTAAGGCAGGAGGCACCTGTCACATCAGCGTTTGATACACCTTCACGGCATGCCTGCATGCAGTTGCTGGGCACGCCCAGCTCTGCAGGGACAAGCTGAGGATAGGAGCAAAACCCCGTGGGAGGGCAGTGCTGTCCTGAGGAAGCCCCATTGTCAGCAGGAGTCACGCCTTGCACCAGGTCTGGAAAGGAGCATCTCAGTCCCCAAAGGGACTCTCTCAGTCATGAGATGCCACTCAGAGAAGCGAGGGCCATGTTTCCCCACAGGCAGTCGAGGCAGGTCCAGGACGTCCTCAGCTCCATGGTGTCCCCACTGGCCTCCCAGTCCAGAGGGAGTTCCAGGAAGGGGTTGTTGTAAACCTGGTGCACACATGGGTGGTGCTGATTGCCTGAACCCAGGAAAAGGTTTCCAGGGAAACGGTGCTAGAAAGAGACAGGCCTGGGTTTTCCTTCCTGGGCGGGAGGAAGGCTCAGATCATGATTAGCTGTTTCTCCCCAGGGTCCAAGCTTCTGGGCTCCAGAATACTTCTCAGTTCAGATCTCTTGGTCCCTTTGAGTGAAAAATGACAGGGGCAGTGTGAATCACAAATAGCCACAAAGCAGGAACCCCCACCTGTCCATCAGTAGATGAATGGACCCACAGAACAGAACACTGTGCCCACTGTGGGACACTATTTGGCAGCGGAAGGGAATGAAGCTCTGATGCCAGTAGGCGGATGACCCTTGAAGACACTGCTGAGCGAGAGAAGCCAGTCACAGAGGCTGCATACTGTGTGGTTCCCTTTATATGCAATACCCAGTACAGGCAAATCCACAGAGGCAGAAAGCTCAGTGGCAGCCAGGGGCGGCAGGGACAGGGAATTCAGAGTGACCGGAGATTGGAACAACATTTTCTTCTGTGGTGATGAAAAGTTCTGGAATTAGCAGTGATAGGTGTACAACCAACCATGTAAATGCGCTAAATGCCGCTGAATTGTGCACTTTAAAAGGGTGAATTTTAGCCGGGTGTGGTGGTGCACACCTGTAATCCCAGCTACTTGGGAGGCTGAGGTGGAAGGATCACTTGAGCTCAGGAGGACAACGCTGCGGTGAGCTATGATTGCACCACTACACTCCAGCCTGGGTGGTAGAACAAGACCTCATCTCAAAGATAGATTTATATATATATATAAAAAGTTGAATTTTATGGGATTCTCCATTTTAAAAAGGTGACTGGGAGGGACCTGTGCGCTCTCCTGAGGGGCGAATGGAGCCCTGGGGGAGAACGCCTTGGCACCTTCCCTGGTTGATGAGTTTATTGTCTCAGAACCCCCTTCAAAACCCACAGCCCAGCAGTTTGAGCTTCCAGGAGCCATAAGTGCTTCAGGAAGAAAAAGACTATGATTGTGATTCTCATGTTCCTGCTATGCGTCCCCCTTTGCAGGTGCCCTCCAGGCGGGGGGTGATCAGGCTGCTTGTGTGTTTCAGGTGCTTCTGTACACGTCTCTCCCTGACTTCTGCCATAAGTTTCTACCCGGCTACGTAGGAGGCATCCAGGAGGGGGCCGTGACTCCTGCAGGTAGCCTCCTCCCTTCCACCCTCCCCAGGCTCCCGTTCTCATCCCTTTCTCTCAGGGGCCAGTCCTCCCCAGCGCTGCTTTGTCCCTAAGACTTGTCACAGGATAGAAATCCATTTTGCTTGGATTTTTCACAGCACCAGGCCTCAAAACCATTGAGGGCAGCTGGGGCCATCCCACACCCAGGTTAGAAATCACTTTCCTGGGTAAGGAGGGAATGGATGGCCCAGCTCCTTCCCAGCCCCATAGCAGGGGATGCACTCGGCCCATGAAGCTTCCTGCAGAGACCACCATGCAGAGACCACCATTCCTCGGGGCTGTCCGTGGGAGACCTTGTCTGTTCATTCCTTGCCATCATTGAGAACCCACGAGGAGCCTGGCTTTGTGCCTCTCACGTGGGTGCAGACTGGAACCGCATCCCAACTCTGCCCCCAGAAGCTCCCTGTTTTGAGGGGTGGATGGGCTGAGGTGCTCCCCAACAATTACAGAGGGGGCCAGGCATACCACAGGGGCATCCTCACTTGCTTCTGCCCCTCAGCCCTGACCTCCCTATCAGACTGCACACCTGTCACTCAGCCTATGGCCAGTTAACGAGATGCAGAACCAAAGGATGGACTCAGCCTCCCCTCCCTCTTCCTAGGAGCAGGTAGTTCCTTGGCCAAGGGTATAGGGGCCTCAGAGATGGTTCCTGGGGCCCCAGATGAGGGTCCGCAGCAGCAGAGGCCCAGAAAGTGACCAGGGCCCCCGCCAGGCATGCTTCAGCCCAGCCAAGCTCCTCACTGCGGGTTGGGAAAGCGCCTTCATTTCTGAATCCTTCATCTGCAGGGGTTGTGAACAAGTATCAGATCAATGGCCTGCAAGCCTGGCTCCTCACGCACCTGCTCTGGTTTGCAAACGCTCATCTCCTGTCCTGGTTCTCGCCCACCATCATCTTCGACAACTGGATCCCACTGCTGTGGTGCGCCAACATCCTTGGCTATGCCGTCTCCACCTTCGCCATGGTCAAGGGCTACTTCTTCCCCACCAGCGCCAGAGACTGGTATGTTCTTAGCAGCGGGTCCAGCCTGATGTAGAAAGTGCAAACTTCACCCCTGGCCTTTCTTGCTGCCTGGGGCAGGTGGTTGTAAAGCCCTGAGCACTGAGAATCCGTGGAAGAGGAGGAGGGGGATGGAACTTGCTTCACCCTGGGGAACATCCTTTCTGAATGTTTGGTGGCTTCTCCAGCCTTGGCAAGAATGCAGCTGAAGATGGCCAGGTCAGCTGTGGTGGCCAAGTCATTGCCTTTAGGGCTGGCGTGGGGGTAAGGAAGCCAGGAAAAACTTCTGGCTTGGGGCACAGGCAGCCCATTGCCTCTTTCTTTGGATAAGCTGGTGAGGCCCAAAACAACCTTAGTGAAGAGTCTTATTGTCCCTGTGGCTTTAATTAACAGCTTCCCAGGAGAGCCCTGCTGGCTTGTACCCATTCCCATGGCTGGACAGTGGTGAGCCACTCATCTCTGTCCACTCATCCATTCACCTGCCCATCTCCCCACCCACCCATCCACCCCCCTACCCATTCATCTACCTACTCACCCATCATCCACCTACCCATTGCCCCATCCCATTCACCCACCCACCAATGCATCATCCATCCACCTATCCATCACCCACATCCACCCACCCATCATCCATCCATCTACCCTCCCATCACCCATTCATCCATCTGCCCATCCACCTACCCACCCACCTACACATCTAGCCACACACCCATCCACCTGCCCATCTCCCCATCCTTCCACCTACCCACCCACCCATCCATCATCCATCTCATCCACCTGCCCATCCACCCTCCACCCCGTCTGTCTACCCACCCGTCATCTATTTGTCCATCCACCTATCCACCTACCCACCCACCTACACATCTAGCCACCCACCCATCCACCTGCCCGTCATCCATCCATTTACCCATCCATCCACTCTATCAGGGCCTGTAATGGCATGTGCCGAGGGGAAGGAATGCATCATCTCATCCAGGTCAACCTCCTGCCTGAGCAATGTCCGCAGCTCCTGACCGGCCTCCCTTACCCTCTCAGGCCCTCCTAGCCTGCTCCCTCTGGCTTCCTGGGTGACACTTCTGAACACACCTGATCCCTGCCACCCTGCACCCCAGCTCAACCCTGCCTATCATATATCCATCCACCTGCTCCTCTCCCCATCCCATTCATCCATCCTTCCACCCACTCACCCTGTTATCTATCCATCCATCCATCATAAACCAATGTTTGGGGGGTTCTCTTGTGGACAGTTGTAGGCAGTGGGACTTACAGTTCAGTTTGGGGGATCCAAAAAACCCCAGTGTGGTTTACACCTAGGCTCTTGGGAAATGTTTCTGGAGGATGACACTTTGTAGCTTGTGTGTTATCAGATAACGAGGCTGGCCTTCAATGGCTCCTGGAAATCATCCTCGCTACCTTATAATCATGTAGACTTTGTGTGTTTTGCTTCTTTCTACTTACCCTACCTGAGGGAACTGGACATGAAAATAGGATTTTCTAGTTAACACAGAAATTGTTGTGTGTCCTCAGCCAGCTAGACCTAGTCAGGGTCTCCACAGGGGTTATCTCGGCTGATGCTCTGGCCCTCCGGGGATTGGGGGATTCAGGTAACTGGTCAAAGAACTTGTCCTGCACATGCTGGAAGCCGGGCCCAGGGTGCGTTTGTCATTCTCTACGTTGGCGTGATTTATAATGTCACTCACCCATGAGGGCCCACGTGCCCTGCGTCGGCTTCAAACCGTGTGCTTGGGCCCCAGAACGTAATCTCAGTGCAATCAAGCCAGTTCTTCAGCTCACCTGTGCCATGCGTCAAGGGCATCTGGAGAAGGGTAGAGAGAAACCCAGGTACCAGCCCAGGGCCGGTCTCCCACCCTTCCCGGGTGCAGAGCAGGTGCCCCTGGGCTTCTGCCTAAGGAAGTCTCTGCTGAGCAGCAGCTGAATGCAAAGCAAAGTGAATGAGGGCGCCAGGAACCAGCCGACAAGCATTCCAGCCGTGGGGGTCCCAGCGGCTCATGGCCAGCTTCTGCCTGCGCCGTCTCACGTTACCCTTTAGGACCCTGGGCCAGTGCTGGGCTCTCGCTAAGTAAGGTGGCTTCATCTTGTGAGATATGCTCATCCACTAAATGTATCTTTTATTTATATTTTTAAGCAAATTCACAGGCAATTTCTTTTACAACTACATGATGGGCATCGAGTTTAACCCTCGGATCGGGAAGTGGTTTGACTTCAAGCTGTTCTTCAATGGGCGCCCCGGGATCGTCGCCTGGACCCTCATCAACCTGTCCTTCGCAGCGAAGCAGCGGGAGCTCCACAGCCATGTGACCAATGCCATGGTCCTGGTCAACGTCCTGCAGGTGCCTGTCATGGCTGGAGAGGGTGAAACGCCGATGCCGGCAGGCTCTGGGGGAACCCGCAAGCCAGAGCGTATTCCCATGACCTTAATCTACTGCTTGTAAAAGAGAGTCAGCTGCCCTCCCCAGGTGTCACCAGGAAGCAGCCGGCGAGCACTTGGTGAAGGAAGCCATCCTTGGGTGCCTGTCTCTGCCAGCCCTGGGAGGGGAGGAGGCAGGTTCTACGCAGCCAGGCGTGGTCCAGGAAGGTCTCCCTTGGGGATTACACCTGGGTAGAATCTGGGGGTGTGTGGGAGTTAACCTGGTAGAGTGGAGGCAAGAGTGCATGCTCCAGGAACCCCCTGTAGGGAGAGAGGGTGGCAAGTCTGGGACACTCAGAAACATCCCGCATCCTGACCAGAGAGCGTTCAGGAGCTCAGAGCCAGGTGAGGCTGGAGGCCTCATGGAAGTCTTCCTCTTTATCTTAAAAGCAGCAAGACCCAGAAAGTGTGTGCTGAGCTGGGGTGCAGGGTGGCAGCGATCAGGTGCATTCGGAAGCGTCACCCAGGGAGCCAGCGGGAGCTGGCTAGGAGAACCCGAGAGGGTGAGGGAGGCCTGTCAGGAGCTGTGGACGTTGCTCGGGCAGGAGGTTGACCTGGATGGGATGAATGTATCCCTTCCCCTTGGCACGCGCCATTGCAAGCCCTGAGAACCTGGGCTGGGAGAGATGCCAGGGCCATGGGCTCGGGGTGGTTCTGAGGACAAGGAAGCCCTTAGCCCTGCCCATGACCCAGGCAGGAACAGCCCCAGCCGCAGGGAAGGAACAGCCCCAGCATTGAGGAAGTTGCTGAGCAGCTCCCGAGCACCCCCTGCTGCATCTGCGTGGAGTGTGATTTCCCCGAGGTCCATGGGGGCCCCAGGAGGGCCGGGGGTGGTCAGCGGCTGCTTCTGTCTTGCAGGCCATCTACGTGATTGACTTCTTCTGGAACGAAACCTGGTACCTGAAGACCATTGACATCTGCCATGACCACTTCGGGTGGTACCTGGGCTGGGGCGACTGTGTCTGGCTGCCTTATCTTTACACGCTGCAGGTGAGGAGGTGGGCAGAGCTGGCCCAGCGGGGCATTTGGCAGACACATGCTAAGCTTTCTCCTTGCAGAAGCGTCTGTCCTTGGGGGCACCAAAGCTGCCCCCTGTTTCTAGGAAGAAGGGAAGGCCTCGTGTATTAGCCAGCTCAGCCAGCTTGGGCCAGCAGCCAGGGAGGTGGCCTTGAGTATGTCCCTAACATCTGCAAAGTAGGGCAGATGCCGGCTCAGGGCTGGATGGGGCAGTGGAGGTGGAGGTGGGTCAGTGCGGGCACTGGCAGGAGGGGTCCTCTTCATTCCTGCCTCCTAGGATGTGCTGGGCACTGGGGCAGGGCTGCCCTGGGAGTTCCAGGACAGTAGGGGATAGCAAGTGGCCTTGTCATTGGCATCAAGCCCCCCACTCCCCTCCCAGCTCAACGAGAGCAGCCCTGCTCTGATTTGGGGAGAGTGCTGGGCTCCCAGGTAAGGTGGCTGCTTGACCAGATGCCACCTGCCCATTTCAAGAGCAACGAGCCCCCTGGGGACAGAAATAACTCACCCCAGGGCACTTGCTTAGCAGAACGGTGGGGTGGCCTGCCCCAAGAGGCTGTGCCCAAGTGGAGAGAACCAACGTGGAGAGGCTGTCACCTATTCAGGATGTGACAGGCCCGGCATCACCTGTGACAGCCAGTCCTGTGGGATGGAGGTGCGGGTGTCCTGGAAAACCAGGATTCCCACAGCAGAGGGGGCCAGTACCAGGTGGAGGGTGCAGAGCCCCAGCTGGCCCCATGCTCACACCAGGTCCTTGGAGCCCCCCGCATGGCCCACCCGGCCCCATTTCTCCACCTGGCTGGCTGCAGGTCTGCTGGTTCCCTGGTTTTATAAACTCCATTTTCCAAGGATGTGAAAACGTAGCAATAGGTCCCACTATATAATAGCTCTTACTTGCTTTAGCCTCTGTGTGTGTCTCGAGATGTACATTTTTTATACTATATATTAGGTTTCTCCCAAGAAGCAGAATCAATAGAGGGGTGGAGGGTATACGTGTAAGAAAGAGATGTATTTTTCAACTCATGTGATTGAAGAGTGACAAGTCCAAGATCTTCAGGGCAGCCTGGAGCCCCAGGGAAGAGTTGATGCTGTGCTTAAATAGAAGGTCACTTTTTTTTTTTTTTTGAGACGGAGTCTCGCTCTGTCACACAGGCTAGAGTGCAGTGGTGTGATCTTGGCTCACTGCAACCTCCACCTCCTGGGTTCAAGTGATTCTCCTGCCTCAGCCTCCCGAGTAGCTGGGATTACAGGTGCATGCCACCACGCCCAGCTAATTTTTGTACTTTTAGTAGAGATGGGGTTTCACCATGTTAGTCAGGCTGGTCTCAAACTCCTGATCTCGTGATCCGCCCGCCTTGGCCTCCCAAAGTGCTGGGATTACAGGTGTGAGCCACTGTGCATGGCCAGAAGGCCACTTTTTAGCAGATTCCCTCTTCTTTGGGGAAGGTGGGTCTTCTGTCTCTTAAAGCTGTCAACTGATTGGATGAGGCCCACCCCCATTGTGAAGGGTCATCCACTCTGCCTGGTTGACTGATTAACATATGAACCTCATCTGAAAAATGCCTTTACAACTAGTGTTTGACCAAATATCTGGGAACAATGGCCTGGCCAAGTGGACACGTTAAATTGACCATCACAATATTAAATTCAGATTATATTTTTAATACTGTTACATATTTGATGTTTATGCTATATGTCATATATATAGGGGGTATATATACACACACACATACACACACAGACAGGTAGAAGGCAGGTAGAGTTACTCATTTAATGACCACAACAGCCCTCAAGGTTGGTGCTTTTATTCACAGAAGAGAACACGGAGGCAAGGCGTGTGTCAGAGGCAGAGCTGGGGTTTGACCCCAGGCCGCTGGGCCCCCGAGCCCACACTCCTGTCCTCTCCCTGGGCAAAGCACCGCTTGACCCCTTCCCCCTCGCCCCCCAGGGTCTGTACTTGGTGTACCACCCCGTGCAGCTGTCCACCCCGCACGCCGTGGGCGTCCTGCTGCTGGGCCTGGTGGGCTACTACATCTTCCGGGTGGCCAACCACCAGAAGGACCTGTTCCGCCGCACGGATGGGCGCTGCCTCATCTGGGGCAGGAAGCCCAAGGTCATCGAGTGCTCCTACACATCCGCCGATGGGCAGAGGCACCACAGCAAGCTGCTGGTGTCGGGCTTCTGGGGCGTGGCCCGCCACTTCAACTACGTCGGCGACCTGATGGGCAGCCTGGCCTACTGCCTGGCCTGTGGCGGCGGCCACCTGCTGCCCTACTTCTACATCATCTACATGGCCATCCTGCTGACCCACCGCTGCCTCCGGGACGAGCACCGCTGCGCCAGCAAGTACGGCCGGGACTGGGAGCGCTACACCGCCGCAGTGCCTTACCGCCTGCTGCCTGGAATCTTCTAAGGGCACGCCCTAGGGAGAAGCCCTGTGGGGCTGTCAAGAGCGTGTTCTGCCAGGTCCATGGGGGCTGGCATCCCAGCTCCAACTCGAGGAGCCTCAGTTTCCTCATCTGTAAACTGGAGAGAGCCCAGCACTTGGCAGGTGTCCAGTACCTAATCACGCTCTGTTCCTTGCTTTTGCCTTCAAGGGAATTCCGAGTGTCCAGCACTGCCGTATTGCCAGCACAGACGGATTTTCTCTAATCAGTGTCCCTGGGGCAGGAGGATGACCCAGTCACCTTTACTAGTCCTTTGGAGACAATTTACCTGTATTAGGAGCCCAGGCCACGCTACACTCTGCCCACACTGGTGAGCAGGAGGTCTTCCCACGCCCTGTCATTAGGCTGCATTTACTCTTGCTAAATAAAAGTGGGAGTGGGGCGTGCGCGTTATCCATGTATTGCCTTTCAGCTCTAGATCCCCCTCCCCTGCCTGCTCTGCAGTCGTGGGTGGGGCCCGTGCGCCGTTTCTCCTTGGTAGCGTGCACGGTGTTGAACTGGGACACTGGGGAGAAAGGGGCTTTCATGTCGTTTCCTTCCTGCTCCTGCTGCACAGCTGCCAGGAGTGCTCTGCCTGGAGTCTGCAGACCTCAGAGAGGTCCCAGCACCGGCTGTGGCCTTTCAGGTGTAGGCAGGTGGGCTCTGCTTCCCGATTCCCTGTGAGCGCCCACCCTCTCGAAAGAATTTTCTGCTTGCCCTATGACTGTGCAGACTCTGGCTCGAGCAACCCGGGGAACTTCACCCTCAGGGGCCTCCCACACCTTCTCCAGCGAGGAGGTCTCAGTCCCAGCCTCGGGAGGGCACCTCCTTTTCTGTGCTTTCTTCCCTGAGGCATTCTTCCTCATCCCTAGGGTGTTGTGTAGAACTCTTTTTAAACTCTATGCTCCGAGTAGAGTTCATCTTTATATTAAACTTCCCCTGTTCAAATAAGTGGCTGTGTGGTTTCTGACTGGTGAATGGGCCTGACTCGTGAATGGGCCTGACTGCAGGTCTGACTGGTATACGTGGGCTCTGTTTCTGGTATGAGAAGGGATGTCTGAGAGAGATGCTTGGGTCTCGGCGTCAAAGCATTGGGTGCCCGTGGGTGCGTGGCGCCACCCTGCCCCTCTCCCTCCCATGTCAGCCCTTTGCTGGGGCTGTTTTTGGGTTGAATGTGGAGAGTATTCCATTCCCCCCCAAGGAGATGAAACCAGGCTTGGCCACCTGCCCCCGGCAAGTGAATGGAGAAGCCAGAAAGAGTGCCAGGTTTGTCTTGCACCTGGAGAAACAAGAGTTTCACACAGGCAGCCCAGTGCCCATGCCAGGGCAGGGGGCCAAGCTCAGAGTGGCTTCATTGCTTCACATGAGAACTGGTCCCACAGCCAGGCCGCCTCCCAGACAGCCTGGAGGGTATCGGAACTGTGACCCGCCCAGGCTGACTGCTGAGCCCTAGTGTTCGTGCACTGGTGCCCCACCACTACCTGTTTGAGGATATGGGCCTGAGGGGTCCCGTGCATCTGTGCTGGACACACACCACAAGAGTGATTCAAATGCCGGGGAGACGGGAGCACACTGCCCTGCATGGCTCTGAGCGGAGTGGACCCTGCCTTTTCTTCCCAGACATTGCGTAAATTCAGTTCACAGAGGCTGGGGTGTGGTCACTGTGAGCTCAGATCCGGGCCTCCCTGCCTGCGTTGGAATCCTGGCCCCAGCATTTAAGAGCTGTATGACCTTCAGGGGACCTACCCTCTCAGTGTCTCAGCTTCCTCTTTTGAAAGATGAGGGTCATTATTATCTTCCTGCCTTGATGTGAGAAGGGCTTTCCAGGCCAATTTGCTGGGAGAGCTCTTGGTTCAGATGTGGACCTGCCTCTGAATTGGCTGAGGTTAGCTTTTGGTTTGGTTTCTGTTTGAGCAGCTTTGTGCTGGGCTGCAGGTTCCTCTTCCATGCACTGTGTGTTTGTACAATGGGTTCTGCAGGTGCAAGGCTGTGGCCCAGGCTCTGTCCCACCAGACACGTCTGCCCTCACTCATCCCCAGATGGAGCCAGCTTCTCTCTGGGCGAGAACAGGGTGATCCAGGAGCTCAGATTAGACAGTGCCAGCCTCTACCATTCTCCATGTACAGAGAGCATTCTGTTCCCAGTGAAGCCACAGTGCCTGATCCCTGGGAAGCTGGCCTGGCCTTTGCCCCCTTCCAGAATGAAGGACGGCTCGGACCAATTGCCAGGGCCATCTGAACTGTGCTTTACAGGGCATGGCACTGCCCTCTGATAAGGGGCAGGCATCCAGTACCCCAGGACAGGGTCAGGGCAGGAATCCAGTGGGCACATTCAGAGAGGCTATTTTCCCATGAGTAGATTCAATCCTGATACACCCCACCCTCTCCAACCTCAACCTTCGAAAGCGAGGTGAGGCCTTTCTCAGAAACCACCCTGCTTGCTGTTGGCTCCAGCAGATCTGCTTTCTGGTCCACATTTAACAATCAATTGCTCAGCACATATCTCTGTCCTGGGAGGAGCTGCGCAGATTGCAGGCACTGTCTTTGATGGCACAGCTGATTTCTTGGGAAACTGAGGCCTGGGGTTTAAAGCAACTCACCCCAAATGACAGAACTAGCAACTGGTAGAGGCCAAATTTAAACCTAAGGAGGAGAGGCAAAGGGGCAATGTAGGTCACAGAGTACAATGTTTGGGTTAGACAGGAGAATAAGTTTCTGAGATCTGTGGCACAGCATGGTGGGTGACCATAGTTCGGAATGTATTATATATTTCAAAATTGCTAAGAGTAAATTTTCAGTGTTCTCACTATGCCCACAAAAATACACAGATGAAGTTATGGATATGTTAATTAGCTTGATTTACTCATTCTGCAATTTACACATGTATCAAAACATCACATTGTACCCCATAAATATAAACAATTATTGTCAATTGAAAATACCATTAAAAAATATAAATGACCAATGAAGATCTGAAAAGCTGTTCAATTTCCCTAGTAATTAGAGGGAGGAAAGTTAACATCACGTGATCCTTTGGCAAACTTGATCACATTGGCAAACTTTATTGCAGCAGTAACTCCCAGCATCACCAAGGTCAACAAGAAGCCAGTGTTCTCCTAAACAGTACGTAGGAGTTCTGTTCATTCACGTCAAGAAATTTACCCTGAAGAAATCAAGGGAGGAGGAATATGTTTCAATAACAATGTTGGTGCAAGTATGGTAGATAATAAAGTTTTCTGCTGGGCGCAGTGGCTCACGCCTGTAATCCCAGCACTTTGGGAGGCCAATGTGGGCAGATCACTTGAGTTCAGGAGTTTGAAACCATCCAGGGCAACATGGCGAAACCCCATCTCTGTAAAAACAATTAAAAAATTAGTTGGGCATGGTGGCACATGCTTGTAGTCCCAGCTATTCAGGAGGCTGAGGCAGGAGGATCACCTGAGCCTGGGGAGGTTGAGGCTGTAGTGGACCGTGATTGTGCCATTGCACTCCAGCCTGGGCCAACAGAGCAAGACCCTGTCTCAAAAAAAATAAAGTTTTCATATGAAATATATACATAAAAGGATATATACCAAAACATAAACATTAATGCTATTCATAGCTGCATAGCGGAGGTAATAGATAGTGGTTTTTTTCTGTATTTTTGATAAATGTTATTTTTCAGCAACACTTCTGCAGGATTATAGTAGTGGTGAGGAAGGCTGCTTGCACCTGGACAGATACAATGCATTTGTTTTTAATAAACTAGACCTTCCTGCCCTAAGCAGGCCAAGGAGGAGGAGGAGGACTTCTGGCCAGGAGGGGGGTTTCCACGCAGGCACTGGTGCCACCGAGGGCCGACTGGGCTTGGTTTCACCACGTTGCCTGCAGGGAGGGCTGTTTCAGGAGCAGGAGTCAGCCCTTCTTGTCTGGAGTACTGTCAGAGGTGGGCGTCAGTGATAGCGACAGGAGGCAGCCAAATGCCCAGCAGACAGAGGTGGATCCCCGGTGAAGCCCCACCTCCAAGCCAAAGACAGTTTAAAGCCTGAAAGCCAAGCTATCCTTGGACTGGACTGACAACTTGTCTTGCTGTTTGGTGCACTTCCCTCTGATGGATCCCCACCCTTCACCTATTTTACATATACCCAACCTTTCCTAATTGGTTTCCTACACTGTTGTGTCCACCTTTGAGTGGCATCTTTGCTTTAACCTTTTGTTTGTTTGTTTTGGAGACAGAGTCTTGCTCTGTCACCCAGGCTGGAGTGCAGTGGCGCAATCTCTGCTCACTGCAACCTCCGCCTCCCGGGTTCAAGCCATTCTCCTGCCTCAGCCTCCCGAGTAGCTGGGATTACAGGCATGCACCACCATACCCGGCTAATTTTTGTATTTTTAGTAGAGACTGGGTTTCTCCATGTTGGTCAGGCTGGTCTCGAACTCCTAACCTCAGGTGATCTGCCCGCCTTGGCCTCCCAAAGTGCTGGGATTACAGGCGTGAGCCACCGTGCCCAGCCTAGTTTTAACCTTTTACTGCATACTCACAAGCCAATCAGCATGCACTCCCCATCCTGTACCTATAAAGACTCCAGACTCATTCAGTAGAGGGGAGACGGCCTGACTTTGGGGAAGATGACCTGCCCTTCCTGGCCCCTCTCTAGCTCCCCTCTCCACTTAGAGCTGTTTTGGTTGCTCAGTAAAATTCTCGGCCTTCACCATCCTTCAAGTGTCCATATGACTTCATTCTTTTTGGATGCTGGGCAAGAGTGGGACCCAGCTAGTGTGAGTACCCAGAAAGGCTGTCACACTAGCCCTTTGCCCTTGCCAGTGGAGGGCAGCCACCCCACATGACAAGGCAGGGGGACAACTGAGCTGCTAACACACCACCACCCACAAATGGCAGAACTAAAGGAGCACTGTAACACTGCCTCTGGGGCTTTGGGGTCACAGGCACCCTCACCTGGGTGCTGCAACACGCCTAGTCTGGCCACGGGTCCTGCATGGAGCTTGCTCCTGTGTCTGCACTTGGAATGGCC
Source organism: Homo sapiens (assembly GCF_000001405.40). Classification (NCBI taxonomy): domain Eukaryota; kingdom Metazoa; phylum Chordata; class Mammalia; order Primates; family Hominidae; genus Homo; species Homo sapiens. The sequence continues at coordinate 71,430,353 of NC_000011.10, read as the reverse complement.
GGCCGGATCCCACACTCACATGCTCACATGCTCCCTCCCACAAGGGGTTGAGCACAGTGAGCTGAGTAGACGGGGCGCCCCTGCTGTGAGTCCCGTGAAAGGACCAAGAAAAACCCTGCATTATCAGGAGAGGGAACGTCAGGCCACAGCCCGGCCAGATTTTCTGGTCAAGAGGCCTCATTGAGGAGAACATTCCATGCAGACTTGAGATCTAAGTCCCCTCTGTGTGTTTATTTCATCAGGATGGGCAGATTATTCTCCCTGAGTGCCTCCTCAGCTCACAGATCCACTCTTGCCCCTTTCCCAAACCTTGGTCTCCAAATCTGTTAGGAAATCTGGATGTTACCTGGGAAGACCAAGACCGCAGTGACTGGGAGCTGGGGACGGGATGGGTCTGGCTTTTGGAAACTCAATGCCTCAAATTCAACAATGAGCCACAGACGTGGACCAGCTCTTTGTTGTTCCAGGAAGTGGTCAGGGGTGGGGGTTTGCACAGGGTGAGTGTGGTCACCTGGACACACAGGGAAGCTGCAAGATGGCTGTTAGCAAGAGGCAAGTACCAGGCAAGTCCACCTGGCTCACAGCTTTAAACACCTCCACGGCTTGGTGACTCCAAGGTTTCATCTCCAGCCATGCCTTTGTCCTGAACGCCGCTCATGAGTCCACATGCTCCCTCTACACCTCACTCAGCATCTGAAAGGTTACTCGACTTCACCCCCTCAATCAGTACTGACCTTTTCCCATAAATGTCAGTTGCTCTAACCGAAAACCAGGTATCATCCCTGACTCCCCTCCCTCACGCCACGTTCCATCAGAGGGCAAGCCTGTGGCTGTGCCCATGAAATGTCCAGGATCTGACCGCTTTCCATCTACCGGGTGCCCCCGTCCCAGGCTCTGTCCTCTCTTAGCCTCAGCGCATGTCTCCCTGCCTCCTGCCCCCGCCCACAGTCTGTTCTCGGCTCAACAGCCAGACTATCCCATCAAAATGTGAGTCACATGCTGTCACTCCACTGCTCAGAACTTTCCAAGGTCTTCTCATGTTGCTCAGAATAAAAGCCAGGGTCGTTCTGAGGGCCTCAGCCGCCCTGTGGACTGTCAGACCTCTCTTGCTGCAGCCTCCCATATTGACACAGCAATAGCCATGCCCACCACCTCCCTGGGCCTCTGGCACTGCTCCACCTCAGTCAAAGCCCAGTTAGAACTACTGATGCAAATCCCCACAGCCAGGATCATCAAGACATCGGCCGCCAAGCTTTCTGGCCAGGGATTTCAGTTGCAGAACTGTTTGCAACACTTAGCTGCAATGGAAGTGCCAATTCTGGAACTGGTTTCCTTGTTGTTGGCTCACTTCTTCCTACCCCTGAGCACACTTGGAAGGCTACAGACTTAGATAAGTGAGGAGGAGGCGGGAGGCATTTGAATTACATGGTTATTATTTTTTTCTTTAACTGGGAGTGAACTCCACTCTGTCTTGAGAAAGAATTCTTGACTTGCCTTGCAGATGAGAAATGCTGCTGTGGAGGCTGAGTAGAGGCAGGAAGAGCTGCCTTCCCTTTAAGACTTGGAGATGACCCTGGGGAGGGCAGCAAAGGCGTCTGCAGAACCATCTGGGCTGTTTCCCCCTGGACAGGACTGCAGGGAGCTGCAGGGAGCTGCAGGGAGGTTCACCACGGCCCTCTGTACCTTGGAATACACTAAGATCTCCAGGGTGTGGTGGTCCTATGCCCACACATCCCACTGTTAGGAGTGTCCTCACAGTTATATCCTGCCATGTGCGAAATGGCTGCAAGTTCAAGGCTGTGCATTGCAGTGTCCTGTGCAAAAAAACCGTGAAAAGATCGGGAACAAGTTATGCAAATCAAGAGGTGACTGTTTAATTAAGTGCATCCACATGATGGAATGTTATAAAGCTCTCAAAAAGAATAGGACAGTCAACTGATGATGAATCACATTAACTTAATAAGGAAGAAAAACCACTTTATTATATGAAATAGATGGAGAAAAAAGGACACTAATTCATAATAAAAACGCAAAGACATCCATAGAAAACCTACAGCTAACTTCATATTTAATGATGAGATATTGGATTCTCTCATCATAAGATCAAGAACATGGCAAGAATTTTCACTGCCACTTCTTCCAAATTACATTAGAGATCCTAGAGATTGCAACAAGGCAAGAAAAAGATTTGAAAAGACATAGATTGGGAAGAAATAAGTAAATTAGCACAATTCACAAGATTTTTATGAAGGAAAGAGTTAACACAACAGGCCCTAACTACTATGTTTGGAAAGGCCTGCCTGCAAGGTAGGCCCTTGAGTGGCATCTGGGAATTTAGATTTGGGTAGGGTTCTCACCACTCTAATTGATAAGAGCAGGTCACTGTGCCTAGACTGTTGTACAAATAGTATGCCTTTTGGTTCACTTGCTTTCCTTCTGGAGGTCTAGAATTTTGACACATGCCAAGCAAAGGCTGGATACGGTATAAGGCCAGCACTCCTGAAAAGTCCTGGCTGCTTAATCTCAAATGAGCTTCCCTGATTGGTAACATGTCACATGTATTGTCACAACTTGTTGCTGGGAAAATTAAGCATGTCCTGCATGACCCCACTGGGAGAGACCCTTTGAAGTTTATGCCTGGTCTCCCCCAGACTCTACTCTCATGCACCTTTTCCCTCTGCTGATTTTGACTTTTATCCTTTCCCTGGAAGCTGCAGTTTCCTGAGCCTTCTTAGTGAATCATCAGACCTGAGAGTGGTCTTGACCGTCCCCACAATAGTTATGCAGAAAATCCTAAGAAGTCTACAAAAAAAGCTACTAGAACTAATAAGTGAATTTAGTGAGGTTGCAGGATACACGGTCAATATCAAAAATCTATTTTATTTCTATTCTTGCAAAAAAGTAAACATATCAATTTTTCAATAACATTTACTGTGTTGAAAACACAGCAGACTTAGAATGAAATTTTAATTAAAAATATGGAAGACTTGCTGTATTTTGGAAACCACAATTATTTCTGAGAGAAATTAAAGAAGAGCTAAATAAATAAATGGGTGTGCCACGTTTACATATTGGTGATGTGTTTACATACTGGTTACATATCGGACTGGTGATACAGCACCATTTCAACCAAGTGAGAAATGAAGAATCTTTTCAATGAAAAAATTAGCAGTTAAAAAAACAATAAGAACTTTTGAGTCATATAGATACCCAAACAGAGAAAAATGAATTTTGACTCCAACTCGCATCATTTACAAAACTGAAATGTATTATTAACCTACATGGAAAAAGCAAACCAATAAAGTCTTTAAAAAATATATACGAAAATGATCTTGGTTAGGCAAAGATTTTTAAACAGGATGATAAAAGGCACTAACCACAAAAAAAAAAAAGGAAAAAAAGTGGACATTGATGAAATTGAACTTCTCTTCATCAAAAGAAAATGCTACAAGAATGAAAAGGCAATTCACCAAGAGGGGAAAGTTATTTGCAATGACACTTTCATCCTCTGGAGGACTCAAGTCCACATTATATTATGATGGTACAAAAGCAATTGTGGCTTTTGCTATTTCAATGACAAAAACTGCAGCTACTTTGGCACCAACCTAATATAAGGGGCTCATACAAATCATGGAGAAAATGACTGGCACACTGATGCTTTTAAGATGAGAAAGAGGCTTGGACAAAATGACCAATGTATGTGAAAATATGTTCAACATCATTAGTCATCGGGAAAATGCAAATTAAAACCACCAGGAGCTACTGCATCTCCACCAGAATGGCAAAGAAAAAGGCTGAGAAGCCTGTCTGTTGTAGAGATGTGTTCTCTGGTTGCTGATGGGGTGCACATGGGAACAACCCCTTGGGGAGATTGTTTGGCAGCATCTCTTAAAGCCAAGCGTTCGTGTACCCTATCAGCCAACAACTCTACTCCTGGGAGTGTTCCCAGGGATGCTCACCAGAAGACACGTGCAAGAATGTTCATAGTGACATTAATTGTAAATAGCTAAAAAAAAAAAAAAAAGAAAAAAGACACAGTTGGCAATAGCCCAAATATCAATCAGCAGTAGAATGAATAATTTGAAGTACAGCTACACAGTGAAAAAATGAATGGCAATGGAAAGAAACCAAGAAAGCAGCAATGGCTACATCCAGCAGCATGGCTGAGTCTGCACACAGGATGTTGAGCGAAGGAAGCAGACCTGAGACTGTGTGTACTGCATGAGTCCCTCCATATGGTGGCCAAGAGCAGGAAGGATTTACTATTATAATTAAAGACAGAAGCGTGGTTACCTCCAGGGACCGTGGAGCTGGGTGGGGTAACCTAGCTGGAAGGGAACAGGGTGCTGCCTTGAGGGCACATGAAATATTCTAGGCCCTGGTCCAGTTACTCAGGAGTAGGCAAATGTGAGTCATCCCTCTGCACCTGAAATGAATGCATTTCGTGTCTGTAGATGATATCTTTTCATTAGGAAAGGAAGAAAGCCAGGCAGCTCATGCAAATGCACCTGCAGAGGATGAGGCTGGGCTGGGACAAGAACCACAGGTGTGGACAGGGGCCTGCAACAAGAAAGCTGTAAGGGGGTCTCCTGGAGGGAGGTGCTGATGGGAGGGCAGCGGCTGCAGTGGCTTTTGTAGATACCCTCTGGGTGCAGAAGAAGCTGATGGGGGAAAAGCCCCTGATCAGACAACAAAAGTGGGAGCTTGAAAATCAGGCCCCTGGTGGTGACCAGCATTTACTGCCCCCTGAACAAAGGCGAGGCCCTCATCTCAGACCTTGCTGTACAGTGACTCAGACTCCCTGAGATAGGTAGGCCTCATGCTTGCCATTGGTCCCACTTAACAAGGAGGGAACAGCAGTGCCAAGTCTCAATTTTGTCCAGTTCACAGCAAGTGCAGAGCCAGCATCCTTATTGCCCAGCACTAGAGTCCTTGTGCTGAAGCACGAAGCTGTTAAGTTCTGTCTCCCACCACACTCTTTCCTTTCTTTTTTTTATTTTTGAGATGGAGTCTTTCTCTGTCACCCAGGCTGGAATGCAATGGCACGATCTTGGCTCACTGCAACCTCCACCTCCCAGGTTCAGATGATTCTCCTGCCTCAGCCTCCCGAGTAGCTGGGACTACAGGTGCATGTCACCACACCCGGCTATTTTTTTTTTTTTTTGTATTTTTTAGTAGAGATGGAGTTTCACCATGTTGGCCAGGCTGGTCTCGAACTCCTGACCTCAGGTACTCTGCCCGCCTCATCCTCCGAAAGTGCTGGGATTATAGGCATGAGCCATGGCACCCGGCCACTCTTTCCTTCCTTTACGAGGCAGGATCTTGCTCCATTGCTTAGGCTGGAGTGCAGTGGTGTGATCATGGCTCACTGTAGCCTTGGCCTCAAACTCCTGGGCTCAAGGGATCCTCCCGCCTCAGCCTCCTGAGTAGCTTGGACTACAGGTGTGTGCCACCACACTCAGATAACTTTTTAATTTTTTGTAGAATCATGGTTTTGCTATATTGCCCAGGGTGGTCTTGAATTCCTGGCTTCAAGGGATTCTCCTACCTTGGCCTCCCAAAGTGCTGGGATTACAGAAGTGAACCACAGCACCCTGCCCACACTCATGCTTATAGCCTTCTGTCTCGTTTTTTTCTGATAGAATTCTAACAGTCCCAAAGCTCTGTCCTACAGACCCTTAGCACCTAGAGCAGCAAATTTGGAGGAAAAAGAGGGTTTCCCAGTTGAGTCCCAGTGATGACAGTCAACATCTGGTTGGCCATCACGTGATGTTCACGGAGGTGGCATTAGGAACTGGTCCCTGACATATGGAAGTGAGGATGTTAAAGTCCACTACTCCAGCAGGGTGTGGTGGCGGGCACCCATAGTCCCAGCTACTGGGGAGGCTGAGGCAGGAGAATCGCTTGAGGCCAGGAGTTTGTGTACGGCCTGGGCAACACAGCAAGATTCCATCTGAGATTTGTTTTCACGTGAACGACTCCACGGAGGCCCTCTGCGTTCACTTGCCGACTGGCAGAGACAGTGCCATCATGCCTCTCAGTCAGGCTTCAGCAGTCCTGACTACCTTCTGTTTGCACAGCCTCAACTGTCAGGTTGAAATGTGCGGCGTCTCCACGCTGAGCTGCCCCGTGTCCTTCTACAGCTGCCTATTGCTGTCGTTTCAGCCCAGGTAAATGTCCCGCCCATGTAAGTGAGCTGCACCTTCCTCTGCCCTTGCCTTGTCCCAGCCAGACGACCTGGACCCTCCTTCTGCCTGCTCCACACATGTGGCTACCTCTCCAGTATCCCCAGGATACCTCCCACGCCTCCCCTGCTCACAGCTGAGGGCAGGGATGCTCCATACTTCGAGCTCTCTTCAGCCTCCCAGTTTCTTGGCCATCCCGGCAAAAGTCTTAGGGCCGCTGTTGTCCTTGGTAGGACAGATCGCTGGAAGGTCACACACTCCAAAACAACCATAAGGATGGTGATAGATAAAGTAGAAACACGAGCATAAAAGCAAAAAGGTAATATTCTGGGGCTGCTGCTGCCAGGGACTGATGCCCACACAGGGCGGGGCCCCTAAGATCACGGCTGTGTTACAGCACATTGCCATTATTGCGCATGATGGTGGCCTGAGCTACCCAGAAGAGGCCACCTGACACCCAGCATCCCTGCTCAGGAAGGCAGGCAGTTTTGTAATGCCCTTTAGAGATCTTGGTGCATTTAAAAACATCCTGCTCTACTTAGTTTTTGTTAACCGGATTATTCAGTTATAGGGAATGATTCATTCTCTAATGAAAAGAGCAGAAGGGTTGTGGGTGGGTTGCATTATAGGTGATTTTCAAAGAGTTCTTTGTTTCAGTAGCTCTGGTTTGGCCTAGATGTTTTCACTGTTTAAGTCTTTCAGAATCTTTTTTTTTTTTAATTTTTAAATAGGAAGTGAGAACATCCCCGAGCAAGACCAACAATTGCTGAATAAACACAAACCCCCTTGAGAATCACGCCGACAGGTGCTATCTCTTCACCTGGGGATTGCAAAGGTGAGAGAGGAGGCCAGTGCCTCCCTGTGTCTGGAGAATCATATAGGGGTTGCTCTGGGAGTTTTAAGTTTCTCCTGAGTGAAAGTTAGTGGTTTTACATGTTCTCTTGATGCTACTTTTTACCTCTTCCTCCGGCTACTAAAAAAGCTTTCCTTGTAGGTGAAAATGGAACCGAATTAGTTCTGTGATCTTGTTCCATTCTAAAAGGGATTTGATTTTCCATTCATTCATCCCAAAACTGTTGCATACCTACTATGTGCCAGACTTTATTCTGGCCAGAAAAGATTCTTGATGTTACTGGAATTCAGTAATTTCTGTGGGCATGTGCTCAAAAGCAGGCTGCAAAGTCCTGGAGCCAGGGGTCCTGGCAGAACTCTTAGGAGAGGGATGGGTTTCTGTAACATGTCTGACACAGACCAGCAAGGCCACATTTAAACCAAGGCTGTGTGTGTGTGTTTTTTTAATTTAAATTTTAATTTTAAGTTCCTGGGTACATGTGCAGGACGTGCAGGTTTGTCACATAGGTAAACGTATGCCACGGTGATGTGTTGCACCTATCAACCCATCACCTTGTTATTAAGCCCCACGTGCATTAGCTATTTATCCTGATGCTCTCCGTTCCCCCACCCCACCCCCTGACAGGCACCAGTGTGTGTTACTCCCCTCCTTGTGTCCATGTGTTCTCATTGTTCAGCTCTCACTGATAAGTGAGAACATGCAGTGCTTGGTTTTCTGTTCTTGTGTTAGTTTGCTGAGGATAATGGCTTCCAGCTCCATCCATGTCCCTGCAAAGGACATAATCTCATTCCTTTTCATGGCTGCATAGTATTCCATGGTGTATATGCACCAGATTTTCTTTATCCAGGTATGTTTATTAAGGGGAAGGCCCAACCATGCATTGTGTGCGGCCACCTGGTGAATGAAAAGCAGGTTGGTATTTTCTTCCAAATACACATATGTATATATAGGTATATATATATTTACATGGGTAAATTGCATGTCGCAGGGGCTTGGGGTACAGATTATTTCATCATCCAGGTAATAAGCATAGTACTTGATAGGTAGTTTTTTGATCCTCACCCTCCTCCCGTCCTCCACCCTCAAGGGGGCCCCACCCTTTATTGTTCCCCTCTTTGTGTCCATGTGTACTCAATGCTTAGCTGTCTCTTATAACTGAGAACATGTGGTATTTGGCTTTCTGTTCCTGCATATATATATATACACATTATATATATATATATATATATATATATACATTTTATATATATATATACATTATATATATATATACACATTATATATATATATATATGTGTGTGTGTGTGTGTGTGTGTGTGTGTGTGTGTGTGTGTTTCAGTAGCTCTGGTTTGGCCTAAATGTTTTCACTGTTTAAGTCTTTCAGAATCTTTTTTTTTAAATTTTTAAATAGGAAGTGAGAACATCCCCGAGCAAGACCAAAAATTGCTGAATAAACACAAACCCCCTTGAGAATCACGCCAAGAGGTGCTGCCTCTTCACCTGGGGATTGCAAAGGTGAGAGGGGAGACGAGTGCCTCCCGGTGTCTGGAGAATCATATGCGGGTGTGCTGCCTTTGGAGCACAAATATATATATATACATATTTGAAATTCACAAACGTTTGCATTTCTCGCCAGCGACACAAGCCGGCTACCACTGCTGAAAGTGAGGCGGCCTCCAGTCAAGGTCTAGGGACTTGACCTGGTTTGATCTGGCTACACTCCCACTGCTCAATTTAGACTCTGCCCAGACTAACAGCGAGAGTGTAGCCAGATCCAGACCTTACCAACACGCTCCTTCCTCCCCTGTCCTACCAAGCTGGAATTCACTGTCAATATCCTCCATAGAAGACAGAGTTGGCTTCCAACAGTATCAGGGGATGCAGGCAAAGGGGGTGATGGGGCCTGAGATAAGTTTCAGTTCAGCATACAGGGGGCATCTGTGCCTGAATGACCAACCTTGGTAACTGGTATGACTTACTGTTCTCACTGAAAATACTACAGCTCTCCAAGTTGGAAAACAACATCAAGAATCTTTTCTGGCCAGAATAACGTCTGGCACATAGTAGGTATGCAACAGTTTCGGGATGAATGAATGGAAAATCAAATCCTAAGAGGAAGCTTCCTTCCAGACTGATCATACGTCATTGTCATAGGTGTCTCCATTGAAACACTCCACCAGGAGTGGGCAAACTGATTCTGAAAAGGGCCAGTGAGTAAATATTTGGGGCTTTGTAGGTCAGGAGGTCTCTGCTGCGATTACTCACCTCTGCCATTGCAGCGAGAAAACAACCGCAGACAATAAACACAGAATTAAATCAGCATGTTCCAATACAACTTTATTTACTAAAGCAGTCGGTTGGCCAGATTTGGCGTGTGGGCCACAGTTTGCCAACCCCTGCGCTAGACACGCTCACCATTCCTATAGGACAGAGACTGCGTTCCCCATCCCCTTAGGACCCAGAACTAGATGTTTTAATTAAGTACGTACATATTAAAACTGCCTCTCCCTTTTACGATTCTGTTTTAAGAACTTTAAAAAATGTTGCAAAATTCTTAGGTATTATGTGAGGGGTAGGTTGAAAGGCTGAAAGTACCAACCTTGCGTCAGAGGGAATAGTGTGTGAAGCCATTTCCTTCCTGAAACTTGGATTTGGGACTGAGGCGTGAGAATTGTGCTCTAGGGAACAGCCACCAGGGGGAGCACAGTGCACACAGAAGTAACCTGCTTTGCACCAAGAAACCAGCGGTGAAATCTAGAGGCTCAAAGGTGCAGGCTACTCATGGGATGTGCTGCGTGCTCACTTGGGGTACAGGAGCTGGGATTCTGGGTGCAAGTGAGGGAGCAAGATGCTGTTTTCTCATGCTCTACCCTTCCAGAGGTTTCGTGGTTTTGATTTGTGTGCGTATTACTTCTGCAAATATATGCTTAAGTATTGTACGTGTGATGTCGTCAGGACTAGACCAAGACGCATAGCACCCAGGGGAACAAGCTTCAGCCCAAATTACTTACGTTAATTGACTGATATGTGTTTAGGGAAGGGGCTGAGTGCTATGAGGGGGAGCAGAGGGAGTTCAGCTTCACCCGGATCCCCCGAAATTCAGTTCAGGGTCCACCTGCACACCCCATCAAGCCCTCCAGGCAAAGCATGGTATCATCCACACAGGACCGTTTTCCAGCTTTCTGTTGCTACCCAAACATATCCCTTGGCCCAAATGACCACATTTTCATCCAGTGGAACCAGGAATACTATACAGCAGTGAAAAACAAACCACAGCTACACACATCAACATGGGTGCACCACCAGAGGACGAATACAATAAACAGGCCACAGGAAAAACATACGAGGTGGTTATTTTATTTGCAGAAAGCCCCAAATCAGGCAAAACCAATGTCTTCTCTAGGGATATATCCAGGTGTGGCAAAAGTGCTAAAAAGAGCAAGAGAATTATTAAGCAAAATGTTAGGGTGCTGGATATCATTGGGAGGAAGATCTAAACAGGAAGTGTGGAGAATATGTGATGTCTTATACTGGGTAGCAGGTTATTAACTTATTTATTGAAACAAGGCCAGGTGAGGTGGCTTACACCTATAATCCCAGCATTTGGGAGCCTGAGGTGGGAGGTTAGCTTGAGGCCAGGAGTTCAGGACCAGCCTGGGTAATATGGCAAGACTCTGTCTCTACAGAAAAAAAAAAAAAAAATTAGCCAGGCATGGTGTTGTGCACCTGTAGTCTCAGCTACTCGGGAGGCTGAGGTGGGAGGATCATGTGAGCCCCCAGGATGTGGAAGCTGCAGTGGGCTATGATCACGCCATTGCATTCCAGTCCAGCCTAGTGACATAGCAAGGCTCTGTCTGTTAGAAAAAAATAAGGCCAGGTGTGATGGTTCAGGCCTGTAATCCCAGCACTGTGGGAAGCTAAGGCTGAGGTTTGAGACCAGCTGGCGCAACATGGCGAAATCCTGTTTCTACTAAAAATACAAAATATTAGCCAGGTGTGGTGGTGCATGCTTGTAGTTCCAGCTACTCAGGATACTAAGGTGGGAGGATTGCTTGAGCCTGGAAGGTCAAGGCTACGGCGAGCTTTGATGGTTCCACTGCACTCCAGCCTGGGCAACGCAGCCAGACTCTGTCTCAAAAAAAAAAAAAAGTCATCCCTAACATTTATATACATTACATATATCTTGTTTTATATCATAATAACATAGTATAAAATAAAAATAGAAATAATCCTTTCTGCATGTGTATCTCAGGGTGCAGCCCTGGGGAGACAGAGAAGCTTAGATCTGGGGAAGCTCTCATCTGGCCGATAGGGTTTGCAGTGTGGCTTTCTAGAAGCTGTAAGGGTGAATGAACCGCAGATGCTCAGCCCCACCCAGAGAACTGCAGCTGGTGTGGAAAGTAGAGTGGGAGGCATGACAAGTGACAGCTGTAGTGAGAGACGTCGGGTCTGGAACACAGTGACTCAAGGCAGAGGACTGTCCCAGGGTACGGGATCCAGGCTGATGCCCATGTGCCACTGCACTGCTGGCTCAGATGCCCCCGTGACCCCTGCAGCTCCCGGGGCTCCTGGGAATGCTACTGGCGGTGCCCCACACTGGGTGGTAGCTGCCTTTGTATTTACCCAGCCATGCCTTGACTCCCTGAGCACTGGGCTGCTTCCAGCTCTTCATTCCAGCACCTGTAGGAAGCATCTGTGGATGCTTGTGGGCGGGATCGGCCACCATGTTACCTGCTCTTTGCAGGAAAGCCTGGCCTTTTACATCCCAGGCCTAGGACTTGTCCCAGTTTGACCAGGACTGAGAAGTTTTTGGGGACATGGCTTCTTCAATGTTGAAACTGGAAAAAACCAAACCAGGATGAGGTGGTTATTTCACCCAGACTTTGGTACTCAAATGTAAGGGCTTGGTTTGGCTAGGACTGATTGTGTGTCACAGCAGCACGCCACATATCCTGTATGCCTTCTGTAAACCCTCCATTTATTTTGGAAGGAACAGTCATCCCGTGTCTCCCACTGCCAGCTCCTGGGGGCTGCCAGCGTTTTACTGAGTGGCTCTCAGCTGCCTCCAATCTTGCTAAGGGCAGATTAAACTAGTAAAATGGGACTTGAGAGCAATTCTTCCTCCCTGAAAGGCTAGAGTGAGGACACGAGAACACGCTTTTCAGACTGGAGAGTCAACAATCACAACAGATTTCTGTAACTGAAGGTGGTGGTTTTCTTGTCTTATCTTCGACTGGAGGGCATCAGACTTACCTGGGGGTCTTCTTAGACTAAGATTGCTGGGCCCCCACCCAGCGTTTCTCATTCAGGGGATCTGGGATGAGGACTGCGGACTGCATTTCTAACAAATGAAGCTAATTTTGATGGTCTGGGGTCCGCACTTTGAGAACTGTTGTCACAGTGTTAAGGGATACAGTCTAGATGAGGGGTTGTCAGACTTTTTCTACAAGGGGGTCACATAAGAAATATTTTAGGTTTTGTGGGTGATATGGTTTGGATCTGTGTCCCCACCCAAATCTCATGTGGAATTGTAATCCCCAATGCTGGAGGTGGGGCCTGCTGGGAGGTGATTGGATCCTGGGGGTGGAATACCCCCCTTTGGTGCTATTCCTGATAGAGTTCTCATGAGATCTGGTTGTTTAAAAGTGTGTGGCATCTCCTTCCTCTCTCTCCCTCCTCCTCTGGCCATTAGGATGACCCTGCCTCCCCTTCACCTTCCACCATGATTGTAACTTTCCTGTGGCCTACCTGGAAGCCAGCACCACACTTCCTGTATAGCCCACAGAACTGCGAGCCAATTAAACCTTTTTTCTTTTCTTACTTTTTTTTTTTTTTTTTTTTTGAGATAGAGTCTCAGGAGCCTAGGCTGGAGTGCAACGGTGCAATCTCAGCTCACTGCAACCTCCGCTTCCAGGGTTCAAGCGATTCTTTTGCCTCAGCCTCCCAAGTAGCTGGGACTACAGGCGTGTGCCATCACACCTGGCTAATTTTTTGTATTTTTAGTAGAGACAGAGTTTCACTGTGTTAGCCAGGATGGTCTTAATCTCCTGACTTCGTGATCCGCCCGCCTCAGCCTCCCAAAGTGCTGGGATTACAGGCGTGAGCCACTGCGCCCGGCCCGAAACCTCTTTTCTTTATAAATTACCCAGTCTTAGGCATTTCTTTACAGCAGTGCGAGAACAGACTAGTACAGTGGGCCACATGTTCTCAACTACTCAACTCTGCCGTAGTAGCCCAAGAGCAGCTAGAGACAGGGTGCAAATGAGTGTGACTGAGTTCCAATAAAACTTAATTTACAAAGACAATCAGTGGGCCAGAATTAGCCTCTGGGCTTTTGTTTGCCAGCCTCTGGTTCAGACCATTACAGTGTGATTTTCAACAATCCCCTTAGCTTCTCTGTGTTTTCCATCTTTGTATTGGTGAGTGGATGACTTTGAGCGAGTTGAAAGCAGACCATGGAGGTCTGGGAAGGACCATTTGTTTAGAGTACAGATGCAGGTCAGTGTAGCACAACCTTACTGAGGCTTTATAGCTTTCAACAACCGTCATATTATATTCACCAGTCTGTGGGTCAACTCGGGGTTCTTCTGGTCTGAGCTGGTTTGGCTGGTCTCTCTGAGCTCTCTTGTGCACCTGGGGGTGGGGGTCACCTCACAGGTCATCTGATGGTGGATTATCCAAGGTAGCCTCAGCCACATGTCTAGCAGGTGGTTGGCTGTTGGCTGGGCATCTTGGTTCTCTTCCACGTGGCCTCTCCTCCTCCAAGAGGCTAACTCCAGCTCCCACACCAGGGTGGTCTGAACATAGCAAGGGAGGAAGCTGCAGCTCCTCTGATGACTATGTTTGGAGCTCACACAACGTCACTTTCATCACACTGTACCCATCAAAGGAGTCACAAGACCAGTCCAGGTTTAAGCATGGGAAAATAGGCTCCACTTCGTAACAAGAGCAGCTGCAAGGAATCTATGGCTGTTTGCAATTTACCACTCAGGTGGAAAGAAAGGATAGGGAATGAGGCTGCTTGGCATCAAATTTTTAGCTCCAGCTTTCATAGCTGGAGTTCTCACTTCATTCCCCTGAGCCTGATCCCTCCACAGAAAAAATGAGACTGATGCTACCCAGCCTCAGAAGGTTGCTGAGAGGCTAGCGGGATTAATCTAGAGAGTGTCTGGCACAAGAAAGTCATCTCCGTGTGGCTGCTGTTATAAATGTCTCAGTGAACCCCTACAGATGTGACAGCACTGGGGGCGTAAAGAATGGAGGACACCCAAGACCATTGAATGTCCCTTCACATACGTCTCCAAGGACTCCCTGCCCAGCTCTGGGCTTTTGCTTGTCCCTGCCTAGAATCTGTTCAAGGCTTCAAAGCTCAACTCACCTTGTTGCCTCCTTTTACAGCCCTTGTCGCATTGCATTAATTTCTTTTTTACAAATGTTTTTCTCCTACGAGTTGGGAGCTTTTTGAGAGCAGAAACAGGGTTTTGCCCAGAGCCTGTGGTAGTGCCTTGGGGAACATCCTATCCCAGCCCCTTTAAATCATCTGGGGTTTGCTTCACCCTATTTTCAATCAGAAACATTGGAAGCCAACCAGCACAACTTCTCAAGAGAGGAAGGATGTAAGCAGTACATGTTCTGCTCCCTTGCAACTCTATGTGGTCTCTCTTCTGGGACATTGCCACATGGATCTTAGTATAATTTGCTTAAGAAAAACACAGTAGCTAAATTCTGTGAATCCTATCTGTTTCCCATGAGAAGAACAGATCTCATCCACAGGGCATCAGGCATGTTCAGGCTCTTTGAGAAGAGAGGACAAAGGTGGGACCCCCAAGGGCATCTCTGTGCACTTGGAGAGATCCAAGAACTCGCTAAAGTAATGTAATAAGTTAGTATTCAGTGCACACTTGTAGGGTTGAACTATGCTTTGTTATAAAGGGATGCCAGGATCGTAGAAAGTTTGTGTAGGGAGTAGGCAGATACATCATTTCTCTTTCTATAAGGCCTGTTTTGAAAGATTTCTTTCTAAAAAATGGACTAGGTGAAGACAAGGCTGTCTAAACTTAGAGAGGTATAAGAGATGCAAGGATAGAAATGACTACATTATGTATCCATCCATCCATCCATCCATCCATCCATCCATCCATGGACTTACCACCCATCATCCATCCATTCACCCATCCACCCATCCTCTCATTCATCCATCCATCCACCCATCCCTCCATCTATCCACCCACCCATCCACCCACCCATCCATCCATCCATCCATCCGCCCACCCATCCATGTATCCATTCATCCATCTACCTATCTATCCATCCATCATCCATCTACCCATCCATCCACCCACCCACCCATCCATCCATCCATTCATCTATCCAGCCATCCAACATTCATTCATTCATCTACCCACCTATCCATCCACTCATCCATTCATCCATCCACCCATCCATCCATCTATCCACCCACCCATCCACCTATCCATCCATCTATTCATTCATCCATCTATCTATCCATCCATCCATCCATCATCCATCTACCCACCCATCAACCCACCTACCCATCCATCAATCCATTCATCCATTCATCTATCCATCCATCCATCATTCATTCATTCATCTACCCACCCATCCATTCACTCATCTATCCATCCATCCTGGAGCTCACACAATGCCTTGCAAATACTTCAGTCTACCAACTTATTTTCCAATTCTAACCCTCTCCAACACTCCAACATCCCCTTCTCACAATCTATCTCTCTCTCTCTCTCTCTTTCTCTCTCTCTGTCTCACTCTCATTCTCTCTGTCCCTCCCCAACTTCTCCCTTTTGGGAAATTCAAATTGCCCAAAATATAATAGAGATAACTCCTTGATATTATTATTATGATCACCCCTTAGGTATTACAGCACTGTACAGTTTACTAAACACAAGTCTTCACATCAGTCCTCTTCTCTGCAGCCACATGACTCAAGCAGGCACAGGACCCATCAGGAACACCAGAGTCCTGAGCAGGAAGAATGTCTCCTGTCGCAGCCTTGGGGGGAGTCAGGCATGATGTGCCCGATGGTGCAGCAGGACACGATGATGTCAGAGCTGCCTGGGACATATTGAACTTCCTGATTTTTTCTTCTTGTGATGGAATAAATGATTTTGGATTAAGATGGAGAGAAACAATGATAGTATCAGATCTGTTGTGATGGCTTCCCTGGTGAGGAAAGTATTTCATAAGCTTGGAAAATCTGGTTCTAACTGGTTCACCCCTTGGAATTGTCCTCCCACCTGGCTTCCACAGGTCTGCATCATGAAGGCCCTTCCCTTTCAGCCAGGACTCTTTTGTCCACCTCCCACTCCCTCTGCAGGCACACTTGGCAAAGCTTGGACATTTTGGGTTGTCACAACTTGGAGGGTGCTACAGGGATCTAGTGGGTGGAAGCTGGGGGGCAGCTACACATCCTACAAGGCACAGGACAGCCCACAGCAGAAAACGATCAAGACCAACATCTCCAGAGGACCACGAGTGTGTGGCTTGGCTATGCATGGTCACCCAAACAGAGCTGGTGGGCCCTGACCCACTTTGGCCCAGAAGTTTCTGGCACCTCCCCCCGTCTGCGTCACTGCTATTCTGAGACATTTGCACACTGCATTCATAGGTCAATGCTCCAGGCAGGACAAGTGACATCACAAGACATGCACAGGCAGCCTCGATGGCACTGATCACAATTGAAAAATTTTGAATGACTTTTTAATTTAAAAATAAATTCTGGGCCAGGTGCGGTGGTTCATGCCTGTAATCCCAGCACTTTGGGAGGCCAAGGCAGGTGGATCACCTGAGGTCAGGGGTTTGAGACCAGCCTGGCCAACATGGTGAAACCCTATCTCTACTAAAAATACAAAAATTAGCTGCGTGTGGTGGTGCACGCCCATAATCCCAGCTACTCGGGAAGCTGAGGCAGGAGAATCACTTGAACCCAGGAGATGGAGGTTGCAGTGAGCCGAGATGGCTTCATTGCACTCTGGTCTGGGCGATAAGAGTGAAACTCCATCTCAAATAAATAAATAAATAAATTCCATATAATATCTGGCTTCCCAGGGAGACCAGCATGCCCATGGGGAAAGAAACTTGTCTGAATCCTCCTCACTGTCTCCTCACTCTAGAACAGCACCGTGCCCCTAGGAGGCAGTTGGTGAATATTTGCTGAATGAATACTGATAACCCTTGATTCAGAATTAATCACCTCTGACCTAATCTACTTTAAGCTAAATCTACAAGAGCATTTTCAGAGGATAATCATATATCTCTAATTCCAATGATTTTCTGGGCATTTCATCCAATGAAGCTCTAATGCCCAGGACCAATGAAGAAGCCCAATTGCTAAAAATCGGTCAGGACTGTCTCGGTTGCAAGTGACAGAAACCCAACTCAGACCCATTTGGCAGGAAAAAATTCTGTTGGCTCCCTGGGCTGAACAGTGCAGGGCAGGCTGAGGTTTGTGCTCCAATGATACTGTAAAAATTCTGTTCCTCATGTCTCTCCTCTGCTTCCTGAGGGCTGACTTCCTCCTCAGGGAAGCTCTGGTTGTGGGGCCGCAAGGCAGCTACAAGGGCAACTCCAGGCTCACTTCAGGTTCTCCCAGATCCTTAATCCAAGGGAAGAGAGTATCCTTCCTGAGAGATGACCAAGATCCCAGGAAGAAACCATGGCTGGCATCACATGCCCACCCTGGTCAAGGGTAGCCATCACAAATCAACACAAACTTTGACCTAAGACAATTGAAATGTATTGGAGGTCAGAAGTCTGAAATGGATTTCAGTGGGCCAAAATCAAGGTGTCTGCAGGGCCATTTTCCCTCTGGGGGCTCTAGGAACTGGGAGAACCCATTTCCTTGCCCTTTCCAGCTCCTGGAGGTGCCTGCATGCCTTGGCTCACTGCAATAATAACATCTTCCAATCTCTCTGACTCTGACCTCCTGCTTCCTCTTACAAGGACTCTCATGATTACCTAGGGTCCACCCAGATGATCCAGGGCAATCTCCTCATCTCAAGATCTATAACTTAACCACAACTATAAAGTCTCTTTTGCCATGGAAGCTCACATATACACATATACACATTAGGATGTGGTGTGAGGACAGGGACCATTATTTAGCCAACTTTAGTAGCCAAGGAGTGGAATAATCTTACTGGCCAGCATGGGTCCTGTGAGCCCTTAGGGCCCACCTCATCCAAATCTTAAGACTGGAGCAGGATTAGAGTGGAAAGAGAGGCAGAGGCTCTAGGAGGCTGCTGGGCCAGCTTCCAGAAGCCCCAACTAGGTCAAGAGACCATGACCTCTGCTAGGCACCTCACAGTGGCCTCATGCAGAAGCAATGACACAGAGGGGCCCTGCCTGGACTACGGGTGGGCTCCACCTCTTACCTCTCTGCACCTGTTTGTCACCTGTTCTCTCCCTGGTATTAGTTATGTCCCCAGCACAGAACCTGAAACAGGGCAATGCCTTCTTTCCTTCCTTTTCTATGTCAGTGATGTGAACCAACAGTTTCTTTTCTCAGTAGCTGAGCAATCTTTTCTGATTTCTTTTCTTTTTCTTTTTCTTTCTTTCTTTTTTTTTTTTTTTTTTTTAGAGACAAGGTTTTGCTCTGTTGCCCAGGCTGGAGTGCAGTGGTGCAATGTCGGCTCACTGCAGCCTCAAACTCCTGGGCTCAAGCAATCCTTCTGCCTCTGCCTCTGCCTCTCAAGTAGCTGGGACTACAGGTGTGTGCCACCACCATTCCCAGATAATTTTTTAATTTGTTGTAGAGATGGGGTCTTTCTATGTGGCCCAGGCTGGTTTTGAACTCCTGGACTCAGGCAATCCTCCTTCCTTGGCCTCCTGAAGTGCTAGAATTATAGATGTGAGCCACTGCAGCTGGCCTCTTCCAATTTCTGTTATGCTTTCTTTAGATTTTTACTTCTGTGCATTGATAGTCAATATTTGGATTCACAAGTAAGTTTCAGATCAATGAGGATCTGGAGTAAAGTAGAAGCATGCTGCTTGGTTGGCCACACCATGCTGGGGCAAACTCGGATTCAGCCCATTGGAGGCAAAAGCCTTCCCTGCACTGAACCAGTTTTTATTCCACTCAACACACCCCAGATGAAAATATTTTGGCTCAGGAGAGCAGTGCAATTATTTATGGCCTCATTTCCCTCTTTCTTTGGGAGTGGAAGCCAACATCAGTTGATTTAAAACAAAACAAAGGAAAAACCACATCTTTGACATCAGAATGCAAATGCTATTGTACCAAAGGAAAAACGAAAACAGCTTGACCAGGCCTGGAATCAATTTATTTCTGTGCCCCAAATGCATAGCACTTGGTAGAAAGAGCAAGGTATTTGGATGTCTGCTCCCACATTGGGTATTTGCTGATTTACGTGGGGGAAATGCCTTGCATATCAAGACAATCCATCATCATCATTGTCATCACTGTCATTGTTATCATTATTGTCATTATCATTGTCATCATCATTGTCACTGTCATCATCATCATCAATGTCATCATTGTCATCATCATCATTGTCATTATCATCATCATCAATGTCATCATTGCCATCATCATCATAGTCATCATCATAATTGTCATTGTTATCATTTTCATCATCATTGTCATTGCTGTTATCATTATTGTCATCATCATTGTTATCACCATTGTCATCATCATTATCATCATCGACATCATTATTGTCATCACTGTCAATGTCGTCATCATTGTCGTAGTCATCATCATGATTGTCATCATTATGTCATCGTCATCGCCATTGTCATAGTCATCATCATTGTCATAGTCATCATCATTGTCATAATCATTGTCACAGCCATCATCATCATTGTCACAGTCATCATTGTCATCGTCATTGTCATTGTCATTATTGTCATCATAATCATTGTCATAGTCATCATTATCATTGTCATCATCATCACTATCAACGTCATCGAGGCCATCACATCTGTCACCGCAGTGAGGGTCAGGTCAGGAAATGCACCCAAGGGTTTCCTGTGCTGTCAAGTGCCCCTCATGTCTCAGGCTCTGCAAATTAGAAAGTAAAAAGTCAAATTATTCTTATTTGCAGACAATATGATCTTATATATAGACAATCCTAAAGACTCTACCAAAAATCTTTTAGAATTGAATGAATTTAGTAAAGATAAAAAATTAACATATAAAATCAGTAGCATTGCTATACATGAACAACAAAATAGCTAAAAAGGAAATCGAGAAGATGAGGCCATTTACAATAGCTATGAAAAATGAAATACCTAGGAATATATTTAAGAAGTGACTGACAAAAAATAAAAACAAATGGAACGACATCCCATACTCATGGATCCAGAAATATTGTTAAAATGATGATAGTACCTAAAGTAATCTACAGATTAAACACAATCCCTACCAAAATACCAAGGACATTCTTCACAGAATTGGAAAAATCTTAAAATTGTACAGAACCAAAAAAAAACTCTGAATAGCCAAAACAATCCTGAGCAAAAGCACAAACCTGGCATTATGAGACTTCAAAATATACTACAAAACTGTAGTAACCAAAGCCTCCTCCATCCCTGCATGTCCAGGACGCACAGGAATGAACAGGCAGCCGATGCTTGGCCTTCCAGAAGCAACAGCCTGGCTGCAGATACGCAGTCAGCATGCAGACAGATGGGACACCAGCAAATATTCCAGAGAGGAAGGTTATGAAGCCCCCACATGAGAGACCAGGTGGGTTCAAAAGCCATCCAGCCATATCAGCTGAGCATGCAGTACGCAGAGCGGGGGGCATGGGCCTGACATGGAGATGCGAGACAGGGGCCTGCAGAGATGATGGCAGCTCCGTGTGACAAGGGCCTGATGTGGCTGTGGCAAACTGACCAACGTTTCTGGACAGCAATTTGGCAAAATGTTTAAGGAGCCTTTAAAAATTTTTGCTCTTCCAACTAGTCATTCAAAGGAGGTGATGGAAAGGGGCTGATCCAAAATGCAAGAAAAAGAAGGATGACTAAGGAGATTATCCCAGGATTGCTGACGGTGACCAAAAA
This sequence comes from Homo sapiens, assembly GCF_000001405.40. NCBI lineage: Eukaryota > Metazoa > Chordata > Mammalia > Primates > Hominidae > Homo > Homo sapiens. The sequence continues at coordinate 71,409,254 of NC_000011.10, read as the reverse complement.
AATAGGACCTACAGGCTCCACAGAGGATTCATAGCAGATGTGGTAGATGGTGTTAGAAGGAAAACGTTTCCATCAAATATTCCATAACATGCAAATGGCTATAATGTTCCACTGAAAAGTCTAACACAAAACCGTACATACTGTAATATGTGTAGTGTGTATACCTAGCAACTTAGTGAGAGACGCCCTCATGCCCCACTGAGTTTCACCTCACACAGCTGTTCACAGAGGCACTAGATGAACAGAGACCCCTCTGTTTTCTGTGACGACTGTCAGGGTAGAGAGCTGAATATTGGCAAAGGTTACTTCCGATTAGCAGGATTTGGAAAAGGTTTTGTTTTTCTTCACAGTTTTCTCTATTTTCTACAATGAGCCTGTATTCTTTCTTTATCGAAAAAAGATCCAAAAGTCACTTATAAAACGAAGAAAACATTTGTGATAATAAATATTTAATCACAATGCAATATTCGAAAAAGAAAATGGACTCATTCATTTTTGAGGGTAGTTGATTTTTTAAAAACCTATACAGTGCATAAAAGTAGGTTGAAAACAGGCTGGGCATGGTGACTCATGCCTGTAATCCTGGCACTTTGGGAGGTTGAGGCGGGCAGATCACCTGAGGTCAGGAGTTCGAGACCAGGCTGGTCAACATGGCTAAACCCCATCTCTACTAAAAATAGAAAAAAGTGACTGGGTGTGGTGGCTCGCACTTGCAATCCCAGCTACTCGGGAGGCTGAGACAGGAGAATCCCTTGAACTTGAGAGGCGGAGGTTGCAGTGAGCCAAGATCATGCCACTGCACTCCAGCCTGGGCAACAGAGTGAGACTTTGTCTAAAAAAAAGTAGGTTGAAAACAGAAATGCCAAAATATCAGAGGGGTGACCACGGGCGGGGACCTCAGGTGATTTTGATGCTCTGTATCTTTCTGCATGTTTTCTAAACTTGCAAAAATATGGAAAATGTTCTCTAGAAGCAAAGCAGAGGGAGAGAATGGTTTCAACCAGGGCCAGGAGGTCAGTGAAGCTTCCCAGATAAGGCAGCGTTGGAGCTGGAAGTCAGGAATCCGTCTGTGACCACAGCTTGCAGACCACCCAGGGCCCCAGCTCCTCTTGGGGTCTCCCCCTTCCACGAAGGGGAGAGGGGCTGCTTCAGATAAGTGGCTGCGAAGCAGGTCACAGTTTGCTAGAAACAGGTGGAGGCCAAAGCATTAGTGCAGGGCCCCCCTAATCCTCCCTTCTCCAGGGCAGCCATGTGCAAATGGTCATCGGAAAGGACCCCCTTCCAACAAACTGCACACGGCATCCTGGAAGTGGCTCTTGCCCACCCAGGGCCCAGCTCTGGGTATGGGGGGCCACCCACACTACCCTGGGCCCCTGGGCGCTATGAGCCCTAAGCTTAACGCCCAGCACAGTGCCTGTCCCAGGGACCAGTGCCATGCAGTGGCATGGGTAACCGTGTGTTCTCTCCCCCAGCCTCACCGCCATGGACAGCGTGCCCCTCATCTGTGACTACGGCTCTGGCTTCAGCAAGGTGGGATTTGCAGGAATGGAAAGCCCAATGGGCATGTTCCCCACTGTCCTCGGGAAACTTCGGCACGATGTGAGTGATGTCGGGGTCTCTTCCCTGTGGGGTGCTGCTCATCCAGAGGTGGCCTGCTGGCCCGGTCAACCCCATCCCCTCTGCCACAGGGCGGCCAAGGCAATCTGCTGAGCGGGGCGTGGTGGGTGCGAACTTGCCTCCACAAATCCAAGTCGGGAGCACCTGGCTTGATAACATACAGATGGCCGGGCCACCTAGAGTCTCTGCCTCAGCTGGTCGGGGGTGGGAGATGGGGTGGGCAAGGCCTTGCCCCTCTCACCACTCCCAGCATGCGGCCCACTCTGAGAGCCGCAGGCTTAGAGAGAGCAGCGATGTGTAAATCAGTAAAGTGGATGCATTGTGAAAAATCAGTCTTACTGCCCGTCTCCCATCTCTGGCTCTTCTCACATTCAGAGAGGTATGGACACAGAGAAGGAGCAATTTGCCTTTAGGGTAAACGGGAGTCCATTAGGGTGAGTGGCAATGGACACTCAGCCTCCGTGATAGGAAGGCAGTAGGAGGGCAGGTGGGGACCGGGACACAGGCCCTCCAAGAGGCCCATCTCTGACATGCCAGCAAGTGGATCCCACATCGCCAGATCTTCCTGTGTTTCAAGGGAATTTAGAAACACAGGTGTTTCTATTGTGGTAAAGTATACACAGTGTAAAGCTGTGTTAACTGCACAGTTCAGTGGCATCAAGAACATTCACCACCATCTATCTCCAGAACGTTCTCATCCTCCCAAACGGAAGCTCTGGCCCCATTAAAAACCAACTGCTCATCCCCCTCCCCCGGACAACACAGTCGCGTCATAACTGAAACTGGGCGAGTGGGTCTGAGCCTGGCTGCATGCCAGGTAGGGACAGAGATGCCTCTTCTCCCGGAAGAGGAACCACCTGCTCCGAGAGGTGACTTCTCGAATCCACATGGTGACAAAGTGGTGGGGGCAAGACCCCCCAGTGCAACTGCGTTCCCAGCTCATGCTCTGGATCATGGAGCTCATCCTCTGGAAGTTCCAATCGTCCGTGGTAGGGAGCAGCGTCGTGACGTGGAAGATCTCAGATGTCGCAGGACCTCATGGCGATCACTCTTGCTCTTTGCAGCACTTGGAGCAAATTATTGGCAGTGTTTCTAATTATCCAAGATACACTGGCTCCCGGAGCTGTGACAGAGGAGAAAATCCCGTCTCCCTCTCTAAGAGGATAAAATGCACATGGATGCTGGGAGCCAGTGGATTTCCTCCTCGTTGTCCAAGTGGCAGGGATCATAGCAGGGACCACCCTGGCAAATCGCAGGTGCCTGCACTCGAGCTAGCCAACCAGCTTGCTGCTTGGGGATTATGGAGCTCAGTGGTTAAGAGCTGGGGCTTCAGGGCCGGGGAGACTGAGGCTCCAATCTCAGCCCTGTCCTCAGCACATGCATGACTCAGCGCAAGGGTGCTGCTGTGGCAGAGGCATCTCTTTTGCATAATGTGATTGTCCAAAGTATGTATCTCAGAGATTCGGCCTGAAGGTTAAATGAGATGAGTGAATGTATGTTTGGTGCAGTTTCTGGACCATAGGGAGTGTTTAGCAATGATGACGATAGCAGTGATGATAACAATGACTAGTATATTCGTGTATTCGCTTAGAACAACAGAAATGTGGCCATGTGCGGTGGGTCACGCCTGTAATCCCAGCACTTTGGGAGGCCGAGGTGGGTGGATCACCTGAGGTCAGGAGTTTGAGACCAGCCTGGCCAACATGGCAAAACCCCGTCTCTACTAAAAATACAAAAATTAGCTGGGCGTGGTGGCACACGCCTGTAATTCCAGCTACTCTGGAGGCTGAGGCAGGAGAATCGCTTGAACCCGGGAGGCAGAGGGTGCAGTGAGCTGAGATCGCGCCACTGCACTCCACCTGGGCGACAGAGTGAGACTTCATCTCAAAAACAAAACAAAACGAAACAAAAAAAAAAAACAGAAATGTATTTCCTCATAGTTCTGGGGACCTGGAGTCTGAAAGCAAGGTGTCAGCAAGGCTGGCTTCCTCCCAAGGCTCTAGCAGGTGATCTTTCCTGTCTCTTCCAGCTCCTGGGGGCTCCAGGCATCCTTTGGCTGCCTCCGTCTTCACATGGCCTCCTTCTCTTTTTCCTTTTCTGTCTCAAATCTCCTCCTGCCTCTGTCTTAGAAGGACACTTGTCATTGGATTTGGGGCCCATCCAGGTAATCCAAGGTGATTCTCATCTTGAGATTCTTAACTATCACTTCTGCAAAGACACTCGATGCAGATAGTCACCTGAGACTCCAGGTGGACATAATGATAGGGGGGTGGGCATCATTCAACCCACTACAGTTACAATGTGGAATTTCATCTCAGCTCTCAGCCCCTCCTCCAGGGAAGGGGCCTTATCCTTGGAGTATGAATTGACTTAGAGGGGGTGCATTAGGGAGCATCTGCTGAGAGCAAGGCTCTCCCCTCCAAATCCACCCCAGCTAGGCTGCAGGCACTGTTGCCGTCTCCCATCACCCCCATGTGGGACTGTCCTAGTTGCAGGAAAACAAGCTCAGGGCCACACACAATAAAGGTAATGCACTTGAATCATCCCGAAACCATCCCCTGCCCTGCTCAGTGCAAAAATTGTCTTCCATGAAACTGGTCCCTGGTGCCAAAAAGGTTGGGGAACGCTGACCTAGATGGTGAAACACAAGATCACAGCGAGAGGAAAATTCTTTGCCAAAACAGAATGAGTGACCAAGATGAATTATGGGGCAGCAGACTGCTTGGCTCAACCACAGCAGATTGGGCTCTTGATTTGGTTTTATTTTCATGGGCAGCTGGGAGTAAGTTTCAGTCTCTGAGAGAGGTCACCTTTTTTTCTAGATCTAAGCTCCATGTCCCTCCCCACAAGCTCGATGCAGTGCCCTTAACTCCCAAGTCAAGAAGTCATAGCCACAGAGACCCAGGGTGTCCTTCGGGGCTCCGCCACCCTCACGCCCCTTCCAAGGCTTAAGTCTGGCAGCCAAGATGGCAGTGAGACCCCTCGTAGGAGGACTTGTGAGAACAGAGAGGCAGGATGAAGGCATTGCCCAAAGTCATTGGGTTGCTTCCAAGTAGAGCAGCCGCTCTGACCCACAGGCCTCCTGACGAAAGGACACCAGGCCCAGCACTGTCCATCTTTTTATCTCAAACAGCAACTTCGAACTGGAGAAAACATTGTTCCTTCTGCACACCCATGACTTTGTCCCTCCCCCACCGCCTACCCACCACACTTAGATGTGGGTGGCTGAGAAACGTTCGAGGAGGTGGCAGCAGTGACAATCCCTCCTACCATGATGTCAGCTTATGAAATGCATTCCTGCTGGTGGGCTTAATTGACTTGATCCTCCAGCAGCGCCATGGCGAGGTGTGAGGAAGAGAGGTCATTGTTCCCACTGGACAGGGAAGAAGATAGAGGCTCAGAGAAGAAGATGGAGGCTCAGAGAAGGAGATGGAGGCTCTGAGAGGGAGATGGAGGCTCCGAGAAGGAGATGGAGGCTCAGAGAAGGAAATGGAGGCTCAGAGAAGGAGATGGAGGCTCAGAGAGGGAGATGGAGGCTCTGAGAGGGATATGGAGTCTCTGAGAGGGAGATGGAAGCTCAGAGAAGAAGATGGAGGCTCAGAGACGGAGATGGAGTCTCCGAGAGGGAGATGGAGGCTCAGAGAAGAAGATGGAGGCTCAGAGAAGGAGATGGAGGCTCCGAGAAGAAGATGGAGGCTCAGAGAGGGAGATGGAGGCTCAGAGAGGGAGATGGAGGCTCAGAGAAGGAGATGGAGGCTCAGAGAGGGAGATGGAGGCTCAGAGAAGAAGATGGAGGCTCAGAGAAGGAGATGGAGGCTCAGAGAAGGAGATAGAGGCCCAGAGAAGAAGATGGAGGCCCAGAGAAGGAGATGGAGGCTCTGAGAAGGAGACGGAGGCTCCGAGAAGGAGACGGAGGCTCTGAGAAGGAGACGGAGGCTCAGAGAGGGAGACAGAGGCTCAGAGAAGAAGATGGAGGCTCAGAGAAGGAGATGGAGGCTCCAAGAAGGAGATGGAGGCTCAGAGAAGAAGATGGAGGCTCAGAGAAGGAGATGGAGGCTCCAAGAAGGAGATGGAGGCTCAGAGAAGAAGATGGAGGCTCAGAGAAGAGATGGAGCCTCCAAGAAGGAGATGGAGGCTCAGAGAAGAAGATGGAGGCTCAGAGAAGGGACACGACTTTCCCCAGGTCTCATAGCTGGTGATTCTCATCCCAAATCCAAACCTCTTCTGCTGAAGAGACAAACTCCTAAGATAGAAAAGCTCTGAGCAGGTGAGCTGTGGCTGCCTGGAGAAGGGGCCTCACTCTGAAATCACTGCTCCATTGCATCTCTGCACCATTGCACTCTTGCACCCGGCATCATGGCACTGTTGAGCCACTGCACCATGGCATGGTTGTTCCACCACATGCACCATTGCACCATGGCACCATGACATCATTGCACCATGGCACTATAACGTCACTGCACCGTGGCACCACGAGGTCACTGCAGCATGGCACCATTATGTTACTGCAGCACAGCAACACGACGTCGTTGCAGCACAGCACCATGGCGTCATCGTAGCATGGCACCATTATGTCACTGCAGCATGGCACCATGACGTCATTGCACCGTGGCACCATGACGTCACTGCACCATGGCACTATAACGTCACTGCACCATGGCACCATGGCCTCATTGCAGCACGGCACCATTATGTCACTGCAGCATGGCACCATGATGTCATTGCACCGTGGCACCATGACGTCACTGCACTGTGGCACCATGGCCTCATTGCAGCATGGCACCATTAAGTCACTGTGGCACAGCACCATTGCACTGAGGCCATCCTTCCTACCTGCTTCTCCCAGCCAATGACTGAGGATGGCAGTGACACCAAGGCAAGTCAAGCCCATTTTTGGGAAACCCAGCACTCCTGTGATAAATGAGCCTGGCTCAAGAACTCTCCAACAACCTTGCAAAGGTTCCATTCCCTTAGACGGCATGGTGGCTAAGGTCACCCACCCAATCTGCTTCCCTGTTCCCTGCACCCAGGCTCAGACTTGGACAGCAGCCTGTTGTCTCTTCGATCTTTGTCCTGCTGTCTCCCCACTGTCCCCAATGTGTGCGTATTCCCTAATCACATTCTTGCACCTTTCATTCCATCCTGGTGTCTGTTTCTCAGTGGACCCAGATGAACACATGGGCCATCAAGTAAAATCACCTCTGAATGATGGAACAGATGGCTTAATCTGCCATGAAAGTAGCCAGGTTTATCTTCCTAAAAAAATAACAGAAGTTGAATTACATCACAGACCCTTTCCCGGTCAACCTTCCGAAGCAAATGTGGAAGCAGTGACAATCCCTCCTACCACGATGTCAGCTTATGAAATGCATTCCTGCCGGTGGGCTTAATTGACTTGATCCTCTAGCAGCACCGTGGCATTCCTGGTGCATCTCCCCTCACCTCTCCTTCCTCAGCAGCCTCTCTCCTTGCTGTCCCATTTCCTCATCTACGAAGTGGACAGGACAAATATCCTAGGAATGACTCCTCGGGCACACTCTTACCTTGCAGGTACTTTGCTAAAACCTCTTAGTGGCCATTTCTGAAATAGCTCACAGGGCTCGGGGAGGTCGTGGATGCCCGTGCTGTGGCTTGGAGTCTCCCACGAAGGCCACTGTGGCCTCCCAGCCACTGCTCACTGGGTCTCCACAAATGAAAGCCAGCTGCAGGGGAGTCCAACCCCAGTCACCCCTAGAAGCTGATCTGTCCTGGCCTGTGTCTTTCAGAATGTATTGGTGGGGATGGAAGAGGAAGACTGGTTCATTGGAGAGGAGGTTCAGAAAAAATGAGGGAAACTCAACCTGCAATACCCCATTTCTCGGGCAATAACAACCAACTGGGACAACATGGAGAAGGTGGGTACAGCTTCTGCCAGGCAGGACGTGTTCATAGGCCTCCCTAGCTAGGTCCAGCTATGAGACAGAGGTGCAGGCCTTCCTAACACAGACCCTGCTGTGAGGGCTGAGGGAGATGATGGATAAAAAGTCCTCAGTCCTGGCCAGGCACAGTGGCTCATGCCTGTAATTCCAGCACTTTTGGAGGCCGAGGCAGGTGGACAGCTTGAGTGCAGGAGTTTGAGTCCAACCTGGGAAACATAGTGAGAATCCATGTCTACAAAAAATTAAAAAATAATCTGGCTGTGGTGGTGTGCCACTGTGGTCCCAGCTACTGGGGAGGCTGAGGTGGGAGGATTGCTTGAGCCTGGGAGGTGGAGGCTGCAGTGAGCTCCAATTGTGTCCTTGTGCTCCAGCCTGGGCAACAGAAGGAGACCCTGTCTCAAAGCAGACAAACAAATGGCAAAAAAGTCTTCAGTCCCAAACACTAAGAAGTGGTAAGTATGGTGAACTTGCAGCTCCCTCACTTAGTAACTGAAGTTCTGGCTAGGACCTCCATGTGCATTTGGACAGGCCGTGCACTGCCTTAGAGGATGTACCTGTTAGTTACTGTGTCCCTGTCCCAGCCACAGACGAGGCAGCTTCAATAGCAGGAATTCATTACCTCACCATCCTGGAGGCTGGAAGTCCAAGGTCAAGGTGTGGGCCGAGCTGGTTCCTTGCAGGGCCGTGCCGGAGCCTGTGTCCTGGGCCTCTCCCCTGGTGGCTGTCAGTCTTTGGCTCCCCTTGGCTCACAGATGTGTCACCCCGATGTCTGCCTTCAGGTTCACGTGGCATTGTCTGTGTCTGTGTCCACATTTTCTCCTTCCTATGGGATTGGGGACCCAGCCTCCTCTTAAGTGATGGCATCTGCAACAACCCTGTTTCCAAATAAGGTCCCATTCAGACGTACGGGGGCTAAGACTTCAAAATATGAATTTTGGGGCGACACAATTCAACTGATCACAATGTTCTAATGCTGCCTTCACACATTAGCCCCAAATGCAGAGGCTCAAAATGCCAATGGTCATCACTCTCAGTTTTGTGGGTCAGGAATCTGGGAGTGACTCCTCAGGCTGGTTCTGGCTCGGGGTCTCAAGTGGCTGCCACAGCTCAGGGGCTGTGTTGGCTGCAGGCTTGACTGGGGCTGGAGAAGCCCCTTCCAAGGCGGCAGTATCAGGTGGCCGTGGGGTGCTTCCTCTGCATGGGGGTCTCCCTCCAGGGCTGTTCAACTTCTTGCCAGCCTGGCGATTGGCTTCCCCCATGGGGAACTATGGAAAAGGCCAAGGTGGAGGCACCAGGCCACCGTGGCACAGCCCGGGCCGTCGCACTGTTACTTCTGCCACATTCTGTTGGTCACACAAGCCAGTCCTGATTCCATGTAGGAAAGGTCTGCACAGGGCGTGACTTCCAGGGCCTGAGGGCCATGGGGCCATCTTGGCAGGGGCAGTGGTAACACCGTTCACAAGTGTTTTTTCCTGCACAGCTGTGGCTGTGGCTCCCAATGTGACGGGAATGCAGAAACACGGGCCGTGTAGACAGGTCTTGGAGAGCACAGCTTCAGCTATGGGCCCCAGGGGTCCCCCGCCGTCTGCTGCCTTGTGGGGGGCTCACCTGCCTGAGGGAGCCCAAGGCTCTGGGTCCTGCATGGCTTCAGGGGTCCTGGCTCCTGGCTTCACCATCTTTCCTGAATTGCCAGCATCACACACTGACCCTCCTCTGTGCCCATGTCTCCCACCTCCTCCCTCTCATCACCCCGCCCTGTCTTCAGGAGACTCTTCCAAGCTCATGTCTGGCTGTGTCCCTTCCCTGCCTCAGGCTGGTCATCTAAGGATGGGCCACACCTGCAGCTGATGCCTGGCTCTTGCTCTTTCACAGGGATTGTGGCCTCATGCTTCCAGGTCCTGTGCCTGCCTGCAGGAGGCCGCCCCTCCACACTGCCCTCCCCCAGGGGCACGTCCCCCCACAGGGACAGGCAGCCGACTCACACCTGATAACCAACCATGGTGTACTGAGCCCCTACTGTACTGGGTGTGAGGGGCTGAATTGTGTCCCCCAACATTTACATGTGAAATCCTAGCCTCCAATGCCTCAGAGTGTGACTGTGCTTGGAGATAGCAGCTTTAAAGCGGCAACTAGGTTAAGAAGACATCATTAGGGTGGGCCCTAATCCAATGTGACTGGGGCCTTATCAGAAGAGGAAGTTGGATGCAGACACACAGTGGGGGACCCTGTGAGGACACAGCCAGAAGAAGACAGTGCCTGCAGGCCGAGGACAGAGGCCTTGGGAGGGACCAGCCCTGCGGCGCCTTCATCTGGGACTCCAGCCTCCAGAATGGGAGACGATGAGTGTCTGCGGTGCGAGGTGCCCTGTCTCTGGGGCTTTGTGATGGCAACCGTGGGACATGAATGCACCAGACTTCTCGGCGAGGCCACCATTTCACTGTCACACTCCTCTGTGAGGCAGGGAACATTTCCTGTTTTGAGGATGAGGAATGAGGTTCAACAGAATCAGGTTGCTTGTCCGGGGCTGGCCTGGTGTGCGGTGGAGCTTCCGTTCATACTGGGCTCACACCTGCACTCTCTCCCTATGCAGCATCCACCCGTCTGAGCCCCCAGTTTGTATCACACCCTTGAAGTCCTGGTGGTGGTATCCGACCACATCAGGCCACGAGATGCTCTAGCCAAGCTCTGGGCCTCACTGGTCTCAGCCCCACATCCTAGCCCCAGGCCTGGTGACCGAGTGGCGGTTCTGCATCTTGCTGAAGCCACGCTGTCTCCCTGATGCTCCCTCAGATCAGGATGACCTCTCTGTCACTCAGCCATCACAAGTGCTATTTACGATGCTGCTTTGACGGCTGGCTACAGTGGCTCACACCTGTTATCCCAGCACTTTGGGAGGCTGAGGTGGGTGGATAATCTGAGGTCAGGAGTTCAAGACCAGCCTGGCCAACATGGCAAAACCCTGTCTCAACTGAAAATACAAAAATTAGCTGGACGTGGTGGCATGCACCTGCAGTCCCAGCTACTTGGGAGGCTGAGGCAGGAGAATCACTTGAACCGGGGAGTTGGAGGTTGCAGTGAGCCGCCGAGATCGTGCCACTACACTCCAGCCTGGGCGACAGAGCGAGACTCTGTCTTGGAAAAATAGAAATAGTAAAATAAAAATAAAATACTGCTTTGTCAAACAAATAACATAAAATAAGATAACATAAAATAACAAAACCTAAAGCCTTGCCTGGTCCTGCAGCCATGCCCTGCCCCGTTTGCAGAAGTCTGGCCTTGGCCCCAGGAAGCTGCTGACTCTGTATCCCGTCTTCTCCCAGATTTGGCACCACTCCTTCTACCAGGTGCTCCACGTCGCCCCAGAGCAGTACCCCATGTTGGTGACGGAGCCGTCTTTGAACCCAACACCCAGCAAAGAGAAAGTCACACAGGTACCGGGGCCAGTGGTGGTGAGGGCCTCAGGGGGTCAGTATCTGGTCTCCCCTGAGCGAGGGGCAACCTCGGCCTCACCTGCTCCTTGCTCGGCAAGAGGAGGACGCTGGTCAGGGGACACCCCCTCGACACTCACGCCAAGCATGCCGGCCTCCGCCGGGGTGCTGGCCAGGGGCCGGACACTGCATACATGTGACTTCATGCAGGCCTCCCAACCAGCCATGGGGCAGAGGACCATCCTCCCCTTTGTACATATGAAGAGCCTGCGGCAGCAGGGAGCTTAAGCAATTTGGCTAAGGTCATGCGGAGTGTCGCTGGCGTGCTTGCCTAGACCCCAGTGGTCTCGCCCTGAAACTCCACTCTCAGCCACAATTCAGTTGTCCTAGATGCAGGTCTGACTCCGGCCTCTGATTCTGGTTTAAAAGCTCCTGGGTCTCTTCTCTGAGCTTCCTCTTGGGCCTGCCCACCAGGCAGGAGGCACTGGTGTGTGTTGACAGGGTGGCCCTGATGGGGCTGGGCAGTGGGGCCTGGCAGGGGCCCAGGCTGGAGAAGAGAGGAAGGTGTGGCACTCTCCTTAAGGCTGGGGTGGGGGCTGCTGGGCTGCCGCTGGCTACCATGTTCCCATCACATCATTAGCTGCTCCTAATGAGGACATTTGGTGAGCTCATTAAGCAAGCAGCACAGTTCCACCACCTGGCCCAGGGTCCCTGGAGCCCAGCGGTGTCTCCCGCAGTGAGCCGTGACCCACAGACAGACCCAGGGCTCAAGGCGCCACCTGCTCCCTGCAGAGGCACACACGGCGGCCCAGAAATGGCAGCTCTATCCATCACAGTGCAGGCATGAGCTGCCACCTCATTTGAGAAAAAGCCCTGAGCGGACCCTTGAGTCCTCCTCGGCTTGTGGAGAGGTGGATCACAGGAGTAGGCCACAGCTGGGCTGCCTGGTTGGGGCGCAGCAGGCTCCTACTTTCAGACTGTCGAGTGCCCGTGAGGCGGTGGGGAGCTGGAGAAGGAGTGGGGCGGCCCTCTCCACAGGGGACATCTCACTCCCCGGCGGGGGCAGCAAAGTTCTCTGGAGACACAGAAGAGTGGGATGAGCGTAGACACGGAGAGGGGTTCAGGATGAGGGCCTGGCTCACACAGTGACGGAGGCCGGCAAGTTCCAGGCTCTGCGGTTGGGAAGCTAGAGCCCCAGGAGGGCCCGTGCTGTGGCTCCAGTCTGGAGGCCGGCGGGGTCTAGACCCAGGAAGAGCCAATGTCCACTCCCAGTCTGAAGGCAGGAAAGGGTTGGTGTCTGGGTGCAGGCAGTTGGGCCGGAGGGGCTACCTCTTACTCTGTCCTTTTGATGGAATCAGGTCTGCAACTGATTGGATGAGGCCCACCCACATCCAGGAGGGCTGTCTGCTTTACGCATCCCCTGATCCACGTGTTGGTCTCACTCAGAGACACCCCACAGACACACGCTGAAGAACACCTGGCGAAACCCCAGGCGCCCCGCGGCTGGGTGCCGTTGGCCTGTGGGATGAGCCAGGGCTCCAGCCGTGCGGTTGGCATCCAGCCTGCCTCTGTGGCTTCCCACCTGCTGGGTGCACTGCCTGCCTTTCTGCCCTGGTCCTCTCCAAATTCACCCTCTAACTGTATCAGGGACCCAGCAGGAAGTCAAAGGTACACTCACATGGGGCATGTTTAGTGAGAGTGTCATAAAGAGATTATACACAAAGGTGAGCGTGAGTTTTAGAAAAAAGCCCCATGAGAGCGTGCGGTATCCAGGGGTGTCCCGGGGCAGCTGCTACCACCCCTAAGCCTGAAAGAGCAGTGGATGGTTATCAGTTCCCAGGGAGGGCTGTCGCCCAGGCGCTGTGGCCTTCAGAAGAGGGACCCAGCAGGGAGGGAGCTGGGACGTCAGCAAGCCCTCCCCTCCCCTCCCTGGATCTCCTTCTGGGGCCCTGTGGGCAGAACCTGATGGGTGACCCAAGAAAGAGGAGCCCAGGACAGACATCATGAGGAAGGCGGGGGCTTCTGCAGGCCACAGGCAACTGCTAGCCCACCCGCGTGGGGCTTCTCCTCACTGTGGGCAAAGGGATATTTCTACATCTGTGGGCCCTGCTTTGAACTCTCCATCCCGCACCCAGCCCCAGCAGGCCTCAAAAAATTCCCACAAAGACAAAAGCCAGCCTTGACTTCCGTGGGCCTGCTGTGGGGCCAGAAGGTTACAGAGCTCACATGGTCTTCACGGTCCTTCCCTATGGTCCGATTCCCATTTTACAGATGAGAAAACTGAGGCCTGGGACCAGCAAGTGATGGCATTTGTGGAATGCTCAGTATACACTAAGCACTGTGGCACGGGCTTTACGGGTGTTAACTCATGTTGTCCTCAGCACCATCCCCAGGGAGGTACCACTACTCTCCTTCTGATGAGGAAACTGAGGCATAGCGAGGAGCAGTTGTCTCCCAAGGTCACACATGCTGTAAGAGCCAGGCCTAGAACCCAGGGGTCCTGCTGCCAGGCCAGGCCCTTCCCTGAACTCTGGGCTGCTCCCAGTGTCCACACCCCAGTACTTCACACCCTGGGGCCACTGTGCACCTGTCCTAATCATCCTGAGCCAGGTACCAGACATCCACGGACAGCCCCCATACCCAGGAGCCCATCTGTAGGGAGTCTGCCATCTAATCCAAGTCTCCCCACAGTCCTAAGAGGTGGCTGGGATGGGTATGGGTCTATTTTACAGACTGGGAAACTGAGAGTGTCCCGGAGCTCATCGGAGCAAAGCTGGGATAAGGAGGAATGTGTTTCTGTGTCCATGGTCTGGGTCTCTCTTGGGTGGTGCAGGGAACCAAGTGCCTCTTGCAGGCGGTACTCATGTTGCCTGGGTAGTTAAGGAGAAGCCCACCTCATCTGCGGGCCTGGCTGCCAGGGGTGGCTGATGTTTCTCCCTAGGTGCTGTTTGAGATTTTCAACATACCTGCCCTGTATTTAGCTAACCGAGGAGTCCTTTCTCTGTACGCCTCTGGCCAGACCTTCGGTGAGTAGCCCTGTGGGAGCCCCATAGCCTCCGCCTCCCTCCGGCTGAGACGCTCACCACTGCGCGCAGCCCACTCCCTCCCTGACCAGTAACGAAAGACAAAGACCCACACAGCTCGCACTCTCCAGACCCTTTCATCCCTCCTGGTTAAATGATTCGCTCCCAGGTTTTAACAGTTTACTTTACTCACTTTTTTTTCTTAATAGCTTTCTCGAGGTGTAATTGATATACGATAAATTGCATGTGTTTAAAGTGTACAATTTGCTAAGTTTTGACACATGTGTCTACTCTTGAAGCCTTCAGAACCAAGATAATGAATGTATCTGTCACCCCTAATCTTTTCCCTGGCACCACACAGTCTGCCCCTCCAGTCTGTCCCCAGAGAGCCACCAGCTGCCTTGGAGTCTGCATTTTCTAGAATTTTGTATGAATGGACCAGAAGGTCAGCACTTTTTTGGGGTTTCTTTTTTTTTTTTTTTTCACACAGTGTAATTACTTGAAGATTTATTCTTGTGTGTGGGTTGAGAGTTCATGTCTTCTCATTGCTGGATAGTAGCCCATCTTATGAATACATTGTACTTTATCCACTTGTGAACGAATATTTGAGTTGTCGGTTTGGGGCTATTGTAAATAAAGCTGCTATGGGCCGGGTGCAGTGGCTCACGCCTGTAATCCCAGCACTTTGGGAGGCCGAGGTGGGCGGATCACGAGGTCAGGAGATCAAGGCCATCCTGGCTAACACGGTGAAATCCCGTCTATACTAAAAGTACAAAAGATTAGCCAGGTATGGTGGTGGGCACCTGTAGTCCCAGCGACTCAGGAGGCTGAGGCAGGAGAATGGCATGAACCTGGGAGGCAGAGCTTGCAGTGAGCCCAGATCATGCCACTGCACTCCAGCCTGGGTAACAGTGCAAGACTCCGTCTCAAAAAAAAAAAAAAAAAAAAAAAAAAAAAAAAAGCTGCTATGGGCATTTGTATACAGTATAAGTACTGTGTAAGTATTATTTGTCAATTAAAACAATAAAAGGAAAAAAAATCCTGGTATGATTTTTCCTCTTCTACCTTTTGGACCACTACTGTGAAACCTGCATGTGTGGTGTCATAAGAAAACTTGTGGGCCACCATCCACAACAGCCAGCCCTTTTGTTCCTTCTTGTGCACTCCCCTTTCGGGGAAGAAAGCTGGCTCCTGAGAATCTTTGTCTTCTCCTCTGTTAGCTCCCCTCTGCCTTCTCTCACTGCAGATATAACAATTGTAAGGGATGTCATTGGCTTTGCATTATGGTACCAGCATGTTCTCTTGTCTAGGCATGACTGTTGAATCTGGAGAAGGAATGACACACTTCGTGCCCATCGCTGATGGCTGTCCTTTGCATCAGTCAACCTTCCAGGTGGACATAGCGGGCCAGGACCTAACCTCGTACCTCCTGCAACTGTTGAAAGACAATGTGCAATTATTGGTGGGCACAGGTAGGAAATTGCTATTCTTGGCTGGGTAAACTAGTCTCTGGGGTATAATAGCCTTCTTTGCTAGCTCAACCTACAGCCCTCAGTGTGTAAAGCTAAGACTACTTAACCATCATTCAAGTTCTAAAAACAACTTTATTTATATTTAGGGACATTTAGTGGATTGATGATGATGATAAGGACAATGATAATGATGATAACGATTATGGTGGTGGCAATGACGGTGATAGTGATGGTGACCATGATGGTGATGACAGTGATGCTGATGATGGTGATGGTGATGGTCATATGGTGATTGGTGGTGATGGTGATGATGGTGGTGGTGATGGTGATGATGACAATGATGGTGATGGTGATGATGATGGTTATAGTAATGGTAACAATGATTGTGATGATGGTGGTGGTGGTAATGATGGTGATGGTGATGATAGTTATGATGACAGTTGTTAAGATGATGATGAGCTAAACTTTATAGAGAACTTATCCTGTAGAAAGCACCAGGCCAAGTAAACATTTCACATGCATTTTCTCATTGCTTCTCACTATAACCCTACGAGAGGGAACAATTATTTCCATTACAAGAGGAAGATGCAGCCAGGTGCAATGTCTCATATCTGTAATCCCAGCAATTTGGGAGGCTGGGGTGGGAGGATCACTTGAGCCTAGGAGTTTGCGATCAGCCTGGGCAACACGGCAAGACCCGGTCTCTACAAAAAGATTAAAAAATTAGCAGGGTGTGGTGATGAGCAACCTGTAGTCCCAGCTACTTAGGAGACTGAGGCAAGAGGACCACTTGAGCCCAGGAGTCAGAGGTTATAGTGAGCTCTGATGATACTACTGTATGCCAGCCTGGGTAACAGAGCAAAGCAACACCCTGTCTCTTAAAAAACTAATAATAACAGGAAGAGGCTCAGGAAGGCTATTAGAAGATTTGCCCAACATTCCATAAATGATAAATGGTATAGCAGCTGGGATATGAACCCAAGGCTCCAGGTAAGGTGCCTGTCCTTCTCTGCACCCAGTTCCTGGACTAGATTCCCAGCCTGTATAACCTGCATGACACCCATTCCCAGTGAGCCTACAATCTTGCATCCCAGGGTCTTCCTTGAAGACCAAGAGGTCTGTGTCAAAAGCGATGCAAAGCATGGAATCTTAAAGAATAACAGCAATTAGAGGGAAAGTGAGAAGGGTTGCAGGGCAAAGTCATAGCATGTTATTGATGCCTCACACCTGGTGAGCTCTTGGTGAGCATCGTTGCCTCTCGTCCTTCCAACAGTCCTGCGAATGATCATTTATCCCATTCTTGCAGATAAGGGAAGGGAAGGTTTAAGAGGTTAATGAAGTTTCCTAAAGCCAGGCATTGGGTCAATGGCAGAGATGGGATTTGAACCCAAATTTGCCTCATCAAAGCCCCAACTACATGAAGAAAGGAACAAATATCAGGAGAGTGCAGCATCCCAGAAGCCGAGGAAAGAAGGGAGTGATTAATAACCTCAGCTGCCGAGGGAAAGAGGTCAGGAAAGAACCAAAGAGTGTCCTCAGGTTTTTGGATCTAGGAGTACAGAACAGACCCAGGCAACAGCAGGTTAGGTGGAGCGAGTGAAGGTAGAAGGCAGACGTCAGGGTGCTGAAGAGCAAGTGACATTTCCAGGTGGGCGGTGCAGAGTTCCCCGATCCAACTCAAAAAGAGTGATAGAAAAAGTGTAAAACCATAAGCGAGAAGACACAGCTGGGTTTAAAGCCTGTTGTCAGCCATCCAAAAAGAGAAGGAGTGTATGTAACCTTCCAGATATTTCTGGGTGGGGATTTTGATCCACTGTGGGCAATTCTCCAGAGAAGAGGGCAGCTGTGAGCAGGCGGCAGCTGGGGGATGGGGCACCAACAGCACCGCTCATAGCAGTAGATAAGAAAGTCGGGTTTGCTTTTCCAGCTCCCCCCCACCCTCCCCCAAACATACACTGTATGTAGAAGGAGATCAACTTCTGAAACGCTGAAATTTCCTAATCCCTTTTATCTTAGTTCAAGACATACTTATTCTACTCTTCCACAAACTCAGGCTCAACACATGGCACAAACAAGAGTGCCAGGAGTGTGAAATGGAAATAGAAATGACAGCTCCAGTGGTGCAGCCTCAACCTCACCAAAGGTGCTTCTGTGAACTCATCTCATTTTCATGCCTTTTTCTGTTTGGCACTTTTCCTTTGTCCCACAGGGGATCGAGAGTACATCCGGGACATGAAGGAGAAATGCTGCTATGTGGCTTTGGACTTTGACAAGGAAAAGATGAAAACTGATTCACCTTCATGCCAACAGAAATATCAGCTGCCTGATGGCCAAGAGATCACCGTTGGGCAGGAGAGCTTCTTCTGCCCCGAGGTGCTCTTCTAGTCAAAACTCATAGGTGAATCCGCAGGAAGGGGACAGAAATTAGCCTGGACATGAGCAAGCGAACACCCTGTAAGGAAGAAGGGGCCAGGCATGGTGCCTCACGCCTGTAATCCCAGCACTTTCGGAAGCTGAGGCGGGTGGATCACCTGAGGTCAGGAGTTTGAGACCAGCCTGGCCAACATGGTGAAATCCCGTCTCTACTAAAAATACAAAAATTAGCCAGGCAGGGTGGCATATTGCCTGTAGTCCCAGCTACTCAGGAGGCTGAGGCAGGGGAATCGCTTGAACCTGGGAGGTGGGGGTTGCAGTGAGCCGAGATTGCACCACTGTGCTCCAGCCTGGGCAATAGAGCGAGACTCCATCTGAAAAAAAGAAGGACAGCAAGGAAGGAAGGAGGGAAGGAAGGAAGGAAGGAAGGAAGGAAGGAAGGAAGGAAGGAAGGAAGGAAGGGAAGTAGGGCTGCCAGGAGGGGGTGTGGTTTGAGTAGCAAACAGGCACACTGTTTCAAAAGCTCCTCTGACACCAGCTAACACTCACTAGGCACTTACAGTCTGCCTGTCACTTCACTGACCATTGCGAGTGTTATATCCTTGAATCCACCCCCAAATCCACCTCTGTAAAATTATCCCATTTTACAGAGAAGGAAACTCACCAAAAAGGTCTTCTCTTTCAAAATGTATTGTTTGTACTCTGCCTACTTACAAAATAATCTGAAATATAAATTTCAATACAATTTAAGACAGACATGTAATCACCCTGGATTTGGAGGGAGCTTTACAAATGTGGCTGATCTAGAGACTTTGAGTTAGCATGGAGCTGCCTAAACGCTTCAGCTGGTACATTTGTCCTGGTGGAACGGGAGAAATGACAGAGGGTGAAATCCCTACTGGTGGGGAAGATGGAATCTCCCTGGTCGACATGGAAAAGCAGGTGTTCCCCGGAGTCCAATTCTTCATTTGTTACCTTCATAAAGGACAACGGGGAATTAAGGGTGGGGAAGTAACCATTTCCCCAGGTTGAGGACTCAGTGAGTACCTGGCACTTAGAATCTTCTGTAAGTTAGTTGGTTTATCTCTGTGTTCCTCTCTTCAACTGTGCAGGGGATGGTCTGGTCACGTGCACCACCAATGTGAAGTAGAGAAGAAATTGAGGTTCTTCACCCACTGTGGGGAAGTTCTCCCCGGGGTCTGGCTGGGTCCCAGTGAACAGGAGCACCACCCCAGATCGGTGAAACTAGCAGGGCCTTTCTGCTGGGCCTCTCTTAAATGCCCCTTGGGGTTAGCCTTTTGTCATGAGTCCAAGGTTATTCGGCAATTTTTCCTCACAGGCAAGAGGCACGGAAGGCACCACGCAGCCTTCCCAGGGGCTCACAATTTTGAACAGAAAATATTAGGTTGGTGCAAAAGTAATCGATTACATTTGCACCAACCTAGTAATACAAGGCACACATCTCTTCAGGGCAGTTCTCATTATATTTGAGTTTATTCATGTGGCCAAATGATGAGCCAAGAAAGGAGGGATCAGTGTCATTTCTCAAAGACTGCCTGAAGGAGGATGCTGCCTCGACAGGAATCTTTTTATACAATTGATATCAAGGCATTACATGTTAAGAACTGTCAATAACAGTTGAATATAAATTCTCCTGGAGGAGAGTGGAGAATTCCTATTTATTTCCTCAACCAGGAGCAGCTGAGTCCTGTCATCTGACCGGGTGGCTCCCTGCATTCCCTGATGGGAGCCCAGCTAAGCTAAGGTTTGCCTACCTTGCTGGGTGTTACCTAAGGCTCAGGGAGGTTTCCAGCACCCAAGGCCTTCCGCTGGGAGGCAGGGGCCCAGGTGTGCAGCCGCCAAGCCTCTGGCTTCCAACATTCTTTCTCCCTCTGCCTGTCCTGACAGGGAAAAACACCCCTGGCATCCACACGAAGGCCATCCAGAGCATCACTTCCTGCAACCCCGACCTCCAGAAGGTTCTCTTTGGCCACATGCTACTGTCCGGAGGGACGGGCTCCTGCCCCGGCTTGCGATTCCGGATGCAGAGAGAAATATCTGAGCTGGTGTCCCCTACAGTTTATGTGAAGGTGAGGCTTCCCCAACCCATCCCCTCTGGGAGCGCTTCAAATTCATTCCACAGATGTACCTTGAACGCATCAGATACGCCAGGCACGGCTCCTGGCACCTGGGAAGTCCTTCTGGGAAGTCTTTGGAGCTTTCACTCTAGTTGCCGGGGGAAGCAATAAACGTCATGAATAAACATGAAGGGGACATGAGTGGCATGTCAGGAGGGCTGTGATCCATGGGGAAAGTGCAGCAAAGGACGGGGTGGGAGGGAGTGTGGGCAGGGCCGGGGGTGCTGAATACAAGGTGGGCCAGAGTGGGCCTCCTCAAGAAGAGGACATTGGGTAAGCACTTGAGGTAAGGGTGAGCCATGTGGATATCTAGGGAAGAACATTCAGCCATGGGGGGAACAGCCCATGCAGTGGCTCAGAGGCTTGCTTCCTGGAGGAAGGGCAAGGAGGGGTTGGCTGGGGCCGAGTGAGCAAAGGCAACAGGAAAGCAAGGTCAGAGATGCCGCAGAAGGACATCCATTCCAAGAGGGGCTGGAAACCCCCGGCAGGGTTCAGCAGAGGAGAGACATTGTCCAAGTAGGCTCTGGAGAACTGCTCAGGCTCCTGTGCAGAGAGTAGATGTCATAGGGACACAAGGTGTGGACAGTCAGGACATTAGGACTGTTGGGATGTTGGGACTGTCAGGACATTGGGACTGTCAGAATGTTAGGACTGCCAGGATTTGGGGACTGCTGAGATGTCAGGACTGTCAGGATGTCGGGACTGTTGGAATGTTGGGGCTGTTGGAATATTGGGACTGTTGGGATGTCGGGACTGTTGGAATGTTGGGACTGTTGGAATGTCGGGATTGTTTGGATGTCGGGACTGTTGGGATGTTGGAGCTGTTGGAATGTTGGGACTCTTTGGATGTCGGGACTGCTGGGATGTTGAGACTGTCGGGATGTTGGGACTGTTGGGATATTGGAACTGTTGGGATGTTGGGACTGTTGGGATGTTGGGACTGTTGGACTGTTGGGACTGTTTGGATGTCGGGACTGCTGGGATGTTGAGACTGTCGGGATGTTGGGACTGTTGGGATGTTGGGACTGTTGGGATGTCAGGATTGTTGGAATGTCAGTACTATCGGGATGTTGGGACTGTCAGATATCGGGACTGTAGGGATGTTGGGACTGTTGGGATGTCAGGACTGTTGGAATGTCGGGACTGTAGGGATGTTGGGACTGTTGGGATGTCAGGACTGTTGGAATGTCAGGACTGTAGGGATGTTGGGACTGTTGGGTTGTCGGGACTGTTGGAATGTCAGGACTGTTGGGATGTCAGTACTATCAGAATGTCGGGACTGTCGGAATGTCGGGACTGTTGGAATATCGGGACTGTCAGAATGTCGGGACTGTCAGGATGTTGGGACTGTCGGAATGTTGGGACTGTTGGGATGTTGGGACTATCAGGACGTCGGGACTCTTGGGATGTCAGGACTGTTGGAATGTCAGGACTGTTGGGATGTTGTGACTGTCAGCACGTCGGGACTGTTGGAATGTCAGAACAGTCAGGATGTCGGGGACTGTTGGAATATCAGGACTGTTGGGATGTTGGGACTGTCAGGATGTCAGGACTGTTGGGATGTTGGGACTGTGAGAATGTTGGGACTGTTGGGATGTTGGGAGTGTTGCGATGTTGGGACTGTTGGGATGTTGGGACTGTCAGGATGTCAGGATTGCTGGTGTGTGGGACTGTCAGGATGTCGGGGCTGCTGGTATGTGGGACTGTCAGGATGTAGGGACTGCTGGTATGTGGGACTGTCAGGATGTCGGGATTGCTGGGATGTGGGACTGTCAGGATGTTGGGACTGCTGGGATGTGGGACACACCTGGCCTGGCTGGCTGGGGCAGGAGGGGCAATGTCACTCACTCATTTCCAGTTGAGCTCAGCAGCTGTCCCATGAATGCAGCCTCCCTTGGTTAAATGAAAGCACTCTTCCCCCGTGGGAGCCCCACCCAGGTTTGTCCCCAGTGGACACTTTCTCTGGCTTCCTCTGTGTCAGAGGCCTCACAGCCTCTGATGTGGGGTCTTTGGGGGCTGTCACTGCAGGGCATCCCTGTCGAGCTGGCCCTGAATCCTTCCCATCTCACCAGCTGGCCCTTGAGCTGGCTGCAAATCCCACAGGCCAGTTGTAGGGCGCTCTGTAATGGGGTCTCCTGCAGGTGCACAACAGACTCTCACCAGAGGGACACCATCACTCCCCTCGGGCCTGTCACCAGGGTTCACAGCCACCCTTTGTATGCTCCGTGTGGGCGGGGCAGGGGGGCGGGACCTTCCAGACACCAGGGTGGGCAGGGGCGTGAGTGGCCATCTCAGCACTTCTTGTCCTCCCTAGACCTGTCTTACTGCCCTTGTCCCCTCCACTCCAGCCGCCAGCTTTGGAACAGGACACTGCAAGGTGACTTCCTCCAGAGTCTACAGGCAGGAGGCAAGGACTTACTCCCTTTTGCCCACAGCCCCCCAAACTTTTCTCGAAGATTATATCACCCTATCACCCATCACTCTCACCCCCAACCCTAGGGGCCTCAGATCTGGTTGCAGGCAGATGCGCTCAGAGGGAAGGGTCTGGAACGTGTCCTCAGAGCATCTTCAGCTGCCTCTGAGACTCTCCTTGCCCATCTGACAGTGTTCCCTGTACCCTTCCTGTCCTTGCTCTATAGACCAGGGTGAGATTTGAAAGAGAATGCACAGCAGTGGTGCCTGTCCCAGGTGGTCCCTAACCCTCCTCCGTAGCAACAGACAAGCATCAGGAATTACAAATGCATCAGCCAGGATTACACAAAATATCTTCCTACTGCCTTGTCACTTCCCAAGTCTTCAGCCCTCTTCCTGTAGGCCATAAACATTCATGGGATGCTGTAAAACTGTTATCCGTTTCCTTCCTCCCTAAGTCTGCAGCTCTCGTTAGACCATCTTATGTTATATCATAGGCATTTACATTCTATTAAAACCATCACCCCTCCCACCTTCTCACTCCAAAGCCCTTGGCTGTCACTTCATAGCCTGTTTCTGGTCTCCCTCCTCTCAGCTTTCTGGACGACTCCAGGCTCTTGTGTGTAATGAACTTTGACTGAATCAGAACAGAAGGCTACTGCTTAGCCCAGCATGGAAAACAAATTAAAATTGAATATCATACTTTCATAACTTCCTTTTTTTCTCTTTCCTTTTTTTTTTTTTTTAAATAAGACAATGTCTCACTGTCACCCAGGCTGGAGAACAGTGGCATGGTCACGGCTCACTGCAGGCTCAGGTGATCCTCCCACTCAGCCTCCCAAGTAGCTGGGACTACAGGCGTGTGCCTCCATGCCCGGCTAATTTTTTTTGGTTCAGGTCTTGGACTCTGGGCTCAAGTGATCCACTTACCTCAGCCTCCCAAAGTGCTGGGATTATGTGCAAGCCACCATGCCTGGCATACTTTTATAGGTTTCTTGACCACATTTGCAAAGGGGATCTTTGGGCCATCTCTGTCCTGCCAGCATGTGGCTGGGTTGCATTTGGTCCAAGCCCTTTCATCCTTCTGAGTCCTCAAGGTGCCCTCCACTGCCTCCTCCCGCCAAAAACTCTCCATGAAGCTTGATGATGACATCGCCCATTTCCCATTACTTGGCAGTGATTTAGCTCTTCTCTGCATAATTTCTCTCCATCTAAGCCATCTCTGAAAGAGGTACAGTGGTAGATTCTCCTGTAAGCATCCATAAAGCTCATTAAATTGTTGCCTAAAGAAAATCCTCTCCCTGAAATGAGTTCATCATCCACCTTGAGAGAACAGCTCGTTTCAATGGGGGCAACTTTTCAAATAATTGTTTCTCCCAGCAGCCTAAATCTGCTGTAATAAATGTTCTTGAGCTAAAACTCTGCCCATTATTCCCCCTTATTTCTTCAGAATGTTATTTTACCCTTAGATCCATTTCTAGATGTGGATTTTGGAGTCAGAATCATGCACAATTTGAGGCTTTTTGAATGGATGACCCAATTGCCCACAGAAACACTGAGGCTCCCATCTGTCCCGGCGAGGGCTGAGCCAGCTCTGGACCACGTCCACGCCAGCACAGTGTCCTTTGTTCTCAAAACCCCTGGGCACCTGGGTAGATGGAGAAGAAATGTTTGTTGTTCTTTTCTCTGTTTTTTTTTTTTTTTTTTTTTGTAAACATATTTCTCGTAATTGTTCAATCCAATCCTTTGGCCATCTTCTGTTAGTGATTTGCTATCTTCTTCGTTTTTTTTTTTTTTTTTTGGGACGGAGTCTCACTCTGCCACCCAGGCTGGAGTGCAGTAGCGCAATCTGGGCTCACTGCAACCTCTGCCTCCCAGTTCAAGTGATTCTCCCTCCCTCAGCCTCCCGAGTAGCTGGGATTACAGGTGCCCACAACCACGCCCAGCTAATCTTGGTATTTTTAGTAGAGATGGAGTTTCGCCATGTTGGCCAGGCTGATCTGGAACTCTTGACCTCAGTTGATCCACCTGCCCCGGCCTCCCAAAGTGTTGGGATCATAGGCATGAGCCACTGCACCTGGCCAATTTACTTTCTTCTTAACACACACACCATCCCAGTCTCCATCTGGTTTTGTGTGTTTGTTTAGATAAGACGCAGATGAGGTCATCAACTGATTGAGGTGACAGCCCCTCCGTGGAAGAGGCTCCCGGGTGCCTGCGTCGGCCCTTTCTCTGCCTGATGCCCTGATCCTAACCATGCCTTTTTTTCCCCCCTCCTGACTCTTCCTTTTTATTTTTATTTTTTTAGCTATAATGATAAATCTTTTCTTAACCAATGCCAGCAAGTGGTTTCCAAGCCAAGCGCCATTCTGTGGTGTGACAGAGCCGGGAGACACTGGGCAGTTGAGTCGGGGAACCACTCTTCCTTCCCTCTCACCTAAGCCTTGGGTTTCCCAAATCTCCATTCAGCGCTTCGTGCCTGCAGATCCCTGCAGCGAGGCATTTGCTCCATGTCTTAGAATCCTAAGCATGTCCTGTTATTATCTACCTAAGTGCCTTAAAGAAAGTTAGTGAATGTGTGAAAATGACAAGTGTCTGACCTGGAGCGAGTGACCTTAAACTTCCTGAGCCCCAGGGGCCTCTTTTTAATTATTTATTTTTTATTTTATTTATCTATTTTTTGAGATGGAGTTTCACTCTTGTCGCCCAGGCGAGAGTGCAATGGTGCCATCTTGGCTCACTGCAACCTCCTCCTCCCAGGCTCAAGCAATTCTCCTGCCTCAGCCTCCTGAGTAGCTGGGACTACAGGCACCCACCACCATGCCTGGCTAATTTTTTGTATTTTTAGTAGAGACGGGGTTTCACCATGTTGGCCAGGGAGGTCTCAAACTCCTGACCCCAGGTGATCTGCCTGCCTTGGCTTCCCAAAGTGCTGGGATTACAGGAATGAACCACCATGCCCGGCCTTTATTTTCATTTTTTGAAACAGGGTCTGGCTCTTTTGCCCAGGCTGGAGTACAGCAGCACAATCACAGTTCACTGAAGCCTCGACCTCCCAGGATCAAGCAATCCTCCAGCCTCAGCCTCTCAAGAAGCTGGGGCCACAGGTGCACACCACCATGCCTGGCCCCCTGCATCAGGCAGAGAAAGGACCAATGCCAGGCACCTGGGAGCCTCTTCCACCAAGGGGCTGTCACCTGGATCAGTGACAAATGGCTGTAGAGACTTTCACTTCCTCCTAGCCCAGAGGTGACCTGACTTGGTATAAGAAACACTACTTTCTCTCTTAAAATAGAAATGGAAAGAAATATACACTTTATAGGTGTGGTCATGAAAAGAGGAGCCTAGCAATAGAGAGAGGAAATCTTGAAAGCTCCCCATCACAATCTAGAAGGAATTTCTCCAGGGGGTTTAATGACTGGTGATTGGTTGATTTTGCTTATCTGTATTTTCGAATTTTTCTACAAAATACCTACCTATGCCTTAGGCACCGTCATTCTATATGGATAAAATGTGTTGCATGTTTTAAAATGCCAAGTGTACGAGTCCTCTGTGCTCTTATTCATTTTATCTAATTGTTTAAAGCTACAGGCCGGGCATGGTGGCTCACACCTGTAATCTCAGCACTTTGGGAGGCCGAGGCAGGAGGATTGCTTGAGGCCATGAATTTGAGGCCAGCGTGGGCAACGTAGCAAGACCTCATCTCTACAAAAAAAATTAAAATATTAGCCAGGTGTGGTAGTGCGCACCTGTGGACCCAGCTACTTGGGAGTCTGAGGCTGGAGGATTGCTTGATCCTGGGAGGTCAAGGCTGCAGTGAACTGTGATTGTGCTACTGTACTCCAGCCTGGGCAACACAGAGAGACCCTGTCTCTAAAAATAAAAAAAAAAAAATAAAGCTACAGGAAGTAGGCATGGAATGTTCGACATCTTTAATGGCAAATCACAGATTGTATTTGCCAGGAGGGAGAGACAACTGTCCATGAAGTTCTCTCAGGGGTGGATGTTTTGTGTCCACACTTCAGAGTAGTATTTTGATTTTGCTGTCTTCTCTTTTCTCCTGCCCACTCCCCACCTCCCCTTCCCTCCTCTGCCCTCCACTCTCCTCTGCCTCCTTAACCCCATCCAGGTGGCCACCTGTCCGTATTCTGTCTATGGAGCTTGGGTAGGTGGCTCCATCTTGTGCTCACTCTCCACGTTCAAGGATATGTGGGTCACCAGCAAGGAGTACAAGGAGATGGGCTCTTCCATCATCAGTAGAAAAAGCTTCTGATGTGTGGCTTTCAGGACCATGTTGCCTGTGCCTTCGACACCAACTGCAGGATGAGCCTTGTTGTGGCTGAATTGAACAGAGCTCAGAACCAGCTCAAGGGCAAAGGCACTTCCTCCCCCAGACTTCAATAAAGAAGGTCAATAAAGGATGGACTCTGTCTTTTTGTCTGGGCTCAGCTGGCAGAAGCACAGGACACTCACTACGCAGTGTCGCAGGACACAAGCTGCATGAATGCAGAGTAGTGGAGGAGAGGGAAATCCTGGCTCTTCCTGTGTATCAGTCAGGAAGGTGAAGCTGTGCTGCAGGAAGAAGCATCCCCCAAATCTCAGTGCCATAAAACAAAAGTCAGTCTCTCCCTCATGCTGCATGTCCACTGAAGGTCAACAGGGGCTGCCTCCTACATCATCCTCCCTTAGAATCCAGTGACAGAGCAGACCATCAGAGACATTGTCATTCATTGTGGATGAGCAGAAGAGTGTGCTGGTGGGTCTTACATTGGCAACTAAATACATTAGTCCAGAAAAGCCACAGGGCACATAGCCATGATTAACCACAACAAATCACATGGCCCTACCCAACCACAAGAGGCAGGAAGTGCCATCCTACCACAGGCCTGATGTACCCACATGGGCAGAACAGCATGGATACTCTGGCCTCTTGAAGGCACGATCGGGGCAGTACCCATAGCACTCA
The DNA here is from genome assembly GCF_000001405.40 of Homo sapiens. NCBI lineage: Eukaryota > Metazoa > Chordata > Mammalia > Primates > Hominidae > Homo > Homo sapiens. Next base: position 71,381,907 of record NC_000011.10, on the reverse strand, counting down.
CCATGCAAGGGGCATTACATCCTCCAATGAATTTAATCCTTATGACGTTTCTGTGAGGTTGGTTTCATTATAGCTGATTTCATGAAGCAGAAACTGGTGCTAAGAGAAGTGAATTAACTAGATCAAGGTTATTTAGGTGTAACAGGCAGTTTAAATCTGTAAATAGCATCTAGTAAGAGTGCCAGAGGAGAACAGAGAGAACTAAGGAGAGGAAGAAACCAACCAAACAAATAGAAGACACATGTTTTCAGTGTAGAGGGGCCACGGAGGGCTGCACAGACCCAAGGAAGGGTCCTGCTTGCAGACACTAGTGGAATTTCAGAATATCAAAAATAATGACATCTAGAGGCTTTGAGAGAAATCAGCAAACGCAGGTTAACTTAAAGTAGGGTGACTGGAAAAAAACCCAGATTACCCAGTTAAATTTTGAATTTCAGAAATGTAACAAATTTTTAGTATAAGCCTGTCCCAAATGTTGTGCATTATCTCTGCTTGCTAAATCTGGTGCCACTATCACAAGGGAAAGTGACTCCAGTTATTATTATTATCAGAATTCTTGACTGCAAATTGTTGTAGAAGACAAGACAAGAAAACCATCAAGTTAAGAGGAAGGATTATTTTGAACCTAGAATCTCATACATTTTCCAATAGGTGGAAATGATAAAAAAAAAATAACTTGGGGACAGGCAAACACTCTGAAAATTTACCACCTATATGCTCAGGGAAGTCACGCCTGCCCACATGCAGGCCACAGACCACAGCGGCAAGGATGACCAACGAAAGGATGGCATCCTCACTCTAGACAGTCAGGTGAGGAGCTATCTTTTCTTCCTCTTTCCTCCCTACGCACACTGGAGCACACAGTGAAGGGAAGAGGGAGGGACATAAGATGAACAGGCACTCCAGCACTCCTCACTCAGCTGCAGGAGTCAGGGCTGGGGCAGTAGGAGGGAGACAGAGAGAAAGAAAGAAAGACCTACCATCAAATACAAAATTTATTCATCTATCCAACCACCCACCCATCCACTCATTCAACAATCCATTCATCCATCCATCTACTCATCCACCCATCACCCATCCACCCTCTCCTCCATCCATCCAACCATCTCCCCACCCATCCATTCTTCCTTCCATCCACCCACCCACTCATTCATCCATCCAACCATCTCTCCACCCATCCATTCTTCCTTCCATCCACCCACCAACCCACTCATCCATCCATCCAACCATGTCTCCACCCATCCATTCTTCCTTCCATCCACCCACCCACCCACTCATCCATCCATCCAACCATCTCCCCACCCATCCATTCTTCCTTCCATCCACCCACCCACTCATCCATCCATCCAACCATCTCTCCACCCATCCATTCTTCCTTCCATCCACCCACCCACCCACTCATCCATCCATCCAACCATCTCTCCACCCATCCATTCTTTCTTCCATCCACCCACCCGCCCACTCATCCGTCCATCCAACCATCTCTCCACCCATCCACTCTTCCTTCCATCCACCCACCCACCCACTCATCCATCCATCCAACCATCTCTCCACCCATCCATTCTTCCTTCCACCCACAGTCAAGGCTGGAGCAGTGGTGGTACGGGGAAGCATAGAGGGAGAACGTCCTTGAATCAAATATGACATTAATATTTTAAAACATATAGGACCAAGCTGTAGAAAATATTAATGAGACTGCCCCAGCCCTAATAAAAGCATAACTTGCCTTACACCAGCCTTGTTCTAAGTGGTGTGCATAGGTTACCTACCTCAGTCCTCACCACAAGGATGGTGGAAGTAGGGGCTACGGTTATCCCTATTCTAGAGAACACAAGTGGAAGCACCCAGTCACACAGTTAAGAAAGTGGGGAGCTGGGTCTCAACCCCAGGCAGGTATAGATCTTAGCCTGCTTCCCAGTAGAACCAGAAGTATGTAAACAGTAACGAAATCAGCATGAGCCATCAGCAATCACTCAGGTTGCCTGCTGCCTGATGGGAAGAGCAGGGGTGAGAGGAGGGGTCAGCACAGCTGGAAGCAATTGAGAAAAATATCCATGTTTATAGCACAGTAAATCAAGAGTACTCAATAACTGGGGCCCACACACATTCACTCAGAAACCTGGCTTGCCTGATTTCTCCAAAGGAGTGTAATTACCAGCATTCAGCAAGTTATTTATACTATTCCAGAGTGTTTCTCCTATTAAAAACACAACAATTAGTGATCCTAATAGTCCATTACACTTAATCTGATGCTGAAAATTGCTTCATTAAAAGCCAGTTGAGAGACTGGGGTAAATAACTGTAAACCCAGTCCCCAGATGATTTCTGTGTTCCTGGAGAGTTGATTCTTACCCCAAGGTGTACCAGCCAATGGGCAGCTCAGACCTCAGGGATAATCATTGCCCAAGAGGCCATTTTGTTCTCATGTCTCAAATTATGGGACTCATTATCCCCCAGCCCTACACAACAGCAGTAGAAGAGGTGGTAAAAGGGTCAGCTGGGGCCATTCTGTCATCCCCAGGTCAATCCTGCAATAGTTGGTTCAACTGCAGCAATCCTCTCCAGCCCACACAGGATGCAGCTCTGGGTACAACCTCTTGTCCCAGCCCAGCCTGTATCCATGCACATCAGTGCTGGCTGCTCAGGAACATAGAGGCCAGCCTAGAGATGACTCAAGTGTATTGTTTTCTATTCTTTATTTTTACCATTCATCCATGTCCATCCATCCATCTGCCCAGCCACCCATCATCCATCCATCACCCCATCCATCTTTCCATCGTCTCTCCAACCATTAATCCAACTATACATACAGCTCTACAACTGTCCATCCATCCAACCATACATATAACCATCCATCCATTCAGCTATCCATCTATCCATCCATCCATCCATCCATCCATCCAACCAACCAACCAACCAATAATTCACTCATTCATCCACTCCTCACTCATTCATTAAATACTGAATTGGTTCTTTTTAGTCAAATTACCTGTACTTGAAGTCTAGTTCTATTATTAATTAACTGTGTGTGACCTCCACCAAGTTTCTTTTTTTTTTTAATTTATTTTTAAAGAAAAGAGGTTTAATTGGCTCACAGTTCTACACACTGTACAGGAAACATGGCAGGGGAGACCTCAGGAAACTTACAACCATGGCAGAAGGTGAAGGGGAAGCAAGTACATCTTACATGGCTGGAGCAGGAGGGAGAGAGAGAGAGGAGAGATGCTACACACTTTTAAACAACTATATCTCGTGAGGACTGTATCACGAGAGCAACACTAGAGGGATTGTGCTAAACCATTAGAAACCACCCCCATGATCCAGTCACTTCCTACCAAGCCCCATCTCCAACATAGGGGATTACAACTGAACATGAGATTTGGGTGGGAACACAGATCCAGAGCATATCAGGGTGTTTATTTGCAAATATGTTGTTATTTTCTAGTTCTGTAGTGATCTGATGTCTGCTATAAATGTCTGCTGTGAAGGCGACACTGGCATTGTTTTTCCTGGCCATTGTGTGGTACATGGCATAATGGAGTCTAGCGCTGACTCCATTGAGTTGGAAGGTGATTATGGAAGACACACAACCAAACTCTCATGTATGACATGTGTAAGTAAAGAATAAGCTGCTGTTCTTACTGAAGCTCTATGAATGTGATTTCAACCCATTTGATTTCAAACGTATTGCCTTAAAACATTAAGAGCATTGAAAGCTTAAAGGGAGTTGGCCTAGTGTTTGAGCAACTGAAGCACATTTCTTATATTTCTATATGGTGCAGTTTCCTCATCTATAAAACGAGGGGAAATAATAATAATCAGTAAAATGGGGGAGTCAAAGAGTTAATCCCTGTAAGAGGCTTAGAAAAGTGGTGTGGGGATAATAAGTGCTTAACAAATGTTAGCTGTTGTTATCATTATCATAATTATTAAAATTCACCAAGATTTATTGTCAGTCAGGATGCTATGGTTTTAAAGAGATGTATAGATAAAGTTCTGGAATTCAGAGAGCCTATTGGGGAAGGTGTCAGGGAGCTGGCAGCACGTTCAGGGATCATACAATACTAAATTTTGTTCAGATTTCAGGAGAAGAGGAACTTAACTTTGGAATCTGGTAATTAAACATTTCCAGAGGAAACTTTCTTAAAATACTACTTAAAAATAAGGACAATACTGTGATCTTACTCATATGTTTAATTTCTGTTCAAGTCATTGCTTGGACTTGGTAATTTTTTTAAACAAAGCATGACACAATGTTAAACTAAAGAAGCCCTAGATAAGAAGACTTTTTGAACATACTGAAAGCTTCAATATGAAACCTATCAATTTCCTGAAAGTTAATGAACAACGCAACTTTCAATTTTTGTGTCTCCAAAAAGAATCAGGCCAGATAATCTTCAAGATGGCTTCCAACTCTGGCCAAAGTTATTCTGCATGCACGTCTTTCCAGCATCAGAGCTTGCTTATGTGTAGAAGATTGTTGAATCCTTGACTGAATCCACTGTGTGTGTTCTTTAGAAAGAGGGGCATAGCTTAAGAGGAAAAATGATCATTTACAAATTAAAATGATCCAATGTAATGAGTGAACTGACTTAGTAAGTATTATTGAAGCCCTCAAGTTTGCTGTCTGCCGACCCACATGGTTGGCTCTGGCCATGGAACTCAGCAGCCAGAAGATGAGAGGAGGAGAGGGAAGTGCTGGTCCACCCTGAGCAAGGAGCAGCCAGTCATCACAGTCATGGCAGAAGTTATTATCTCAGGCTCATGGCAGCCACTTTGCTGCACTCTATGTGGGATGGAAGCCTGTATTTTCATTTAAAATTCTGTACAGCACAGAGAAGCCATTGGTTTAATCCTCATTTCAAACAATCCCTATCTTCCTGAGGTTGAAATAATGGGGAAAGGGGAACTGCCAGTCCTGGCTCATTATGTGATGTGTGATTTCAGGGAGGTTGCACCACCACTCTGATACCCCCTCTGCTCATCAGTCATGAGGTGACAATTTGCTCTCTATCCCTATCCCTATCCCTAACTCTATCCCTATCTCAGTCTCTATCTCTGTGTCCACTCCTATCTCTATATCTATCTTGAACCCTATTCCTATTTCTATCTTTATTCTTGTTGTGATTTGAATGCCCCCCGCCAAAATTCATGCTGAAATGTAATTTCCATTGTAATAGTAACGTTAACAGGTGGAGCCTTTAAGAAGTGATTAGGTCATCAGGGCTCTGTCCTCATGAATGGATTAATGCTGTTATCTTGGAAGTGGGTTAGTTATTGTGGGAGTAGTCTCCTGATACAAGGATAAGTTCATCCCCCCATTTGCTTACTCTGTTTTGTGTGCTTGTTTCCACCCTTCACTCTTATATCATGGGATAACACCAGATGCAAGTGCCATGCTCTCAGACTTCTCAGCCTCCAGAACCATGAGCCAAATGAACCTTTGTTCTTCATATAATAAATTACCCAGTCTGTGGTATTGTTATAGCAGCAGAAAATGAAATAAGATAATCCCTATCCCTATTTGTCTTATCCCTAACTCTATCCTCATCTCATTCCTTTACCTATCACTAACCCTATCCCTCTCTGTCTCTATCCATATCCGTACCCTTATCTCTAGCTCTATCTCTATCTCTATCCTTTTCCCAATTTCTACCAGTAGGGCTGTTATACAAATGAGTGTGAAACAGCAAATGCAAGACACTTTGTAAGCGGTAAAGTTCTCAGCAAACTCAGGGAGGGGGATGCTGGCATAAACCAATGGTTCCCAAACCATCCATCAGAATCACCTGGAGGGTCGATTGAAAACAGATGGCTGGGCCCCACCCCAGCATTTCTCAATCAGCAAGAATTTCATTTCTAACAAGCTCTCAGGTGTTGGTGCCACTGCTGATCAGGGGACCAGCATTTCTTGTGGATCTCTACGGTGGTCTTTTTAGGTTATACTGGGACAGGCAAATACTTCCTGGTAGTCTCCACCACAAAAGTAGGATATACTTTGTTAACACTTACAGAATTTTTTAAAAAATGTGTTTATTAATCATGATTATGCTATGAAACAGGTACTGTATTTATTTAACCGATGGACCTAAGTTGAGTAAAAATATTTTTAAGGTGTTCAGAGATAGGGTAGAAAGTTCTAGAACTGCCTTCCTCCAACCTGGTCTTTCCCAAGAACTGACCCAAACCAGGGGCTCCCTTGGGAGCATGCCCTATCTCTGTTTGAACCCTAGCACAGTGATCCTTGGCCAACTGCAAGCCTTGGCAAGTCCTCTTTGCAAAAGCCCTGTGTCTGCACCCTGATTAGTATCACTGGCACTTGTCTGAAAGTGGGCTCTCATTCTCTCTCTTCCTCCTGCCTTTCTCCTTCTGGGCAAATTTGGACAAAAGCTGGCATCTGCTATAATTCACATCGTATGCCATGTCCTCCACCAAGGCTGTGAACAGGAGCCCGGGCATCTACAGAGGGGACTCTATGGAAAGATAAGTAACTGGAACTTGTTTTGTTTGTTTCTCAAACAAACAAAAATCATAATCCTGACTCCATTCTCCTTAATGCACTACCAAGTTCTGTAATTCAGAACAAATGATCATATTCTCACTGTACTGCCTGTTTTTCTCTAAGAAAATATTCCAAATTGATTTTTAACTCATAAGAATTAATGAAGTTGTCGACTTGGCAAAGAGACTTCTGCACTCCCACACTGATTGCTTCATTGTTCACAATAGCCAAATTATGAAATCAACCTCAGTGTCAATCAACAGATGAATGGATAAAGAAAATGTGGTATAGATATAAACAATAGAATACTATTCAGCCCTAAAAAAGAAAGAAGTCTTGTCATTTGCAATGATATGAATGAACTCGAATGACACTATATTCAGTGAAATAAACTGGGCCCAGAAAGCCAAATACTGGATGTGATATCTAAAAATGTCAAACTCATTGAAATAGAGAGTAAAATGGTAGTTATCAGGGGCTAGGGTAGGGGAGGAGGATTGAGGAGACGTTGGTCAAAGGACACTTTCAGTTAGGAGGAATGAGTTCAAGAGATCTACTGTACAACACGATGACTATAGTTAATAACAATGTCTTATATACTTGAAAATTGCTAAGAGAGTAGATTTTAAATGTTCTCATTAGGAATACATAAGTATTTGAAAAAATTATTTTTCTGCCACATATCTAAAACTAAAATAAAGTTGTTAACTTGGGGTTCATGATGGTACTACCATGTACTGTAGTGGATAGTGGGGGGCTGAGATTGGGAAATTGTGGGTGAGCGAGGGTGGAGATCAGAGGGCTTCCCCTCTATCCTAACCTACCCAGTGTCTCCCTGTTCTGCATTTCCCAGAATCCCTTGCAGCAAGCTCCTAATGGAAGCACCTGTATCTAATTGAACGCTCCTGCAGGACAAAGGCTCTGCCAGCACTGTTTGGCATTCCTGCAGGCAAGCCCCCGCACAGAGGTGTTGACCCTTCCTCCAGCAGCTTCCCTATCTGGGTGGCGTCTACAGTGGCCATCTCCTGACTCTGATGGTGGCCTGATTCTGGAGCTGGAGGAGGAGCTACAGCTTCCCAGTTGAGCAGGTGGCTTCCTGTTGGCAAAGAGGAAGCAGCTCCTTTGCTAGCTCGGTTTTGTTTTCAAAGTCGTTCCTGAATATTCAGTTCCACAACCATTTCTTCAGCCTCTCCAATGATTCTATTTGCCCCCCGTAACCTGAAACTAATTCCTTCTTGCTAAACTAGCTGCAGTGCATCCTGTTCTCTGAGACTGAGCCCCAGTGATATAGTGCAGGTATGCATTTCCCAGGGAGATACTCCATCATTCCCACCAGCTTCCTGAGAGGGCAAATATCCGAGAGAGGCTAAGAACCTCACCCACTTGTGATCCACAGGAAGTTCTGGTGGGCTAGCACTAGTGCAGATGTCCTAGAATACTTGAGGGGAATCAAATCACGCTGAACTTGTGGTAATACAGTGCTTCTAAAAAGTTCTTCTAATTTGCATTCTGCCCATCTGGAGTTTCAGTTCCTGGGTCTAATTAACACATTGCTCACCTGAAGCCATTTTCACTTTATATTCAATTCAACAATTCAATGACTTGTTTAATAAACATTCACTGAGTAAGCATTCACCGGACCCTATGCTAGGAGCTGGGGAAACAGACATACCTGCTGTAATTCCTGCCTGGGGGAGCTTAGCTGCTGCATAAGGAGGAGAAAGCCTAGAAATAAAACCACTGCATTTTAAGGCTATTATGGCCACAGCAGAAATTATGTATCAGGTGGTAAGAGGGGAGAGAGAATGAGGCAACAATGTCCTAGGAAACGTCTGTGACCACCAACTGTGGCGACTGCGAAAAGGGCTACAAATTCTTCCCCTTCCATCAGGAACTGGAAACTACTTCTTCATCCCTAGAATATGGGTTGGTCATGTGACTAGCTTTAGTCAATGGGACATTAGCAAACATGATGCAATGTTCCATGGACTAAGGGGTAAAAAGTAACTGTGCATTGGGATTCCTCTCTTGCTGTTCTTGGAAATCCTGCAGCCACCACCATGCAAACTGGCGGATGCACAAAAGACATATGGCCCAGTAACCCCCAGTAACTATATCTGACTCTCAGCTAATCAGCAGCCAACTGCCAAATGCAGGTATGAAACTACCTGACCACCAGCTGCCCACAGATGAATGAATAAGCCCAACCAAAATAAGCAGAGGAACCAGCGAGGCCCAGCCCAAGTCACTGGGCCACAGAATCATTACCTGATAAATAATTGTTCTTTTAAGCCACCAAGTGGCGGGATTGATACATCTACTCTGTGCCTAGATTTCTACTAGGCCTCCAGGCAGAGTTTCAGGAGAAATAGAAGAAATATTTCCTGTTTTCAAGGAACTAAGGCATCACATCTGAAATTTGCCTTTGGCATAGGGGACTGACTATGTCGTGGTATCCGTCTTCTGGGTCTGCCTTCTCAGTCCAGAAGAGGTCAGTAGTTGCTAACGCTCCAAGTGCTTTTGGTGTAAAAATCCATTCTCCAAAGGAGGTTGAGAATAGACTTTTCCATCATGGTCAAGGAATGAAGATGGTGGTAAGAGACTATGGCAATGAGGCAGGTATGCTGGTAGCAACAATCCCCATTGTCCTTCTTGCCAGTGTGGCCCAGAGGCTGGGGATTGAAAGGATGCTTGCTATTTGTTAGGTAGCCTGCGTGTGAATTCCAGCTTCACTCAGTATGGACAAGCTGTAATGCAAATCACTTCACCCTCCAGGGCCTGTTTCTTCTTCAGCCACATGGGCTGACAACACCAACTCCCAGGGTGTTGGAGGAGCAGATGCGTAGACATGAGTGGAGGGCTCAGCACATGCACACCCACTCCCTCTGCTCTCTCGCTGGCCCTGCAAAAGGGCAGGGAAGTGGCCCAGACTCCTTGTAATCCCAATGGTCATCTATGCCACAGATAGCCCTGGTAACTGGAAGGTTCAGTCAGAGTGGATCATTTGGTGCCTGCGAGGCCTGGCTCTCCCCACCAGGCTCCAACCTCCCTCCTCTCTTGATTCCCTGGGTCTCCTCATAGACTCCTCTCATCCTCCTTCATTTGTGCCTGTCTTTACTGCTTCTGGGGAGAGTGTCCTGCTCGCCTGGGGCCCTGGGCCTCCTTGCAATGCCACACTCTCATCCCAGCCCCACCCCCGAGTCTAGCTGGGCCCCTCTGGTAGGGTTGGGATAGAGCTGGCCAAATGAGGCCAGTGAAGGCCAGAGCTCTGGGGCAAGCAGCTTTCCTCTCTTACAAGCTGATGGTTGCAGAATGGGGCTCAGCCTACTAGAAAAAGCTGGATCTCCCTCAGGTGAAGCAGCAAACTCAGGGGGGATGGGAAGCTCTGCAAAGCCATCCCTAATGAGGCCAGCAGGGTAGTGCAGGGTACAGGACAGAGAACCAGGAACCAAGAGGCCTGAATTCTGTACCCAGCTTGGTAGTGCTGGGCCATTCTAGGACCCACACTCACACTAGGGACACAGCTCCTGCTGTTCCATGAGCTGCCCTATGGGGTCAGGACACAAATGGTGGAGCAGGAGGCCTTGCTCCCCTCCATGGGATCTGAGAGTAGAGAGCACAAAGCAGCTGCTACAGCCTAGACGTGTCTTTCAGATCTCTCGTCCTCTCTTTAAAATGTGTGCAGGTTGATACTCCTCTCCACAGTAGACCTGTTGGTTTTATGGTTAAATGTCTTAAATTACTTACCGATTAAATTATCCAATTCTTCCTCTAAAAGAAGAGTTGAAGGAAACTGACCTCTGGGAAGCTGTGCCCCATTGTCCTGAAAGTTCAGGCCCCTGCCAGGTGTCCCCAGATCAGAGGTCTTCCATCTCAGAGCAGCAGAAAAGCAGCGCCCCCAAATGGCTGCGTCTAAGTTGTGCTGAGTGTATGTTTTTCAAAACCAATGTCAGGCAGAGAGTTTTGTGCTGGTGCAGGTGTTAGAGACTGCATGACGTCTCTGGAATTGTAGGAATTTTTGTTTGTTTGGGCAGAGGATTGGAAACATGGACGGCCTGGAGTGTGGGGAGTGTGTTTTCATGCTTGCTGTGTTTCTTCTCACTTCTCATCTCGTCTGAGAATGTGGCTGCGCTCGGGAAGCAGGCTCGCCCCTGCTGCGTGGTTGGAGAAAGTGAGGAAAACACAAGTTCTCGAGGTCATGTTTTCGGAGGCCTGCAATTGACCTGAATGCAGCAGGTGGCTCTCCTTGGAAGGACAAAGCGGCCACTCAGAGGCCTCGTGTGCAGGTTTTGTCTCACCAGCTGGCACCCATGCCCAGGCTGAGCACGAGCCAACCGCTGGCTGACAGGCCCAGCTGGAGATTTTCGTTTTCCCTTTCGCAGGAGGCTGATTCGACCCTGAAAGAGGGTGAAGCGGCCTCCCAGGGAAGCTGATGCAAAGTTCAGGTGCATCATATCAAGGGACTGGTTGCAGACCACCAGCTTGTTTTCCCCCTCAGCGCTTTTCCTTGATTTTTCTGTGAGATGGAAACTTCTCCCTCCTCCAGCCAGGGCTGGGGGCTGCCAAGTGAATGGGGAGACTGGGCAGTGAGACCTACAAAACCCATAAGTGGACCTGGAGGACAGTGGCAAGGTGGGGAACCCCTGTGGGGAGCAGCAGACCAGGAAGCACTGTGCAAAGAGCACCAGGCAGGGAGCATTGGGCTAAGGAACATCAGACCAGGACCATCAATACAGGGAGCACCATGCTAGAGGCACTTACTGTTCCAGGGAGCACCAGGTCCTCACCTGGTGCTGGGCCAGAAGCACTGAGCCAAGGAGTACTGAGCCAAAAAGTACTGTGCCAAACAGTACTGCACCAAGGAGTACTGTGCCAAGGAGTACTGAGCCAAGGAGTACTGTGCCAAGGAGTACTGAGCCAAGAAGTACTGCACTAAGGAGTAGTGAGCCAAGGAGCACTGTGCTGGAGTGCACTTAGGGTTGCCTGTGAGGTCAGGGCTCTGCCCAGCAGGCCCTCATGCAGCCAGGCCTGCTGCTTCACCTTGCAGTGCTTGGTCTGGGTCTCCTCAGCCATTTTTGGGCCTGAGCCCATCATCAGGGAGGCCAGTGAGCAGCCTGGGAAGCCCTGGTCCTGCTGGAAGCTGCAGCTCCAGCTGAGGCAGATGCCCCGGTCCAGGCTGGCTGGCGATGAGGGGCTGACAGTCAGTGCTTCCTGCCCTGCTCTGCACCGCTGTGCCTCCTGCCCTGCTCTGCACCGCCATGCCTCCTGCAAAGGCACAGCTCCACAGGCCCCTCTGGCTGTGCTGCTGCCACCGTCTTTTGTTTTCAGACTGCAGGGTTAAGAGCAGATATGGTAGAGAGACTGTTGGTATCCCACACCGGTCCATCTTGGCTATGGGATGTATTGCTACACAACAAATTGCCCCAGATCTTAGCAGCTTAAGACAACAAATGTATATTAGTCCCAGTTCTGGCCCAGGGTCTCTCCTGAGCAGGATTCCCAGCCCTGAAGACTAGAGGCACCGGTGGACAGAGCTCAAATCACCACTCAGTGGGCATCAGATTGGACGTGACAGAGAAATGCATCTGAGAATCGAGACTTGGGGATTGTGGGTTCCAGCAGTGGACCTGCCTAGATGGCAGACCTGCTCATGCTCCCCTCCTCCAGGAAGCCTCCTGGGAGTACCCCACACCAGGGCAGTTCGGGGGAGTCCTCTGTCTTCACCCTCGGTACCTGCAACAGGCACCAGGTGGTGGCTGCCCGGCTGTGGCCTCACTGCGGCCCTTCAGGAGCCAGCTCTGGTGTAGACCGCAAACAACCCAGCACCTGGTCCAGCCTCTGAAGGGCTGGGTTCCACTCCTGGCTCTGCCTCGTGCTTGTCCTCTGAGCCTCAGATTCCCTATCTTTAAAGTGGGCAGGAGGGTCCCTTTGATGAGGGTCCATGCAGCGGCGGATGTGAGGTGGGTTGTTGCCTGTACACCACGGTGGATGTAGCTCCACCACGGAGGAGCAGAGTGCATGCCACCCTCACCTCTGGCTGCTGTGGCGTCACCCAGGTGCGCTCTCTGGCACCTGTGCCCTTGCAGGGATCTGATCCCACAGCAGGAGCCTCCCACAGGGGCCACTTTTACAGTTGGGCCCTCCTGCTCGAGCAAGGACGCTGAGGAGTGTGGTTGTGAATTCTTTCACACCACAGAGGGCCCCGGGCACCTGCCCTGCTCCCTGGCCTCCGTGGGGACACTTTTCGGTCAGTGCAGCCATGGCGCTTGGCTGGGGAAGCCCCCACTGCCTCAGACGTCAGGAAAGGCCGCGTTACAGCTCCTGCTGAAACACCTGCTTGCCAGACACCCCGCTTAACCTTAAGGATGAGCCCTGGAGCAGCAGCCTGCCGGCGGGGCTTCCCCCTCCAAGCCGCATCAGCCAAGGCTCTTGGCTGCCCTCCTACTCCTCTTTCACAAGTATCCAAAGAGTGGCCGCCACGTGCTGCCCCAGGAGTTTGCAATCCATGGTGGTCTTGCTGCAGCCCCCAGCTCTGGGGGTGTTTAGATGAGGTCTACAGAGCACAGGCTTTGGTGCCACAGATCTGAATTCTGAGCTCCAACTGCTTAACTATCGGGACTAGAACGGTGGGTGTATAGCATGTCCCCCCTTCCAGACGATGAAACAGGGCTCTGAGGCCTGCTGCTCGGGATGCTGTGAAGGTTGAACCAGCTGGGGCTGCACCTCGGACCACTCTCCTCCTTCCCAGCGGCACTACCACCCGACCCGCAGCTCACATGCTGTCCACAGCCCTGCAGACATTGTGTGGCCTCCTGCTGTGGTCCCTGTCCCAAGACCTGTGCCTGGCTTGGGGTGGTCTCCTAGCAAATCTTCAAGCTGGCTGAATGTCCATTGAGATCAGGAGGGGGACCCAGGCCAGCAGTATCAACGTCCCGTGGGATTGTCAGAAATGCAGATTCTTGGCCCCGTGTTCACCCTGCCGCTGGGGACTCCTAGGGAGGGGCCGGGATCTGTTGTGATCAGCCTCAGGTACCCTGCTCACCCTTGGCGCTCTTGGGGAGAGTTTTTTGGCACTGACTGGTGGATCTTGCCCTGGTGCAGGTGGCGGACCAGGCTCCTCATCCTGGCTACACAGCTGGCGAGGGGCAGCAGGCATGCTGGGCTGCCTGCCTGGGGGTCAGCCAGTCCTGAGGGGGAAGAGAGTGGGTCTGTGTGTGTTTGAGCATTTAGGGTGATTGAAGCTACTCAAGGCCATCCCTGAGAAACGTCCTGAGGTCAGAGAGGGCAGGGGAGGGCCACCGAGAGGAGCGAGTGCTGGGCTGGGATTCCCAAGACAGACTCAGCACGCGTTGTGCCCTGGGCTGCTAGCCACATGCCTGGACGGGAGGCACCACTCTGTCAATGCCTGGTTCCTCACTTCGCCCTGGCAGGGGCTGCGCCCCCATCACAGGGTCATGTGGACCAGCTGGGAAGGATGTGTGGGAGTGTTGGCATCGCCCTGGGGAGCCATGGTGGTGCTCATGAATTCTGGTGGTTCTGCTGCTGCTGGCATCTGACATGCAGCAGATTTCAGTGAGCACCTCTGAAGCCCCAGGCACTCTGCTGCGTCCAGAGCTGGAGACTGATGCTGGCCCCGGTGTGGCGCATTGGTGGAGCAGGGAAGAGGCTCAGTGCAGGCAGCAGCAGGGAAGCAAGAGGCTGGGGCAGCAGCTCGGGGGCTCTGGAAAGGCATTCTGGGCTCTGGAGACTCAGACTTTACCAGATACCTACTGGCGTGGTGACAGCAAGCCCTGCCAGCAGTCCTGGGTGCATCTCCAGCCTTGTGGGTTCCTCCTGCCCTGCTCAGAGTCTTCCTGTTGGGAGTGTGGTTGTGAATTCTTTTACCCCACAGAGGGTGTAAGAATTCACACCCACACTCCATATACACCATGGAATACTATGCAGCCATGAAAAATGATGAGTTCATGTCCTTTGTAGGGACATGGATGAAGCTGGAAACCATCATTCTCAGCAAACTATCGCAAGGACAAAAAACCAAACACCGCATGTTCTCACTCATAGGTGGGAATTGAACAATGAGAACACATGGACACAGGAAGGGGAACATCACACACTGGGGCCTGCTGTGGGGTGGGGGGAGGGGGGAGGGAGATCATTAGGAGATATACCTAATGCTAAATGATGAGTTAATGGGTGCAGCAAACCAACACGGCACATGTATACATATGTAACAAATCTGCACGTTGTGCACATGTACCCTAAAACTTAAAGTATAATAAAAAAAAAGAATTCACACCCACAGTACTTACAGGAGGGTGAACCATTTCAGGGTCAATTCTGTTTCCTTTGAGGGCCCTGAGAGAGGTGGCAGTGAAATTGGTCTAATTTACATTTTAGAACAACTTCCGCAGCAGCAACAGTTTGGAGGATGAGTTGGGGGCACGACGGAGGTCGGAAAACGAGGGTCTGGAGAGGAGTACAGCAAGCTGGGCAGTTGCCCTGAGCAGTGCAGGGCCTGGGCAGAAGCCATGGAGTGTGTTTGTCCCACTTTGTGGGTCTGGTCAACATTTTTTTTTTTTTGAGATAGAGTTTTGCTCTTGTTGCCCAAGCTGGAGTGCAATGGCGTGATCTCGGCTCACTGCAACCTCTGCCTCCTGGGTTCAAGCGATTCTCCTGCCTCAGCCTCCCGAGTAGCTGGGATTACAGGCACGCACAACCATGCCTGGATAATTTTTTGTATTTTTAGTAGATACCGGGTTGCACCATGTTAGCCAGGCTGGTCTCGAACTCCTGACCTAAGGTAATGTGACCACCTCGGCCTCCCAAAGTGCTGGGATGACAGGTGTGAGTCACTGCACCTGGTCTGGTCAACATTTTTAGAACCCAGGAAAGAAACACACCAGCAAGCTCAGCATGCTTTGCCACCTCGAATGTTCCTGCAGCTCAGAGTCTCTCCCTAAAGCAAGTAGAGGGCAGTTCCTTGTTCACCAATTGATTGACATAATTCATTTTCTGATAGGAAACCCCAAGACGGCCGGGGACGTCAGGAACAGGTGTGCCCCCACACCACACGCCCTCCTGCCGGCTCTGGCCCTGCTGCAGGCCTCTCACCTCCACCCCACAGAAGTTGCCTGGGCCTCAGCAGCTGGTTGCTCTCCTGGGAGCCCTGGCCATCGTGGTGCAAGGAGCCAGGCACTACAGCCAGGAGGGCTCACCCTTGCCCAGGAAGAAAGGCTGAGCTCTGAAGCATCCTGGGAGCCAGGTCTGGCCATCCAGTGACAAAGCCTGGGCCACCCTGTAGCCTGGAGCACAGACACTTCCAGTCCGATGTGACAATCCAAAGTCAGGAGCCCTTTCCAAATAGAGAAAGCATGTTCTCTGTCATGGACAGGAGAAGCAGAGGCCTTGAACCCAGCTCCCTGCATTTGAATCATGGCCTCCTGTGCTGAGGGCCAGGTACTCAGGCACCTGAGCCTTGCAAGGGCTCAATGTCCTCATCTGCAAGTTGGGGACAGCGTCCAGAAATCAAGGCTCTCAAATGCCCAGCGGGGCATCTGGTCCTGAGAAGAGGTCAAGCCCTTGCCATTAAGAACACTAGCCCAGCTGCGCACGGTGGCATGCGCCTATAGTCCCAGCATTCTGGAAGGCTGAGGCAGGAGGATCGCTTGAGCCTGGGAGGCCAAGGCTGCAGTGAGCTGTGATTGCACCACTGCACTCCAGCCTGGGTGACACAGTGAGACCCTGTCTCTTTTATTTTATTTTATATTTTATTTTTGCTTTTTTCCACATGTTCTAAGAGACACTGTCTAGAAAATTTTTTTAATTAAAAAATAAAATTTAAAAAAGAACACAAACCCTATTCAGTGAGGGCTGCCCAAGGGCATAGGAATGCAAGGCAGATGAGACCTATGGAGGCCAAACCACGGTTATCTTAAATATTTAGCGGATGGATGGATGGATGAATGAATGAATGAATGAATGAGACAATGTGACTAAAGCAGCTCTTGGCAGGAAAACAGAATCTGCAGTGAGATGAAGGCAGGACAAGGTGTCACTCCTCACATTAGAAAGTGGCACCCTTGAAGATGCTGGACTCCTGCCTACTGGGACACGCACCTCATCAAAGCCAGGTGACAGTGATGCCCATGTGCAATGCACAAACTGCACATCTATCTTTAAGCGGCCTCCTCCTCCTTGAGGCTTTCTCAAGTTCTGCCTTTTCCAGAGAGGAAGGCTGGAGTGAGGAAGGGACAGGGCTCCTGGGGAAGGACCGGGGCCAGGCCGTGTCCCCTTGGCTGGGTCGGCCAGGGCCTGCGAGATGCCAGGCAGCCACCCTCAGCTTACAGCTGGGCCTCACTCAGGACATCAGAGGCCAAGGCTCCTTCCTATTCCCTTGGCTGACAGCCAAAGCAGCCCCTCTGGGCTGGGATGGACAGACCCAGGGCCTGCAAGGGCCCCTTCCTGGCCCACTGAGCCTGGCTGGAAGGTGAAGAGCTTTAGTTCTCTCAGGATTGGAGGACTTGAGCCAGCAGGGAACCCAGACTGGGAAGGAGGCTGAGGCTCAGGAAGGGCAGTGGGTAGGCATCAGGCCGGGCATCAGAGAGGGACGTTGGCTCCAAAGCAGCACTCAGCCCTGCCACCTCCACGCTGAGCTTCTCCACCTGTGTCCTCACTCATTAGTGAGGGACACTGGGGACAAAGGGACACTCTGCTGGGCTGTTGGGAATGAAGGACACAGGCAGAGTGTGTGCCATGGTGGCCTCAGCTGCAGTAGCTCCCATTGTTATGGGGCAGGGGGGCGGGTCACAGGCCCAGCAACATGATGACAGCTTGGCCTTCCTCCTACCCGAGTGCACTTCTGTTCAGCCCAGCCAGGCCTGAAGCCCATCCATCCACCCTACCCACTCTCCCTGCCCCTGCCAGGGCTGGGCCAGAGCAGGAAGTGACACCTCCAAAGGGCTCACTCTGCTAGGACCTACCACAGGGATCTGGGGATCAGAGGCCCAAGACCACTCAGCTACTAAGAACGTGGGGGCACAAGGGGCCTCCTGAGTCTGGTCCAAGCCTCTCCTCCTGGCCAGTGGCTGTCTGTGGCTGAGAGCAGAGGGTGCTCTGTGTTCCTAAACAAACAAATGAGGTCAGGGAACCCAGCAAGAGGGTTGGCAGTGAGCACCATCTGTCCCTCTCCATCTGTGGGGAAGCTTCGGAGCAGCCAGCAAGGCAGGGCTGTCTGGCTGTTTCTCCCTCTGACTTCTCAGGGGATGCCCTCAACATCAGCCTGAGAAAGCCAGCATGCTGGAGAATTTTCCAAATGGCTCCAACAGCTTCCATGGGGCCTCTGGGAGATCTCAGGCCTGAGACTGATCTTTGTTTTAAAAGACAAATATTCTATTTATTGAAAGAGGGCCCGCGCACCTCCACCTCCCCAGCCTGCCTCCTCCCCCAAGCCACTGAGCTGGTTTCAGGTCAAGCCTCAGCTGAGTGGCATCTCAGGTTGGGCTCTGCCGTCTCCGAGGCCTTGGTGACCTTAGAATGGGCCCCCACAGTGACTGGCTTAGGCAGTACCTCTCCCTGGCAGGTGATGCAGGCACAGGTGTGGAAATAGAGGCAGAGGGACAATCTCCTGGTAAGCCCACTCAGTGGGTTCATGAAGGAGGAGTGCCCATCAAGGGTCACTGTCCAAACCTGCCCACAGAATTAGGTTCCTTTTCATTCTCTGGGTTCAACTTAGATAACCCATGAGAACCACACTTCTAAGCCTCTCTGAGCACAGTTTTCTGGGAACAGCAGCTTGGGGTGTGTTTATATCCCCTTCATTAAGGTCACTATTCTTTACAGGTCCAGACATCAGGGTCTCTACCTGCCTGGGCAACTGGCCTCACTTTTCACTCTATGACCCTCTTACAAGTCAATTTAGAGACACCTGGGCTTTCCAGGTAAAGCCAAAGTCTCCTGGGTTGAGGCACAAGCTCCATAGCATCTTGGGAAGATGATGGGCAGTTAGCAGACACTGACTTGGCTTCCATGTGGGGAGTCATCCACTCATCCATTCACATACTCAACCACTCATATATTCAACCAATCATCCATTCATCCATTCAACTACTCACCCATTCATCCACTCAACCACTCATCCACTCAACTACTCATTCACTCATCCACTCAACCACTCATCCACTCAACCACTCACCCACTCACCACTCACCCACTCAACCACTCATCCACTCAACCACTAATCCACTCAACCACTCAACTACTCATCCACTCAACCACTAATCCACTCAACCACTCAACTACTCATCCACCCAACCACTAATCCACTCATCCACTCAAGCACTAATCCACTCAACCACTCAACCACTCACCCACTCAACCACTCATCCACTCAACCACTCAACTACTCATCTGCTTATCCACTCAACCACTCATCCATTCATCCACTCAACCACTCAACCACTCATCTACTCATCCACTCAACCACTCATCCATTCATCCACTCAACCACTCAACCACTCATCTACTCATCCACTCAACCACTCATCCACCCATCCACTCATCCATTCATCCACTCAACCACTCAACCACTCATCTACTCATCCACTCAACCACTCATCCACCCATCCACTCATCTACTCATTCACTCATCCACTCAACTACCCAACCACTCATCCACTCAACTACTCAACCACTCATCCACTCAACCACCCATCTACTCATCCACTCAACCACTCATCCACTCAACTACTCACCCACTCATCCAATCAAGTATTGAACCATTCATCCACTCAACTACTCATTCACTCACTACTCATCTACTCATCGACTCAAGTACTCAACCACTCATCCAGTTAACTGCTCATCCACTCAACCACTCATCCACTCATCCACTCAACCACTTATCCATTCAACTACTCAATCATTCATCCATTCAACTACTCAACCATTCATCCACTCAACTACTTATCCACTCATCCACTCAACTACTCATCCACTCATTCACTCAACTACTCACCCACTCATCCACTCAACTATGCAACCACTCATACACTCAACTACTCACCCACTCATCCACTCAACTACTCACCCACTCAGCCACTCAACTACTCAACCACTCATGCACTCAACTACTCATCCACTCATCCACTCATTGACTCAACTGCTTAACTACTCATCCACTCATCCACTCAACCATTTATCTGCTCAACCATGCATCCACTCAACTACTCATCCACTCATCCATTCAACCACTCATCCACCCATCTACACAACCACTTATCCACTCATTCATTCAACCACTCAACCACCCATCTACTCAATCACTTATCCACTCATTCATTCAACCACTCAACCACTCATCCACTCATCCACTCAATTATTCAACCACTCATTCACTCAGCCACTCATCTAATCAACCACTCAACCACTTGTCCACTCATCTGCTCAACCACTCATGCCCTTACTCATTCAACCACTCAACCATTCAACTACTCATTCACTCAGCCACTCGACCACTCATTCACTCATTTACTCATCCACTCTTCCACTTAACCAAAATCTAATTGGCAATGTCCGGGGACATTTTGTTGTCACACTGGGTGAGGAGAGAGTGGTGCTGGCATCTAGTGTGTAGTGGTCACCAGGATGGTGCTAACATCCCGTAATGCACACGACCCACCCCCAAACGTCAATAGGGCCGAGGTAAGGAACCCTGTTCTCGAGGCGGACAGGCCCAGCTGCGTCACCTACCCCCCCTCTGGTCTCAGGTAAGATGCCCAATCTCCTCAGTTGCAGTCTCCTCGTCTATAAAATCAGAATAGTGCCTGGCTCTATGGCTTATTGTGAGGATTAAAGATAAAACAGGACTTACAGTAAGAAATGGAAGTCATTTTACAAAGATTTATCTGGTGTGATAGAGAGAGTGGGTTAGATCCTCAGCAGAACCCTGAGTGGTGCTCAGCACTTGGTGACAGACTTCTGGCTGCCATCCATTGTCCTTTTTTCTTCTTCCTTAGAAATAGAACCCTGGTTCTATCTGGGAGTGGCAATGTGCCCAGCTGAACAAACAATGTCCCAGATGTTCCTGGAGTGAGGTATGGCCACATGACCAGCTTCTTCCCAGTGAGATATAAGCAGAAGAGTCAGGTGGGACTTCCAGGACTGCCTGAGGGGGGCAAAATCCACCATAGCGACCCTTGAAAACATAATGCAAGCAAAAGAAGCCAGTCACAAGAGGTCACATAGTGTAGGATTCCATAAAATATACAAAGAAGGGAAATCCATAGAGACAGGACGTAGCTTAGTGGTTGGTTAGGTCTGGGGAGCTAAAGGGTAGGGGAATTCCTTTTGAGGTGATGAAGTGGTTCTAAAATTAATTGTGGTGATGGTCACTCATATATGTGAATTATACAGTATTTGAATTATATACCAATAAAGCTGTTTTAAAAATGCTACACACTCATCTGAAAACTGTGGTCTATTCATTCATTCCCCCTTCCTCTTTCCCCTGGCCTGGAGTACAGACGTGATGGCTAGAGCTCCAGCAGCTCTAAGGGACAGTGAGAGCAGAAGCCAATGCTAGAGAAGACAGAAATATCCTGGATCCCAGACAGCCATGGAACCACCAGTCTAGTCCCGCCTGTCTATTTGCTGAATTATTTTTCATGAGAGATAAATAAAATGTCATGCAGTTCAAACCACTGGTATTTTAGTTTTTCTATTGACAAAGTCAAAGCTTATCATACATTAGGTAATAACTAACATTCATTGATGGCCTATTTTGTGCCAGGCACTGTTCTAAGAACTTGACATGTAGTGACTCTTGTAGTCTATGTCGATATTATTTTTTAACATCTAACTTATTTTAATATATTTATACCCATTTTAAAGATGAAAAAGTTGAGGAGCAGAGATATTAAGAAACTTGCCCAAGATCACACAGTGGCAGAGCCTAGGCTCCCAACCATGACATTAAAACAAGCTGCTCAGAAGCTAGAGACTTCTCTTTTTAAAATCTTATTATCTCTGTTCTCTTTTGATTTTAAACAAATTACTATGGGGCCTTGCAATAAAACTTACTAGGGGAACTTATATAAAAATCATAACTTCTGGCTGATACTTCTGAAAGCACTATTTTTTCTTTGTTCTTAACCTTCTTAAATTTTCTCTTTAAAGACCCTGGATTGATCTCCTCTTACCCTGGAGTTTGCAATGCATGGAGCAGACCCCAGGCTCTTACCTCAAGAGAACCTCCAAACCTCAAGATCAGGAAACACCTTAAGATCAGGAAGCACCCACTCTCCCAAAGCCCACCCAGGGCCTGAGCGCTCTCAATGGCATATCCAAATGTCCTAGCCCAGCTTCACCTGAACTGCACTGGCACCCCACCAGCCTTCCTCCTGCATGGATAAGCTGACTGCTAGGTAATTCCTCCACCAGGAAGGGGCAGTTTGAAATGCATGCGCAACAGTGTCGGTGGCCAAGCATGAGTGTTGAACAACTTTTATTTAAAGCAACTGAGCCCTTCTTGTTCTCACACCCCCACCTTGCTGGTAACTAAGGAGAGCTCCATCCTATCCACTATCTGTTTCCTACAGTAGTCCTGAGAGTTGGCACTACTGTCCAGGGCCAGAAAATGGGAGGGGCCTCCTCAAAGTCACATGGGCTTGGAGGAAAGAAGTGATGAGGATCTAGTTTCAGCACTCAAGACTTGCAACTCTACCACATGCTCATGTGCACAGGCAGGTGTGCTCAAACGATGGTCAGCAGCTTCACTCAAGGAGGAAGAGTGAGGCCAACCCTGGCTACAGAGGTCAGTGGCCATGCATACCCTCCCTGCAACAAGGCAGAGTTGAGGTCGGGTAGAAGGGGGGACATATGATTCATAGATGAGAGATTTGGTAGTGTCAGAGAGTTAATAATTAGTAGAGAGACAGAGAGAGAGAGAGAGAGAGGATGGATAGAGAGATGGATAGATAGCTGGATAGATGGATGGATGAATAGATAATTGATAGGTGGATGATGGATAGATGGATGGATGAATAAATAGAAAGACAGTTAATAGATGGACAGGTGGATGGATAGCTAAAGAGACGATAGGTAAGATCATGGGTAGATGAATCGATAGATAGAAGATAGATGGGTGGATGAGGGATGGATCGGTGGATGGATAGAAGGATAGAGAGAAGACAGAAGACAGATAATAGATGGATGATAGAAGATAGATGAGAGAAGATAGATAATAGATAGACAGATAGTCAGACGGATGGGTGAATAGAAAGATGATGGATGGATAAATGGATGGATGGATGGATGGATATATACATAGACAGATATTGAGATATTGGATGAACAGATGGATGGGTGGGTAAATAGATGATAGATTGATGATAGACGATAGATAGATAGATATAGATAGATAGATAGAGAGATGATAGATAGAAAGATGATGGATGGATGGATGGCTAGATGGATTGATGGATGGATGGATAGATAGTAGATGGACATATGGGTAGGTTGGTAAATAGATGATAGATAGATTAGATAGATAGATAGATAGATAGATAGACAGACAGATGGGCAGATGGAAGCTGTAGAGGGGACCATCCTAGACCCAGACACCCTGCTCACCACTGCCTTTTCTGAAGACTCAGGACCTTCTTGCTATTTCCCCAGTGCAGAGC